>NC_000002.12:84749926-85055309 GCF_000001405.40 Homo sapiens | reverse complement strand
AGAGATATAAAATCTCAGAGTAATGGTTAGGTTAATCCACTAACACCAAAGAAATTCAAGTGGTCAACAGTCTTGAAAATGCTTTATTGAAATGTGTGACTTATGTGCAGATGTGTTTGAAAGACCACAGCTTGAAAACTGATTTTTGAAACTTCTCAACAACCAAATGAAAAAAAATGAAAATCCCTAATGGGCTTGACTTCTAGTGTAACCAGAAGCCTGGTGTAAAGTTTTCCTTTAAACATTATCCATTACAGAACTAAAGAAAACAAAGCTATTGTATTTGGAAATCGTTGGAGTTTGAAGTTTCAGAGGAGAAGCAACAGTTTTTCAGACATGTAGGGTGACTTCTTTTTTGGTTACATTTGGATGAACATGGACTTCACAGTTCTCGGAAGAACACCGGAGGGGTGTTCAAGTCTGTATGCTTGTCATGTTGAAGAAACGGAGATACACGGACAGGAAAGGAAAAGGATGACAGGAGAAAGAGAGGAGACTTTGAAAAGGGCTCAGAGAAAAGAGAACTGGAACGAGACATGATTAGGTTAAGTCTAGTTATAAATTTATCAGAAGCTGTGCGCACCTTTTTAAAAGTCCTAAATTTACATTCCAAAAACTGCCCTCCCAACCCCCAAACCCGCTGTCCCTGCCTTGGAGCTATTGTGAAAGTCTATGCACAAAAACTGAAACAGGAAATAAAAAATAACCCGGCCCTTCCAAACCCCAAAACAAACCCAAAAAAAGCTGTACATTTTTTTTACACATAGGATTAATAATATAGGCATATAGGTGGCATGATTCAATTAAAAGGCTTTACTTTTTATGCCAGAAAAAACCCAATAAATAAAAGGTGCTAAAATTAGCATTAAGAATTTGGTTGTAATATACTGACAAATCTGGGAAGGCAAATCCTCAAAGCTCCCCTGATACTGATCTGTCTCAGCAAACTACAAAGCAAATACATAAATAATGCAAAATATGATTGAGAATGTGAGATTTTTAAAAACAAAGACAACATAATTCAGGTTAACTCTGTTGAACAGTCAATAAATGAAATTCATCTACACCTGAATAAAACATATTTAACAATTGAAAAAATTTTAAACAACCACAAAAAGTAAAAACTTTAAACAAACATGAACAGGATTTGTTTTTAGGGCACACAAAGGCCCCTGCAGCAGATTCCAACAGTAGCTTTACTGGTGTGTCTTCTACAGATGAGTTAAAGAGACAGGCTGAGCTCCACACAGGCAAGATGACTAACAGGGCGACAGGACAGTCACACAGGGCGGAGTGCCACACCCGGCTATAATCCCCAGATTCCACTGCAGAGCTGGCTTTGTGCGTAGGAGGCACACAAAGAAAGGTGATTCAGGCAGACATTATTCAAAAGCTACTTCGTCGTGTAACCATTGAATAATGTTTGGGAAAGCTTTGGGCTTTGTATTTTTTTTTTAAGTTTTACTCCTTGTATTTAACTTCTTAAATAACAAGGTCACTAAAACTCATGCACGCTGCAAAAAACCTCATGCAGTAGTTAAGGTAAACCATCCAAGCAGTTTTTATTCATTAATATTCATAAATACACACAGCAGCTTCATTAGAGATTTCAATTTTCCTCTTCAGTTTGAATGTGGAGTATTAGGAGAGCCTTTTGCATGTCAAGGTACAGGAAGCAGAGATCACCCCTGCACTGCTACCTACATTTACCTGCTAGAAGTAAAAATTAGTTAAGTGGAAATGATTATCATATATATTTTCTCTCTTCCTTTTGAATGTACACAATGTAACAAGAGTGACAGACCTGAAATTACAATCACCAAACAAACCCAAGATAGTTGTTGTCCACTTTCATTGGCAAATACAGCACAGAGGACATTGTCTGCGAATTGGGATGTCATCAAAGAGGAGGTGGTGGAGGCTCATTTCCTTTATTACTCTCTTTTAAATTTAGGTTTTCTAAAGCAACATCTAAAGGCATAATATCTACACAGCCCATAGCACCAAAATCTGCCATCTCCCCCCGATCATCCTCATCTGAGGATGAGCTCTCTTCACGCACTAAAGTGGACAGAAGGAGCTCTTGGACAAACAGGCTGCGGTCTGCACGCTCGCTTTCCATGGACTGGCGCTCCGTTTCAGACATTTTAGGATCATTCAACCTGTGTAAGTTAAAAAGAAAAGACCTTATTGTTAAAAAGTCAATGAACAATGGCATGGCCAATTTCTACAGTGCTCTCCACTGTGAAGTTTTACAGGTGGCAAAATTCAGAATGAGACATTGCTGGAATACTTGGCTGTAATTTATCCTTAATTGTGTTGAGACGAATTCCCCACACTTGTTGCAATACTGTTACCTGGAGGTGCAAATCTATGCTTTAATTAGACTCAATGAGAAAAAAAAAGACATTTAGACTTTTTCCACTCCAGAGAAAGCTAGGTGAAAATTTTCTAAGGAAAACAGGATTTCTTACAGATTAGATGCTTGGGAAAGTATCTAACCAGAATTTCATCTGGGGGTAAATAAAAAGAGGAAAATAAAACACAAAAACAAAATCTGCAGTGAACAGAATATTCAACTGAAAAATATCCTAAGATTTCCTCTGACTTTTCTCTATTACTCTATTTAATTCTTCTTGGTATATGCAGAAGCTAGAAAGGGCAAGAAAACACATACATACAAACTCCTACATTTCTTCTACCAAGGACCTACAGTGTAGCAGGGCAGACACAAGGTCTACCTGCCTGACTTGCTCCCCTGATGCATGTACTTATGAGATCTGGGCTATGCTGGGAAACCTGGCTCATCTGCACAGAGACTAGACAAATTTCTTGATGAAATATAACATTTAGGATATAAATGAAACTGCAAGGCTTGTGAGGATCTTCAAGTTGGGGTTAGCAAAATGAACTGGTCCCACTGTCAAAAGATTAGATCTGGCCAGGCACGGTGGCTCATGACTGTAATCCCAGCACTTTGGGAGGCCAAGGCGGGCGGATCACCTGAGGTCAGGAGTTTGAGACCAGCCTGGCTAATGTGGTGAAACCCCATTTCTACTAAAAATACAAAAAATTAGCCAGGTGTGGGGGTGCGTGCCTATAATCCCAGCTACTCGGGAGGCTGAAGTAGGAGAATCGCTTAAACCTGGGAGGCGGTGGTTGCAGTGAGCCGAGATCGTGCCATTGCACTCCAGCTTGGGCAACAAGAGCGAAATTCTATCTCAAAAAAAGACCGATCTGACTTACACACTCCAATAATCACTTTCTAAAAGGTCAACTATCTTGGACTTCAAAGAAACTGTGACCTTACCATCAGTTGCAGGGCAACATGAATAGGAACTGCCCCTGGTCAAAGAAAAGACCAAAAATAAGGCTTGGGCCCTATATATATCACATAAGAGCTGTGTGACCAGAGAGCAGGATCTCCCCTGCATACACTGCAGCCGTTCTCCTTGCCTTGAAAATTCACAATGCATGTTAATATATTTGAAGTTCTAAGAAGCCCAACAGTAAATAATCTCTTAATTTTCCTTACTTTGCTTTCTGCAACCTTATTAATTGGGGGTGGAAGAACATAAGTAATTACATATATTCCTTTGAATATATGAAGTTAAGAGAGTATTTCTGGGGAAATATTGCCTTAAATAAATCATATGAATATAATACAATAAAAGATGTGGAAAGTGGTTTGCAAACTGCATGGTACCATAGAATGTACAGTATCAGATGATAGAAGGGGGATTTCAAGAAGCTACAACCAGAATCCACAGACAGCACTCAGAGGTCACTCATACCATGCTCTGAGAGTTGGGTGTGGAATAAATGCACAGAAAAAAATTACAGATCAAGCTGAGTAGTTTGGGTCTTAAAAAAAAAAAGGATAGGGCAAGGGTGGGTAGGAAGATGTCTTTTCCAAAGGGCACTGGCAAGACATTCCACCCACAGTTCTGTGAACTCTCAGTAGAAATGCACGCTAGTAGATCTCCTTTTTGAGGTAGGGACTTAGATCTGGTATGTTATAGACCTGCTGCTGGTCAGTCCCTATGGGGAAGGCTACATGGCAGCAGGTAGCTCCATCTGTGGCTCTGTGGTTTTCTTACATTAAAGCAGCATTATCTGGTAATAACCAGGCACAGTTACTGACCTTGCAGAGATAATTCAAAGGTAAATTACCCATTTAAAATGTTTTTCTTGGTTTCATAACAAATGTTGATAACGAGTACCATTAATTGGACCTTTACTATAGGCCAGATAGTGAGCCAGACCATACACATACCAGTATTCCATTTAATCCTCAAAATAATTATCTCTCTAAAGGCAAAACTTCTGGGATACTGATGATAAAATTGAGGTTTGGAGGAGTGAAATGACTTGCCTGAGGTCCAAAACTTGTAATTGGCAAAGCTGGGGCTCTAGCCCAGGGATTTTCAAGCATTTTTTATTCTGCACCCACAATATGTTATTTATAACTATACACATGCACCACTGTATTAACAGAGTATGAGATAAAAGAAACATAAGTAGAAATTATAATATTTTCCTCTAACATCCCAATGAATTGTCATACACACTGCATTTTGGAAATAATCATGTATTACACAAACTTTATTCTTCATTTTACAGTTCTTCCTTTATGTTCCTCTCTGCTCCCTTAAAAGCCCAATTAGTCCAGGTTCATTATCTGTTGAGGCTAAGTCTCCACTCATCATTGCTCTTTTAAGAATTCTTTATATTCCTAAAAGTCACATAAAATGCCTGTGAAGTTTTGGCAGACAAATACATGCAGTTGCTAACAGTTTCAGAAGCAAACAAGAACTCCATCTAGTAGAGTAGTTTACTGTTTTACTAAATATTATTTATACCATAGGAAGCCATTTTTTTAAGTTACTTTTGTGTGCCAACCATAAAAATTTAAATCTAGCTTTTTTAGAAATTCACAGGAGAAAACTGCCACTGTATTATGAAATCCTTCTTATACTTTTAATATTTCAAAGCAGATTAAAACTGGCAATAACAAGCAACGTTAATTATGATAAATACACCTAATATGAACCATATATATATAATGATATAGTGTTTAAGTTTTATGGGTACTATGGCAAAACAATTCATATTATATGATGATATATACCTTGAGAACAAGACCAGTTATTTTATTTTAGAGACAGGGTCTCACTCTTGTCACCCAGGCTGGAGTGCATGGTGCAATCTTGGCTACTGCAACCTCTGTCTCCAGGGCTCAAGCGATCCTCCCACCTCAGCCTCCTGAGTAGCGGGGACTACAGGTGCGCACCATCACACCTGGCTCATTTTTGTAGAGATAAGATTTCATCATGTTACCCAGGGTGGTTTGGAACTCCTGGGCTCTGGCGATCTGCTTGCCTTGGCCTCCCAAAGTGCTGGGATTACAGGTGTGAGGTGCTGGGATTACAGGTGTGAGCCACTGGGTCTGGCCCAGTATTCTTAATTTATCTAAAATAATTACTATGTTTCACATTCTTGGGGAAATACTGAATATGCGTTTTAATCAGAGATCTGTGAGTTTTAATCAAACACAAAATTTTAAAGAAATATAATGCACAAAAGAGAAAAGATAATTCCAGACTGTAGTGGCAATAAAATATTACTTCCCAAACAAAATTCTATTAACAAATGAGCTACCTTGTTAAAAGAAACTGGGAATTCTGTAGAGTCTGCTGACTGCTTTCTGTATTAGCTATGTTGGTTGTTGCTGTGGATTGTGTGATTGTAGTGGTGACACTGCTTGTGTTAGTACGCCGGGTTGCGTTGCGTGCGGTCTCCAGTTGTTGCCGTGCTGCCTGGGCATGCTGCCGTTCTAGCTGCAGCTGCATCTGCAGTTGTTGTAACTGAGAAGCGGAAGGGCCAGAGGAATTAAGCTGTCCTCCTGCAGAACGTCTCACTCCTGATAACTGAGATAAAAGCTCTGCCAATGGAAATGAAGACAATTAATGTCTGCTTAATACTGAGGAAAACAAAACGCTACAGATCACTCTTTTACTGGAACAACATCAAAAGCATTGTGAACAGGTAGGTAACCACCACAGCACACAGTTTAAGAGCTGAATCCTTCTAGAATGCCTCCTGAAGGCAGGAGTTACTGTGGACAGAGAATGCAAATGCATACGAATATTAACCCAGACTGAATTATGTTTGAAGTAAAACTTAAATTGTCTTTAAAATTATTTGCATAATAGACTAATTTAGTGAAGCTTTCTCTTAGTATTTAATGAAGTGGTTTATCTGTGGGCCCAATTATAATATAAGCTCTCTCAATATGTGTTCCATGGAAGCAGGGATGAGGTCTACTGTTGACTATATTCCCAGCTATCAGAACAGGGCCTGATATAGCAGGAATTCAAACATTTACTGAATGACTGAATGAATTATTAGGATTCAGTCCAAGAGGCCTGGATCATTTCTGATGGTGGCCCTTGCACACTCTCTGCCTCTGCTTTCTCCCTCTAGTACCTTCTGGTACTGCTGTTTCAGAGTACCACTGCAGTAGATACCACTACCAGTGCTCAGCAAGGCTGACTGGCTCCTGAGAACCTGCTGCATCTGACTGTACAGCCTACTTAGTGGCCTGTTATGATCCAGACTGTCTTGTGTCCATAAGGCTGTACTCATTAAGAGAGGTGTAAACTTTTGTCCCCGCATCCTCATCTAAGTAAGGTACAGTGAAATGCCTTCTTCCAAGTGGAGGGTCCACCTCGCTTATAGGGAATCGATGACTGCCTTGCAGACACTTTCAGGCCAGCAAAAACTCTTTATCATTAAAACTCATTAACAGTTTGTTTTCTTGCTCACTGTTGCTTTATCCCAGGCTTTTTATAGCACTCTTATACCACTCTTTCATGGAATATACAGTCTATCACTAAAATAAACTAATTTTCACTGACAGAAAAAAAATCAAATGAAGAAAATTTCTCAATTTTGAATTTTGCTCCCAGAAACTACTTTAATTTTTAGTGCCTGCCACCAAAATAGCAGGTAAATATTCCCTTTGGATGAAGAAATATTTTTTAAATCCCCCAAACTCAGTTTATTAGGCTTGTTTTTGTTGTTGCACACACAAATGTCCAAAGCACATTTGGAATTAAAATTTTATATGGTATATCTAACTTTTAAATAACATGATAGGTATAAAATTGTTCTTAGGTTGTTTTTCTTTTTTAAATTTTTATTTTAGGTTTGGGGGTACATGTGAAGGTCCGTTACACAGTTAAACACCTGCCACGAGGGTTTGTCATACATATTATTACATCACCCAGGACCCAATTAAGCCCAGTACCCAACAGTTATCTTTCTGCTCCTCTCTCTCTTGCTACCCTCCCCCAGTGTCTGCTGTCTCCTCCTTTGTGTTCCTAAGTTGTCATTTAGCTCTGATGTTCTCAGTTTCTATTACAGATTTACACTTATCAATGTTTCAGGTGTTCTGCAGGGTGCTCATGGCTTCCAGGTAGGTGCACACTTCACCACATGGACACATTTCAGAATTGTTGCTTTAAATGTGTGCACACTTCCCACTGTCTTACCACTTGTCTGCTTGGTGTGTCTTGCAGATTATCAGGCTACAGTGATTTCTTGTATTTTATTTTGACCCTGTGTTCTGCTACCAACTTCCTAGGTTTGTCATGTACTAGACTCAGTGACATGGCCAGGTTCAAAAACTGTGTTTTTTTTTTTTTTTTTAAGATTTTTCCCAAGCTATTAAACATGTACCTTTCAGTATGTTCTACAACAATATAGTTCTCAAATCAAGGTCAGGACATTAAGTCCTACTTTCCTTTCTTCCATGAGAAGAGCTTAATTCTTTAGTCTTTTCAATTAGCTATAGATAACAGTTCTGAAATGTGTCCATGTGGTGGAATGTGTACCTGGAAGCCATGAGGCGCCTTGCACAACATCTGAGATAGGCATAAATCTGTGACAGAATTTTACACATAACATGTTCTTAAAAATGTTAGCTATACCTTATAAAACCTTAATTTCAAATGTGCTTTGGACATTTTTTTATGTGTACTTATGGAGATTTAACCATGACATTTTGGAGGTATTCAAGTTGAAATCTTTTATGATTTCCTTGGGCTTCAATAGAGGCCACAAATACAACATAAAACCATTTCTTATCATCTTTTGTCTCTAAGAACAGTAGTCTCCCTTTACCTGCAGGAGATACGTTCCAAAACCCCCAGTGAATGGCTGAAATGGGCATTTGGATAATACAGAACCCTATACATACTATGTTTTTTCCTATACATACTTATCTGTTGTGCTAAAGTTTAATTTATAAATTAGGCACCTAATTTATAAATTAGGAACATGAGATTCCCAACAAAATAGAGTAAATCTAAAAATATACTATGAAAGTTATGTGATGTGGTCTCTCTCTAAGTATCTTATTGTCCTGTACTCACCTATTTTTTGACTGTAGTTGGTTGTGGGTAACTGAAACCCAGGAAAGCAAAACCACATGACGGGGGGACTACTGGACTTAAGCAATGCCAGAAGAGTATGAATTACTTTATGTTAAGTGTCTGCTTTTAACACATTTTACACTTTTAATGTATTTGGGAATTTTGTGAAGGAACATGGCTTATGATCAGAGAGGTGAGACTTAAGAACACAAATCTCACAAAAAGTTTTTTTTTTTTTTTTTGAGACAGGGTCTCACTCCATCACCCAGGCTGGACTGCAGTGGTGCGATCTCGGCTCCCTGGAACCTCCACCTTTCAGGCTCAAGCGATTCTCATGCCTCAGCATCCAGAGTAGCTGCGATTACAGGCACCCACCACCAAATCTGGCTAATTTTTTTATTTTTAGTAGAGATGGAGTTTTGCCATGTTGGCCAGGCTGGTCTTGAATTCCTGGCCTCAAGTGATCCACCCGCTCCAGCCTCCCAGAGTGCTGGGATTAAAGGTGTGAGCCACCGCACCTGGCATCACAAAAAGTTTTAAAAGGAGCTCCTCCTTCCCCTGCCATTTCCCTTATTAATGTGAAACTAACTTACCAGCTATAGGATCCATGGCTTCCCTATTGCTTGGAGAATATGAACTCTGAGAAGAAGAAAGTCCACCAGTAGAACTGCTAGTAAAGTGCATGTTTGATCTACGAGCACGAGGACCTCCTAATCCCCGGCCAGGGTGAAACATTCTACGTACATGTCGAACACCACTCGATTCATCATAACCCAAAAGTTAAGAAAAAAACGAAAGTATTTCACAGAAAGAAAAAAAATCACCTGAGTCCTTGCTAGACAGATGTAAAGATTTCCTGAATTGTAAGCATTTAAAAACAGCACATTTAACTTAAAGTGCAAATGTCCCAACTCTATCTATGAGGGCTATTAACCCTAAAAAGACACTCAAATGTAAGGCAACATGTGAGTGTGTGTGTGTGTATTGGGTGTGTGAGGTAAAAAAGTTTCTCTATATAGCTCATGAAATCTCAAATACCACCTATAATGAAAAAGGAACAATACTGAATGTATATTCAGCACATCAAAGGTTCCTTTTGGATTATTAGTTTTACTCTGTCTTCAAGCTTCTTTCCAATGCCGCTGCTAAGCAGAAAACAGATTTGCATTTCTTGTATAAGACACACAGATAGATTAACATGACATTTATCACGAAGAAAAATTCCCAGCAGCCTCAACCGTCTTACACAGCTGAGTGTAAGTCAAACTGAAAAAGGTCCTGAGTTGCAAATAGCTGTCAAAACTCATGAAGACAACCTTACGTTTCCACAAAGGCAAATGAGAGGTGGGGGAGGCCAGATCATATAGAAGAGATTTTTCCTTTAAAGTACCAAACAGACCAGCTTTATAATGCAGATTAATTTTTTGGCTGGCTTCTCAGTTTTTCAGCTGATGGTTCTGGAGTTATTTAAGGACCGGATGGGTAGCTCCAAGAGGCCTTCAGGTGTCACGGTACATGCCCTGTTCCATCATATTCATGAGGATGGTTTGGGTTCTAGAGAAAGTGATATGATCATATTTATATATTTGATAATTTTATATTATGATTATATATACATATATATATGTATCTTGAGACAGGGTCTCACTTTGTTGCCAGGCTGGAGTGCAGTGGTGCAATCATAGCTTACTGCAGCCTTGAGCTCATGGGCTCAAGTGATCCTCCTACCTCAGCCTCTTGAGTAGCTGGGACCACAGGTGTGTGCCACCAGCTGAGCTCATTATTTTGGTAGAGATGGGGTCTTCCTATGTTGTCCAGGTTGGTTTCAAACTTCTAGGCTCAAGTGATCCTCCCACCTTGGCCTTTCAAAGTGCTGGGAGTATAGGCATGAGCCACTGTACCCAGCTGGTGACAGTTTTAGACGAACAATTCATAACCTGAAATCAGAAGCATTGAGTCCACAAAATTAATCGCTCTGGTAGGCCAGTAATCTCAGGGAACACTGCCAGAAACTGTTGAGAGACAAGGAAGGGAATGCAGAAATAAAAGCAAGAGGCTGGGCGTGGTGGCTCACGCCTGAATCCCAGCACTTTGGGAAGCTGAGGTGGGCAGATCACCTGAGGTCAGGAGTTCGAGACCAGCCTGGCCAACATGGTGAAACCCCATCTCTACTAAAAAAATACAAAAATTGGCCAGGCGCAGTGGTTCATGCCTGTAATCCCAGCACTTTGGGAGGCTGAGGCAGGCAGTCAGGAGTTCAAGACCAGCATGGCCAAGAGACCAGCCTGGCCAATATGGTGAAACCCCATCTCTACTAAAAATACAAAAATTAGCTGGGTGTGGTGGCGGGCACCTGTAATCTTAGCTACTTGGGAGGCTGAGGCAGGAGAATTACTTGAATCCAGGAGGTGGAGGTTGCAATAAGCTGAAGATAGCACCATTGTACTCCAGCCTGGCTGACAGAGCAAGACTCCGACTTTTAAAAAAAAAAGAAAAGAAAAGAAAAGCAGGAAAGGAAATTTAAAGCTAGAGCTGACCTTATGCTATCCTACTCAGGAACTCGGCAGGAAATGGCTCTCTCTGGAGAAGGGGACCCCAAAAAGGAAAGGAACACCAAGATGCACACCTGTCCCCACCATCTCACCACACCACACCCACAACAGGGTAAGGCAGCAGAGGAACAGAGAGGGAAAGCAAATAATGCCTCTTCATATTTAACTAATTAAATTTTAATTTGGATTAACATTTTCCTCTTTTGTATGAAAACGCCATCCTGGAAGACACAATTTGGTCAAACTGCCTTAAAAAAAATCTAATTGTAATGAACTAAAGATGAAGGACAAGTCAACTTTCACTTAATGAAAATGGTTCATACAATGGTGATAGTATATAAAAAGAGAAATAAATTGCATCTCAGCACTGAGTCACTTTTAGGAAAAGTTCAAATAAGTAAAAATAATTTGGACATTACTTTTCCTCTTTTGGGGGATATGATCCTTAAAAAAAATCAAAATGACAAGCTGGATGCAGTGGCACATGTGTGCCTATAGTCCCAGCTACTCAAGAGGCTGAAGCAGGAGGATCACTTGAGCTCAGGAGTTTGAGACCAGCCAGGTCGACACAGCGAGATCTTGTCTCCAAAACAAAAAATCAAAATGACAAACATTACAAACAACTCTTTTCCTTGTCATCTCTTAAAAGGATATTAAATCTCTAGGGGCTCTGTGTTCAAGTGTAAGATGAGCTGCAAAGTCATCCGTGACATGATTAGGATCGCCTCCAGGTAACGCTGCACATATTGGACAAATCTGAAATGGAAGTAAAGAAAGCAGCTTAATAAATGAACGTCAATAAGACATCTTTCTGGACGAGTATTCTGCTGTAAGTTTTACTATTATCAAGTTTTAACCAACAGAAAACACAGCAGATCCTAAATCAGTGAAAAGCAGTAGAAACCTAAGCAAGAACTGTTCACACAAGGTCCCTCAGGGTCAAACACAACAGTTTCAGACACACCAAACTTGATCTCTGGCAGGGCCTTCTAACAGCCTGCCTGATTCATTTGTATGGTCTAGCAAAATAGTTTCCATTAAAAAAAACTTTAAAATGTGCTATTTAGTGCACATTTACGTGTAAGTCCAGTCTTGAATGGTAAAGACAGATACAAGCCTATGGCACACTTCTCCAAAGCAAGCTATACTTGAGAGCCAATTCCCAAATAAGACAGCAGAGATCTGATTAAATGCAACTGTGCAAACATTCAACAGACATGTTGAATGTAAGACAAATTATGATTACTGATAATATGCAAATGTGGTCTATAAATTTATGAATGTGACTTCCAAGGGGAATATGGTATGGAAGCCCATTTTTAAACCTTATTTCCTGAAGAAATGGGGTGGTAGGCCAGAAGCTTGTAACCAGGTCAGGCTCAAGGAGTAGTAGAACAACTTTCCATGGGCCTCTTGGCAAGAGATGGGAGAAAGTAGGAATAAAATGGTGTGTACACAGTCACAGTTCGGGGAGCGGGTGACAGGTTGGGAAGGTGGTTTCTATAGTTAACAGAATTGGTGAAACAGAGGGAAGGAGAGGGGAAGGCTAGAAAGAATGAGGAACGTTTTAAAGAGGAAAGGCCCTTACTCTTCCGAAATTCAAATGGACAGATAATGTTCTAACAATGGTAGCCAAGCCTTGAAGTATGAACAACTTCAATCTTAAAGAACAGGGCCAAGAAGAAAGGTCTGAAGCAAGGGGCATGACCAAAAGGAGCCCCAGGAAGTGCACAGTTCAAGTTGTAGACTTGTGTCTTTATCCATAAATAAGAAGGTTAAAGATAGGATATGTGATTCATTGCCAGTACATGTGCCGAAATTCTTTCACTTAGGCAAAATCTAGGCAATTGGTCAACCTTATTGTCTGCTGCCAGCACAGTGGGAGTAGGTGGTAGCGCTGGAGATGAGGGGAGATGGAAAAGGTGAGACTTGGAAGGACAATCCTGGGGTACGGAGGGAAAACAAACTGCTCTGATTCCTGAAGCCCAAACAAACATAACTTTCCATCTTCTAACAACTAGAAAGCAGAAGTCTCCTGAGAGTTCAACTCTGATTTGATATCAGTCTCTCTTATGCCTAATCAGCTGTCCTGATTATGTGACTCAGGACTCTGAGAAATATCCTCAGGAAAACCTAAATATGTTCATGAGAAATAACATTTAAGCATGACAGTGTGCAGAAGAACTAGACAGGTCACAATGGAATGTGATGAGGCAAAAGAGAAAAAGAAGTAGATAGACCTGCCTATGCCTTTCTTAGAAGATGCCAGGAAGGTGGTCAGATTCTTTCCTCTGTCAGAAAAGTAGCTGTATGTGTCAAAGTTTACAGATTATCCATCCACTCTCTCTTTACTAGGGATTTAACTTTTACTATCTGTACCATTCCTGTACTCTGACATTACCTGGTTATGTCTGATATACATATTTTACTTTTCACGTGCTTCTGGTCTTACCTAGCTAAACTGTAAACTCTTTGAGAGATGCAGGACAATGTGATTTGTCTTTGGTTTTAAACTCCGGCCAGACTTGCTTTTTTTAAAAAAAAAAAAAAAAAAAAAAGACCAGCAATGTTTGGAGAAACAGAAAACAAGTTCCAGTTATTTAAAAATAAAACAAGCTACCTTAGAGACTCATCATTCTGAAAAAGTTAACAAGTGCTGGGTTATAGTTTTATTACAATATTATAAGGCTGTATAAGATTTTTATTTAAAGAGAAAATAACCACCAAAAGGAAAAGGCATCTTTCTTCTAAGATACTTTCCTTTAGATTGGCCTTCGGGTAAAATCTATAAACAACTTGAGCTGTCCAATGATAGCTGCAAAGGCTTCAGTACTTGAGGGGACATAAAAATGTTGGTAGATGAGAAAAGTCTCCACAAGGATATAGATTCCTAGAAGGAAAACAGAATGGGAAGCAGAGACATCAAACGTACAAAGAATGTCCTAATAAGATAGATAATTTAACAAGTAGAAAAGCACCTTCGAGACAAGGATGTAAAATAAAATCAAGATCCTTCCTTATCGTGTATTGACTTTGGTTCTATACTCAAAATCTTTTTTATTTCATTGCAGTAATTCTGCTAAGATGGCAGGATGAAGGTATTCAGAACTGCTTCATTCAAAGAGAAATAATATAAAACCAACCAATCAACCAACCAAACTTCCATAACTACTAGGGATAAAGAATTACTGAGGATAAGAAATTACTGTGGTGGGAGGATCACCCAGGTTGACAGCTGGCATAGAAAAATCAAGAGGCTAGGCCAGGCACGGTGGCTCATGCCTGTAATCCCAGCACTTTGGAAGGCTGAGGTGGGTGGATCACAAGGTCAGGAGTTCGAGACCAGCCTGACCAACATGGTGAAACCCCATCTCTACTAAAAAATACAAAAATGACCTGGGCATGGTGGCACACGCCTGTAATCCCAGCTACTCAGGAGGCTGAGGCAGGAGAATCACTTGAACCCGGGAAGCGGAGGTTGCAGTGAGCCAAGATCGCACCACTGCACTCCAGCCTGAGCGACAGAGACTCCATCTCAAAAAAAAAAAAAAGAAAAGAAAAAAGAAAATCAAGAGGCTAGATTTAGAACCAAGTGGAAGATGTTGCCACACTTGGGTCACATGAAGTTAACTCAAATGAGGAGTTGGAAAGGAAAACTAAGCTCAGATGCTGATGCGATCACAGAGGCCTGGTCACCTTTTAGGTTTTACATTTTATATTTAGCAAGCTAACTCATGCTTTAAGACAAAAATGCTTGTTCTCAAGACTGTGTTTTCTGAGAGGAAATGAAGGGAACAAGACGAAGAAAGAAAAAGGAGAGCAAAGCGGGGCAGGAGAAATGGAAAAGAGGTGGTGGGGAGTGGGAGGAGAGACAAAGCAAGCCACTGTGCCACTCATGGGCACAAATACTGCTTAGTTTTGAGTGTGTCTTTATTTCTACATCATGGTGCCTAATATCTCTTACAGGACAGGAAAACTCGACACAAAGGGTAACTTTAGGGTACTGACCCTAAAATTATGACAGCTTGTCAACATTAATATTTATCATACTTCCACTGCCACACGATAGAGTAATATCTATTATTCATATGGAAACATTCCATGTAACACACAAGCTTAAAATTACAACAACTTGTCAATTAAGATTTACTTAACTGGCTTAAGTCAGTATTTCTTTAATTTGGCTAAGAATATAAATCATCTGGGCCAGGTGCAGTGGCTCACGCCTACAATCGCAGCACTTTGGGAGGCCAAGGCAGATGGATTGCCTGAGGTTAGGAGTTTGAGACCAGTCTGGCCAACATGGTGAAACCCCATCTCTACTAAAAATACAAAAAAAATTAGCCAGGCGTGGTGGCACATGCCTGTAATCCCAGCTACTCGGGAGGCTGAGGCAGGAGAATTGCTTGAACTTGGGAGGCAGAGGTTGCAGTGAGCCGAGATCGCACCATCGCACTCGAGCCTGGGCAACAAGAGCAAAATCTCTGTCTCCAAAAAAAAAGGAAAAAACATTTGTATTCACAAATGTCCTTGCTGTTCTCAGTGTCGTCTCTGCTGTTGCTCGAGTTTCCTCTTCTCCTTCACCTTGCCACTGAGGGTCACCATCAGTCTTGCTTTTTATCTGCAGCCCCTTTGGAAGCCTTTACCAATTGAGATGAGGTCCCATCCCAAGAACGTACAGAGTCTCCATTTTTCCACATGGTTCCAGGGCATGACTACCAGCCAGCAACCAGTTAGGACACATTATAGCACAGTTTGTTGCCAATGTCTTTAAAATATACCTTCTGAAGTCATTACTCCACATATAAACACCGAATCACTGCTGAATATACAGAACTTTTCCTCTATGAAAGCACCTAAAGTCAGCATGCCTGATTTTTTTTTTAAAAACAACAGCTCCACACATTTTTCCCCATACAATTATCAACCATTTTAAAGCAAGTTTGGATTTCCTCTGGCCTCTCTCTTGAACTAATACAACTACAGCAGACAGCATTCTCTCGATGGGTACTATTCACAGCTTTAAAAACTATTCTTTATAACCACATTCCTATTTCTAGTTCAAGGATCTATGCTATGAAATCCAGGTAAGTTGGTAAAGTTAAAGTTCTGACTGGCTAAATTTGTTATATTATATAATTTTGTTACCATGGACTAATCCGTTAAGCACTTACTGAGTACCAAATCAGAACTAACTTAACACTTTAGTTTAAAACATTATCAAGAAATGAGCATAGTTCCTGCCAACATTAAAGTTCATATGAATTTCATCTCTTTTTAAAAACTGGGGCCAAAATTGGGGCAGGGCACAGTGGCTTATGCCTGTAACCCCAACACTTTGGGAGAATGAGGCAGGGGGATCACTTGCAGACAAGAGTTTGAGACCAGCCTGGGCCACACGGTGAGACGAAGTCTCTACCAAAATATTTTTTTTAAATTGGTATTTTTCATTATTTCTTCAAACTGGGGTACAATTCACGTCTCTGCTTTTGAGCGGCTCTTAGAACTCAGCTACAGAAACACCCAGGCTTATTATGCCAAGGGATTTTCTGATCACCTGCAATACAATGGGGGGAATGGGGTTTAAAACAGTTTTTCCACAGAAGAGTGATGACCCAAAAAGAGCCATCTAAATTTAAAGCCATCATACAAAACCTGTTGACACATATTATACTTTAGTGCTTATACAAAAAAAGAAAAAAAAGAAGAAGAAGAAGAAGAAAGACATTCTACTGAGTTAACTAAATGCCACGGCCAATGACAACTTCAGGCTTTTGGATCTCCTGCCCAATTAAAAGTATTAGTTGATCCTACAAAATCTGCAGATATAATGAATACAAGACTGAAATTCAAGTTTTGCTTGGAGAATATACATAAAGGACTAGTGGATGATCTATGCTATGTGGTCAAGAAACTCCTTTTGGGCCTTGTAGAACCGTCTAGCTTGTAGCTACCTGCACCTTGGCCATCCATTTTGCCAATATAAATAAAGGTCCTTTCAAGAGTTGAGTGAGCATACTGTTCAACTAGATTACAGTCTAATTTTCTGTTGCTGCAGTGAACAGTTATAGTAAGTGTTCAATTATAAGTGAAATTAACTTATAATTGTGAATTACTTCATATTAAATTATTTTCCCTGTCGATTCCATTCTCCCATCATAGTGCTGAAGTTAGATTTGTCACTGGCTTCTAAAGAGCAGCATTTACAAGTAATTTAGAAAGTCCTAAAAAGCAATTATGTTTTACTTTTAAACATGGTTCTTGTACAAAAATTTATGTGTATGATGACATCTTGGGAATTCACAAAACTTGAAATAGTATTAATATAATTTAGCTACACTGAAAAATAATTCCAAAGAAATCAGAAGGCAGTTCACAAAAGGGATTGCGCTCCTGTGAGAATCTAATGATGTTGCTGATCTGACAGGGAGTGGAGTTCAGGCGGTAATGTCCGCTGGCCCACTGCTCACCTTCTGCTCTGTGGCTTGGTTCCAAACAGGTCATGGACGGGTATTAGTCTGGTCCCGTCCGTGGCCCAGGGGTTGGGGAACCCTGGTCTAGAGGACACATGCAGGTAACGTGGGGCAAAGCAAGATAGCAAACAGAGCATTTAGAAAGGAATATGTTAAGAGGAATAGAAAAGGAGATATATAGCAAGTTGCTGTGTAGATATAATCCCCTAAACCAAAATGATGTAAATCACTCTTGAATTCCCTAATTAAAAAATGCAAAACATTGAGGGGTGAGAGGGGACACACAGTAATATCACCTGGACATTTACATATAACTGTAGCACACTGGAGCTGATAGTATGTTTCACATATATGCAGAGAGGCATTCAAAACACTTAACAACTGGTATGGCATAGGCACCAATCCTTCAGAATGGACACTAGTCAGCATGCTACACTTGGCTGTACCTGCTGAATGCCAGCCCTGCCTCTAGGACTTGACCCACATGACCTGAAGAAATCCTGTACTTTTATATTAAAGATTCTTATCTGCTTGCCATTTTTCACTTTGAAATGTCTAGGTGTATGGGTGGGAACATATGTAGATATAGTACTCATGCAAAGATTAAGGGCTAATGAGGAGAGATAAATCCTTAAAATATTCCACAAAAACCAATATGAAAATAGAGTGACAACTGCCTTGGGCTATGTACCAAAAGCCTGGAAACTTAATGAAGGCATAAACACAACTCACAAGAAACAGACCATGATAGCATTTGTAGGTGGTGGGTATTTAATTTTCAAACTGTGTATCAGGTATGCCAGAGTGTAAACAACAAATTTTGAGTATTTACTTTCAGGGGCGGGATGGGGGGGCATGGGGCAAACCAACCAGAGGCAAGGTTGTGGAAAACTGAGGAGTTGCCTTGCCCCTGAGGGGTGATGAAAATACTATACTAGGGACTATTGGCTGATAATAATAACAAAATATAATAATAAATATTATCAATTAATGTTATATATTTATTAATATATTTATATATTATATATAATAATACATAATTTTTTTTTGGAGACAGGGTCTTGTTCTGTTACCCAGGCTGCAGTGCAATGCAGTGGCACAATCATGGCTCACTGCAGCCTCAACCTCCTGAGCTCAAGCAATTCTCCCACCTCAACTTCCCAAGTAGCTGGGACCACAGGTATGTGCCACCACGTCCAGCTAATTTTTAAATTTTGTGGAGACAAGGCCCCACTTTGTTGTCCAGGCCAATCTCAAACTTCTGGGCTCAAGCAATGCTCTCACCTCAGCTTCCCAGTGTTGGGATTACAGTCATGAGTCACTGTGCACAGTCTAATAATGATTTTAAGGATGCCTAATTTACAATAAGAACTCCATGTTTGTGTTATGGTATTTAGGTAAAGGACCCAAACTTAACAGAAATTAAATCAAAGAAAAATGACTGCAAGTTTTCCACATCAACCAGCATGGAGATGCAACTGAGTTAGGATTCTTCATACTGTACCAAAAGGAAGCAAAGTCACTTTACAGAATAAAAAGAATAAACTAAGAATAGTAATAAAATGTGACAACAGTAGTCTGAGGCTCTCCTAGGTAAAAGATCAGAGCATTTCTGAGCTGTTAAGACAGCAAAATTTGGCTTGATGTCTATAAAAAATAAATTTACCTACTGTTTGAACTATACATGTTATAACAACTTCAAACATCAAACTAGCAGTGTCAGTGGGAATAAAAGTAACCCTATATTATATGCATAGCTGTAGCAGAGTTAAGTAGAGACTCTGGAACCCAGAGGGACTCTAGCTGAGTCCAAACACCTGCCCCTACCCCTGCCCCTTACTAAGCTGTATGTCCTTGAGCATGCTACTTTATTTCTCTGGGTTTCAATTAATTTGTTTTGAGTACATTTACGGGCTTATTAGTTGATGCAATATGCAATTACTGTGCCAAAATTCTCCCAATTCAGTATCTATAGTTCCATATAAAGCCTTCACTTTACCTATTATTATCAATGGTAAAGAGGTGGGGGAGAGACTCTTAGGTGTACTTTATCATTTCTTGAAGGTGGATGCATGCTGACTCAGATGTCAAGTAAAAAATCCAACAAGCTTTCAAGGTAAGACTTTCTTTGTGTATTATTCTGGGTCCATGGCCTTTAGCCACTGGAAAGATCAGGATAGGAAGAACTTCTAGGGACCCCAGAGCTTGACCTAGGAAGCAAGAGATGTGATCTGATGAAAACCAGGTAAGATCAGCGATATGCTACAATGAGATGTGACAATGGATTATTATGATACTACCAAAGGTTTTTAAATTTCCTTGTGAAGTTCCTTGTAGAAGAAAAGTTAAGCAGATAGCAAGGATACTATAACAAGAGATGCACTGCAGGTTGCCATCCTTTTAACCTTTCACAATGCATTGAATAAAGGGCTCCTGAATTTGGTCAAGACTCCATGCTGTGGGTTTAGCTACAGGTTAAGAAACCCAGTGTGGACAGTAAGAGGTATTATTTTGCAAAAATGCAGCCTCCCATGATGTATAAAATTTGCTGTTAAAAGATGATTTTAATAACTATGCAAACGGTATCATTACACTGAGCAGGAAGCAGATGACAGTGACCTAGCTTTATTAATGTTAGAAATAATATACTTTACAACATCATTTTAGTCATAAGGTTGCTGCTTCACTTACCACTTCTGTTGATGTTTCTGCATGTTCAGAAGTAACATGTTCTTGAAGAGATGTCTCCGTATAGCCCATTTTTCCACAATAGGGACAAGTAAAAGACTGTGGCTGCTCTACAGAGAAAGCTTCCCCACCATAGTATAAATCTGAAAAATAAGGTAGAATTGCATTGAGGAATATTAGTTTTTAAACATATAAAAATGTAATCGTACGATACAATAATGTAAAAAAGAAAGTGTGGGCCAGGAGCAGTGGTTCATGCCTGCAATCCCAGCACGTTGGGAGGACAAGGTGGGTGGATCACTTGAGGTCAGGAGTTTGAGACCAGCCTGGTGAACATGGTAAAACCTCGTGTCTACTAAAAATACAAAAATTAGCCAGGCATGGTGGCAGATGCCTGTAATCTCAGCTGCTCCGGAGGCTGAGCCAGGAGAATCGCTTGAACTTGGAAGGCAGAGGTTGCAGTGAGCCGAGATCATGCCACTGCACTCCAAAAGAAAGTGTGCCTAAAATATTCAACAACGTCACGTGATCAAGGAGTGCTTAGGTACCTGTTTACATTTGTAATATCCTTATTCCCATGAGGACTCCATGTTATTCCTCCAAAATTCCTTCCCCAGATAGCTACTACATATATAGCCTTAAGAGAGAACGAGACAAACAACTCCATCCTCCTTCATTTATTTGAAACATTGGTCATTTCACATCTGGCTCTAATTTTATTGTAATTTATTTTTTCCTTATCTGTATATACTGGGGCAACACTGACATTGACAGTAAAAATCAGCAGGGTCTACCATGTAACAGGGACAAATGTGCTCAGAGGGAAAGAACAGACAACCATGATCAATATGAGAACTCCCAGATGTAGCTAGTTGTCTATAGAACATGCTGCTTTTAGAGCAGGAAGGACCCTGAACATTCATTTTTTGTAAATGCTAACTTAAGATACTACCAACAACATTAAGAAATTTTTTTTGAGACAAGGTCTTACTCTGTCGCACAGGCTGGATGATCACAGCTCACTGCAGACTCAGTATCTGGGCTCAAATGATCCTCCTGCCTCAGCCTCCAACATAACTGAACTACAGGTGTGTGCCATCACATCCGGCTAATTAAAAAAAAAATTTTTTTTTTTTTTTGGAAAGATGGGGTCCCACCATGTTGCCTAGGCTGGTTTTGAACTCCTAGGCTCAAGTCATCCTCCCACCTCAGCCTCCCAAAGTGCTGGGACTACAGGCATGAGCCACCACGCCTGGCCTGTCACAAAATATTTTGCCCAACTGGGTTACTGGAAAACTAACCAGTTAGTCTGTAGGAATAATTTGTTCACCTCGTAAGTGTATCTGAAGGAATAAGTCTTTTTTTCCCAGTAGGTAATTGCTATGGTTTGAATATGGTTTGTCCCCACCAAAGCTCATGCTGTGGCTTCATCTCCAATGTGGTGGTGTTGGAAGGTGGTGTCTTTAGGAGGTGATAGGGTTGTTAAGAGGTATTAACACCTTTCTCAGGAGTGAATTCTCGCTCTCTCAGGACTGAATTAGCTCCCTTGAGAGTGAGTTGTTTTAAAGGGAGGCTGTCTGTCACTTACAACTGTTTGGTCTCTTTACACATGCCCACTTCCCCATCTGCTTCTCTGCCATGTTATGACACAGCTGAGGCCCTCACCTGAAGTCGACCAGATGAAGCTGAACAATCTTGGCCCCTTTAGCCTCAACAATTGTGAGCTAAATAGACCCCTTTCCTTTAGAAATTATCTAATTTCAAGGATTTTCTTATACTAAGATAAAACAGAGAGACAGAAACATAAAATAAAATTAAAGTATATTCAGTGTGTTACGCCACTAAAAAGAATTATTTAATTATTTAGCATAAAACAAACACCAAATTTAAGAGAGCTTTTGTGAGAAAAGAAAATGGAAGAAAGTGTTCATTACGTGATAGATTTGTTCATATTCATTTTTAGGGAGATTTAAATGATCATAAAAGTTTTATGTATTATGTATATATTGACCATTTATTAGGTGCACAAGACTTGTTAGGTGAATTTGGAGTAGCTGGGGATAAATATATTAAAAAGAATAGAACTTCCTCATCTGATAAAGGGCATCTACCAAAAACTGAGCAAACATCATTTACTGGTGAAAGACTGGATGCTTTCCCCTAAGATCAGAACAAGACAAGTGTGTCCACTCTTGCCACTCCTATTTAGTATTTTACTGGAGGATCTATCCAGAGTAAATGAAAGGCATCCAGACAGAAAGGAAGAAGTAAAATGATTTTTATTTGCAGATGACATGACCTTGTGTACAGAAAGACTTAAAGAATCCACTAAAAAACTCTTGGCGCCGGGCGAGGTGGCTCACGCCTATAATCCTAGCACTTTGGGAGGGAGAGCGAAGTGGGTGAATCACTTGAGGTCAGGAGTTCAAGACCAGCCTGGCCAACTAGGAAAACCCCATCTCTACTAAAAATACAAAAATTAGGCTGGGCTTGGTGGCTCACATCTGTAATCCCAGCACTTTGGCAGACCAAGGTGGGCGGATCACCTAAGGTCAGGAGCTCAAGACTAGCCTGGCCAACATGGTGAAACCCCGTCTCTACTAAAAATACAAAAATTAGCTGGGCATGGTGGTGCACGCCTGTAGTCTCAGCTACTCAGGAGGCTGAGGCAGGAGAATCACTTGAACCCGGGAGGCAGAGGTTGCAGTGAGCCGAGATCGCACCATTGCACTCCAGCCTGGGTGACAAGAGCGAAACTCTGTCTCAAAATAAAATAAAATAAAATAAAAATAAAATAAAATAAAAATAAAAATAAAAAAATTAGCCAGACATCGTGGTGCATGCCTGTGATCTCAGCTACTTGGGAGGCTGAGGCAGGAGAATCGCTTGAAGCCAGGAGGCGGAAGTTGCAGTGAGCCGAGACTGCACCACTGCACTCCAGCCTGGGCAACAGACGGAGACTCCATCTCAAAGAAAACCAACCAACCAACAAACAAAACAAACCACTCTTGGAATGAATAAACAAGTTCAGTAACACTGTAGGATATGAGATCTATATGAAAAAAAAAATCAATTGTTTGTCTATATGGTTGCAATGAACAATTCAAAAATAAAATTTAAAAAACAGCCGCGGTGGCTCATGCCTATAATCCCAGCGCTTTTGGAGGTGGAGGCGGGGACCACTTGAGCTCAGGAGTTTGAGACAAGCCTTTACAATGTAACAAGACTTCACCTCTACAAAAAATTAAAAATTCAGTCAGCTGTGGTGGCATGTGCATGTGGTGTGGGCTACTCGGAAGGCTGAGATGGGAAGATCACTTGAGCCTGAGATTGAGACTGCAATGAGCCATGATGGCACCACTGCAGTCCAGCCTAGGTGGCAGTGAGAACCTTTCAAAATAGATAGATAAATAAGTAAGATAAAAATTCCATTTAAGACAGTAAAAAGAATACAGATGCTCCTTGACTTACAATGGGGTTATATCCTAATAAACTTGATAAACCTATTTTAAGTTGAAAATGCATTTAATACACCTAACCTACCAAACATCATAGCTTAGCCTAGTCTACATTAAACGTGCTCAGAACACTTATGTAAGCCTACAGTTGGGCAAAATCACCTAAAACAAAGCCTATTTTATGTAATTTATTGAAGACCGCACTGAAAATGAAAAACAGCATGGTTGTATGTCCTTAAAGTTCTGTTTCTACTGAACATATATTGCTTTTGTACCACTATAAGATAAAAAAAGCATAAGCTGAACCATCATAAACTGGGGACCATCTATTCTTAGGAATAAATTCAATGGAAGTGCAAAACTCATACTGTGATAACTACAAAAGTTTGTCAAAAGAAATTAAAAACCTACAAAAATGGAAGCATATCCCATGTTCATGTATCAGCAGATTTAATATTATTAAGATGGCAATACTCTCCAAACTAATCTACCGATTCGACATAATTCCATTCAAAATCCTAGTTGGCTTCTTTGCAGAAACTGACAAGCTGAATCTAAAATACAGAAATGAAACGGACACAGAATACCCAAAATAATATTGAAAAAGAACAAAGTTGGAAGACTCACTCTTCTTGATTTCAAAGCTTACTATGAAGCTACAGAAATCAAGACAGTGTAGTACTGGCATAAAGACAGACATGTAGGCTTGGCATGGTGGCTCACGCCTGCAATCTCAGCACTTTGGGAGGCTGAGGCAGGCAGATCACTTTGAGCTCAGGAGTTTGATACCAGTTTGGGCAATGTGGAAAAACCCCATCTCCACAAAAAATTTAAAAATCAGCTAGGCGTGGTGGCTTCCACCTGTGATCCCAATTACTTGGAAGGCTGAGGGTGGAGGATTGCTTGAGCCTGGGAAGCGGAGGCTGCAGTGAGCCAAGATCGCACCACTGCACTCCAGCCTGGGTGAAAGTGAGACTCTGTGTCAAAAAACAAACAAAAACACCAGGCATATAGATCAATGTGAATAGACTGAGAGTCTAGAAATAAACCCTCATTTATAGTCAACCTATTTTTAACAAGAGTGCCAAGACAATGCATTGGGTAAAGAATAGTCTTTCCAACAAAAGATACTGGGACAACTGAATACTCACATGCAAAAGAATAAAGTTGGCCCTTTACCTCATTCCACATATAAAAATTAATTCTAAATGGGTCAAATATCTAAATGTAAGAGCTAAAACTATAAAACTCTTAGAAGAACACACAAGTTTAAATCTTCGTGACTTTGAATTAGGCAGTGATTTTCTAGATACAGCATCAAATGCACAACAAATGAAAAAATACATAAACGGGACATTATCAGAATTAGAAGTTTTGTGCTTCAAAGCACACCACCAAGAAAGTGAAAACACAACCCACAGAATGGGAGAAAATTTTTGCAAATCATCTATCAGATAAAAAAACTTACATAAGGAATAAAAAACTATTACAATTCAATAACAAAGACACATTATCCAATTAAAAAATGGGCAAAGGATCAAGGTATTTCTTCAAAGTAGATATACAAATGGCCCATAAGCACAAGAAAAGATGCTCAACATAATTTATATTTCAGAGAAATATAAATCAAAACCACCTGAGATACTACTTTACACCTACTAGGATGGCTGAAATAAAAAGGACAAAAAGTGTGGGCTAGGTAAGAAATTATAGCACGAAGCCAGGCGTGGTGGCTCATGTCTGTAATCTCAGCACTCTGGGAGGCCCGCAAGTGGATCACCTAAGATTAGGAGTTCAAGACCAGCCTGGCCAACATGGTGAAACCCTGTCTCTATTAAAAATACAAAAAAAATTTTCTGGGCATGGTGGCGGGCACCTGTAATCCCAGCTATTCAGGAGGCTGAGGCAGGAGAATCGCTTGAACCCAGGAGGTGGAGGTTGCAGTGAGCTGAGATGGCGCCATTGCACTCCAGCCTAGGCGACAAGAGTGAAACTCTTGTCTCAAAAAAAAAAAAAAAAAAAATTATAGCATGAAACATTTATATATTTTCTTACAATGTCTTCTAATCAACTGTAGAAACAATCTGCCTTTTTTTTTTTTTGAGATAGCGTCTTGCTTTGTTGGCCAGGCCGGAATGTAGTGGCACAATCAGGGTTCACTGCACACTTGACCTCCTGGGCTCAAGTGATCCTCCCATCTCAGCCTCCCAAGTAGCTAGGGCTACAGATGCATGTGCGCCACCACATCCAGCTAATTTATTGTATTTTTCGGGGGTGGATGCAGAGACAGGGTTTTTGCCATGTTGCCCAGGCTCATCTCAAACTCCTGGGCTCAAGTGATCTGACCATCTTAAGCCTCCCAAAGGGCTGGGATTACAGGCGTTAGCCACCATAACCAGCCAACAATCTGTTTTCTGGTCACTACAAAAGCTATTATTGCTGGGCATGGTGGCTCACGTCTGTAATCCCAGCACTTTGGGAGGCGAAGGCAGGTGGATAACTTGAGGTCAAGACCAGCCTGGCCAACATAGTGAAACTTCATCTCTACTAAAAATACAAAAAAATTAGCTGGGCAAGGTGGCACACACCTGTAGTCTCAGCTACTCAAGAGGCTGAGGCACGAGAATTGCTTGAAGCCAGGAGGCAGATGTTGCAGTGAGCCGAAATCCGGCCACTGCATTCCAGCGTGGGCGACAGAGTGAGACTCTGTCTTAAAAAAATAAAAAATAAAATAAAATAAAGCTATTATTTGTGTGTTAATAGCACGAACAAAAGACAGAGCATATTTCTTCTTTACTGAAGCACTCTTCTATTTCATTCCTTGTCAGTTGTGTATATTTCTGAATGGTTTTTTTAAACAAGTAAACTATGATTAAGATGAACAGACAGAATTACTTAGTACGTAAAAAGTAAGGCCGGGCGCGGTGGCTTACGCCTGTAATCCCAGCACTTTGGAGGCCGAGGCAGGTGTATCATTAGGTTAGGAGTTCAAGACCAGCCTGGTTAACATGGTGAAACCCTATCTCTACTAAAGATACAAAAAATCAGCCGGGCATGGTGGTGCACGCCTGTAATCCCAGCTCCTTGGGAGGCTGAGGCAGGAGAATCGCTTGAACCTGGGGGGTGGAGGTTGCAGCGAGCTGAGATCACGACATTGCACTCCAGCCTAGGCGACAGGGTAAGACTCCTCAAAAAAAAAAAAAAAAAAAAAAAAAAAGCCAGGCACAGTGGCTCACGCCTATAATCCCAGCACTTTGGGCGGCTGAGTCGGGCAGATTGACTGAGGTCAGGAGTTCGAGACCAGTCTGGCCAACGTGGTGAAACCCTGTCTCTACTAAAAATACAAAAAAATTAGCCAGGCGTGGTGGTGTGCACCTGTAATCCCAGCTACTCGGGTGGCTGAGGCAGGGGAATTGCTTGAACCAGGGAGGTGGAGGTTGCAGTGAGCCAAGATCGCGCCATTGCACTCCAGCCTGGGCAACAAGAGCGAAACTCCGTCTCAAAAAAAAGTAAGATTTATTTCATGTTTAATGAATTTGGGGCTTATGGTATGCTGCTGGGGAGTTTTAGAACACTTTGCCTTTACTTCTTCAACGTACATAAAATTCTAAATGATGTAATTCATTAAATTTTTAATTACTTACCAAAATCTACCCTTGTTAATATGCACTGCATTGGGTGGTCAGTTGTATGCCTTGTTGTTGTTGCACCACTTTCATAACAAGATGCACAAAGATCGTAATCGTAGCAAATTAAACACTTATATCTGCGACCTCGAAAATTTCCTTTTAAACATGCATCACAGCTGACACCTATAAAAAAAAGAAATATCTTTAGTTACCAGTTGTAAAGGCCACTCTTGATTTCATTTTTATGAATGTTTCAGGTGCTCATTTAACCTCATATGTCCTTTCCAAAATGACTAGAAATGACTTAGTAAAATGATACGGGAAGTTTTAGCCATGTGCTGGATTCATTACTCTGATTTATACTCCACATGAAAATAATTTAAAATGACTGATACAGGCTGGGTGCAGTGGCTCACGCCTGTAATCTGAGCACTTTGCGGGGGTCGAGGCGGGTGGATCACTTGAGGTCAGTAGTCCAAGACCAGCCTGGTCAACATGTTGAAACCCCGTCTCTACTAAAAATGCAAAAATTAGCTGGGCGTGGTGGCTGGCACCTGTAATCCCAACTACTTGGGAGGCTGAGGCATGAGAATTGCTTAAACCCAGGAGGTAGGGTTGCAGTGAGCTGAGATCGCGCCACTGCACTCCAGCCTCACAACAGAGTGAGGCTTTGTCTCAAAAAAAAAAAAAAAAAAAAAAAAAAAAGCCTTGATAAGCCAGCAAGAAGGTAAAAACCAAGACGAAGAGGAACTGGTGACTGGAAGCACTAAAGAAGGCTTTTCACCATGAGGGTATTTGCCCAAGCAGGTAAAAATCTAAGCTTAAGGTCCACAGCATTATTGGACAAAGGCCTAGTGAAGGTGGGATAATTAACAGAAGATTCCTCATAAAACCAAGACCCTAATATACTCTCAATGCATGGGTAGGCTAGAAATCCTCCCTAGGGGATTACAAAAATTACCCCAGTGAAAGCCCCCTGCCCTAGGGGCACAAAATAACACAAAAAGCCATAACCACAAACCAGTCCTCATGGGTTTATAGCCCAAATTCTATCAAATGGTTCCAAAGACCTTGGGTCAAGAATTTTAAGTGGTCTTAAATTAGAATTGATACCAAGCATCTGGCATATATAAACATCCAAAGAATAAGTTCATAATTTAAACCATAAAATACACACAAAAAAACAAAGCACCATCAGAAAGAACTAGCAGGAGCAGCAGAATCAGTCATGAGTTCATATCAGAATTGGGGCATCAAATAATTCTTGACCTGTTAAAAGAAATAACTGGGTGTGGTGGCTAACACCTATAATCCCAAGCACTTTGGCAAGGCGAGGCAGGGGGATGGCTTGAGGCCAGGAGTTCAAGACCAGCCTGGGCAACATAGAGAGATCCTGTCTACAAAAAAATTTAAAAATTAGCTGGGCATTGTGGCCTGTGCCTGTAGCCTTAGCTACTTGGAAGGTTGAGGTGGGAGGAATGCTTGAGCCCAGGAGCTCGAAGCTGCAGTGACCATGATCAAACTACTGCACTCCAGCTTGGGAACAGAACAAGACCCTGTCTGGAAAAAATAAAAATAATAATAATAATAATAATAATAATAATAATAATAAAGGAAAGAAAGAAGCTTGAACAGGGCTGGGTGCCATAGCTCACACCTGTAATTCCAACACTTTGGGAGGCTAAGACAAGAGGGCTGCTTGAGGCCAGGAGTTCAAGACCAGCCAAGGCAACATAGAGAGATCTCATTTGTATTTGTTTAAAAAAAAAAAAGTTAAAATATGCCAGGCGCAGTGGCTCACGCCTGTAATCTCAGCACTTTGGGAGACTGAGGTGGGCGGATCACCTGAGGTCAGGAGTTCAAGACCACCCTGACCAACCTGGTGAAACCCCATCTCTACTAAACATACAAAAATTAGCCGGGCGTGGTGGTGGGCGCCTGTAATCTCAGCTACTTGGGAGGCTGAAGCAGAAGAATGGCTTGAACTCAGGAGACGGAGGTTGCAGTGAGCCGAGATCATGCCACTGCACTCCAGCCTAGGCGACAGAGTGAGACTCTGTCTTTAAAAAATATTTTTAAAAAAGTTAAAATTTAAAATTCTGTAGGTGGGTTTCATAGTTTTATTCACATGTGATCTGCTTGTTTATGCTGAAAACCCAAATACAGCTAAGTTATTAGAAGCAGTAAGCAAAGCTGTTAGATAGAGACCTCCTAAATAAAGTACTGATTGTATTTCTTCACTGCAAAACAGACAGAAAAACATATTATTAAAAATATGTCATTTATTACAAAAAAATTAGTGAGGCATGGTGGTGTGTGCCTGTAATCTCAGCTACTCGGGTGGCTGAGGGAAGAGAATCACTTGAACCCAGGAGGCAGAGGTTGCAGTAAGCTGAGGTTGCGCCACTGCACTCCAGCCTGGGTGACAGAGCGGGACTCCTATCTCAAAAAACCAAAAAAATGTCATTTGTGATTCCATCGAGATGTGCCAAATTCAAAGAGAAGGAAAGTAGAACAGTGGTTGCCAGAAGCTTGAGGAAAGGGAGAACGGGGAGTTACGGTTTAGTGGGTAGAGAGTTTTCAAGTTTGGGATAATGGAAGAATTCTGGAGATGGACAGTGGTGATGGTTCCAAGAATGTGAATATACTTAATGCTACTGAACTGTACACCTAAAAGGGGTTAAAATAAATTTTATGCTATGTATATTTTACTGCAATAAAAAAATAAGCCATTTGCAACAGCATTTTAAAAAAGTGCCTATGAATAAATCTAACCAAAGATAGGCAGCCCTTTATGAAGCAAATTAGTAAAAATGTATTCAAAGACACTAAAGGACTTTAAAAAATATAAATACCAACTTCATGGACTGGAAGGTTCATAATAAAATGTCAACAGATTTGTGGATTCAATACAATTAATAACCAAAATTTAAAAAGAATTTTTTTGTGGGGCATGGTAAGCTGACTCAAATGTTGATGCAAGTTACAAAAAGGGCCAAGGAGAGTCAAGATGCTCCCAAGAAAAATGAGATAGAGGGACTTGTTTTATATATCAAGAGCTAAACTAATAAATAATAAGTAACACCATAACAAATAATAAACCTATAATAACTACAGTAAGATGGAATGGCACCAGGGTAGAGACAAACTGGCCCATGGAATAGAACGGAAAGACCAGAAACAGATGTTGAAATCTGTTTTACAACAGCAAGGTCACTAAAGAGCACTGAGAAAAAAAGGGAATGGACAATAAATGGTGCTGAACAGGTGATTATCTGCATGTGGGGAAAACAGAATTGGATCTCTCCCCATATCCTATACACACAAAAAATCAATTCCACATGGTTTAAAGACGGATTCAAAAGAACAATGAAAAATATCTCTAGAAGACAATATAGAATATTTTTATGAGTCTAAAGTAGAAAACAATTTCTTAAATCTTTCTCTTTCTCACACACACACGCGCACACACACACACACACACACACTCTCTCTCTCTCTCTCTCTCTCTCTCTCTCACTCTCCAAATCAAAAAGTAAGAGATAAGTCCAACTACGTTAAGACTTTTTCTTCATCTTTTGTTTTTGTTTTATTCTTTTGAGATAGAGTCTCACTCTGTCGCCGGGGCTGGAGTGCAATGGTGAGATCTTGGCTCACTGCAACCTCCGCCTCCTGGGTTCAAGCAATTCTCCTGCCTCAGCCTCCCAAGGAGTTGGGATCATAGGCGCCTGGCACCATGCCCAGCTAATTTTTGTATTTTTAGTAGAGACGGGGTTTCACCACGTTGGCCAGGCTGGTCTCGAACTCCGGGTGATCTGCCCGCCTGGGCCTCCCAAAGTGCTGGAATTACAACAGGCGTGAGCCACCACGCTCGGCCTTTTTCTTCGTCTTTTCACAGCCTACATTGATTGAAAATATAAGGTTCAGAAACTGGCGATATGTACAACATACATGACAGACAAAAGTTTGGTATTCAGAATGCATTATGAACTCTTACATATCAGTAAGTAAATGATGAATGCTTAGTAGAAAAATGGAGAAACCTGTCAAAGGGCACTCAAAGAACAACAAACATAAATGGCCAGTAAACATATGAAAAGATGCTCAATCTCATTAGTCATCAAAGAAGTGCATGATTAACATCCGTGAGCTAGCATTTTACATTTACCAAACCGGTAAGAAACTACAAGTTTCATGATATCAAGTGTTAGTGAAGATAAAGGGCAGCAGAAGTGCTTATACCCTGCTGGTAGGAGTGTAAATCAGCACAACCACTTTGAAAAATTTGTTCATATTTTTAGTCAAGTTAAACACATATACCTCCTATGATACCGTAATTTCACTCTTAAATAAATTCCCGGGGAGGGAATCTTTTGTCTGTGTGCACCTAGAGAATGTGGAAGAATGTTGACGGCAGTTTTTGTAACTGAATTTTAAAAAGGCTACTCAGGGGCTGGGCGCGGTGGCTCACGCCTGTAATCCCAGCACTTTGGGAGACCGAGGCGGGCGGATCACAAGGTCAGTAGATCGACACCATCCTGGCTAACACGGTGAAACCCCGTCTCTACTAAAAATACAAAAAAAAATTAGCCAGGCGTGGTGGCGGGCGCCTGTAGTCCCAGCTACTCAGGAAGCTGAGGCAGGAGAATGGCGTGAACCCAGGAGGCGGAGCTTGCAGTGAGCTGAGATCGCGCCACTGCACTCCAGCCTGGGCGAGAAAGTGCGAGACTCCGTCTCAAAAAAAAAAAAAAAAAGGCTATTCAGATTCAAAGGCTCAACAGTTCAATATGCACAGAATGAATTGGAAAAAGAATGAATCACAGCAACGGTAAGAACATCTGCCTCAGATGAGTGAAAGGAAATTTCAAAGAATACATACAGTATTGGCCGGGCGCGGTGGCTCACGCCTGTAATCCCAGCACTTTGGGAGGCCGAGGCGGGCGGCTCATGAGGTCAGGAGATCGAGACCATCCTGGCTAACACAGTGAAACCCCGTCTCTACTAAAAATACAAAAAATTAGCCAGGCGTGATGGCGGCCGCCTGTAGTTCCAGCTTCTGGGGAGACTGAGGCAGGAGAATGGCGTGAACCCAGGAGGCGGAGCTTGCAGTGAGCTGAGATCAGCCACCGCACTCTAGCCTGGGCAACAGAGCGAGACTCCGTCTCAAAAAAAAAAAAAAAAAAAAGAATACATACAGTATAAAGTTGAAAACCAGTATCTAGTTTAGGAAATCAAACATGTAGTAAAACTATAAAAGGAAAATGAGGGAATGATAAAATTTTGGTCAGTGGCTCCCTCTGGGGTTTAAGGTGATGAAGAGATGAGTATGTGAAGCTTTTACGGATCTTGAAATGCAACGTTTTTACATCTGGCCAAGAGGATCTGTAGTACCATTCTTCTCTTTTGCATTTATTTTATGAAAATTCTCATATATCCAACCAATATTTTATTTTTAAAAGTCCCTTCCTTCTAAACAAAAACAAACAAACAAAAAAACAGAAAGCAAAGCTGGAATTGTTTACAACAACCTTTGGGCTGTCAGTGGACTGTCAGGTGGAAAACTGGAAAACCAACATAGTTTTGGCAGATTGTAGATTTTTGAGACAAGGTCTCACTGTCACCCTGGCTGGAGAGCAGTTGCACAATCTCGGCTCACTACAGCCTCGACCTCCTGGATTTAAGCAATCCTTCTACCTCAGCCTCCTGAGTAGCTGGGACTACTGGTGTGCGCCACCATGCCCGCATAATTTTTGTATTTTTTTTGTAGAGATGGGATTTCGCCAAGTTGCCCAGACTGGTCTCAAACTCCTGGACTCAAGCAATCTGCCTGTGTCAGCCTCCCAAAGCACTGAGATTACAGGCATGAGCCACCGAGACCAGCCTAGGTTGTAGATTCTTATTGTTTGTTGAATGAATATGTTTTTATTAAAACAAAAAACAACAACAAAAAAAACAGGCCGGGCGTGGTGGCTCACACCTGTAAGCCCAGCACTTTGGGAGGCCGAGGCAGGTGGATCACCTGAGGTCAGGAGTTCAAGACCAGCCTGACCAACATGGTGAAACCCCATCTCTACTAAAAATACAAAAATTAGCCAGGCGTGGTGGCAGGCACCTGTAATCCCAGCTACTCCGGAGGCTGAGGCAGGAGAATTGCTTGAACCTGGGAGGCGGAGGTTGTAGTGAGCCGAGATCGCACCATTGTACTTCAGCCTGGGGAACAAGAGCAAGATTTCTTCTCAACAAAACAAAACAAAACAAAACACCATGGGATTCCCTGTTATTACTTAGCCATTAACAATAAGCACTTAGACAAATCAATGTTCTCTGCTCAATTTCTCTTCATCTATGAAGTTTGCTACGAGAATCAAATGAGGAAAAAAAAAGACATGAAAGCCCTAAATTTTAAAATGGTAGTATTATCTCATTCAGATGCAGTAAGATTTTTTTTTTTTGTGACAGTCTCGCTCTGTTGCCCAGGCTGGAGTGCAGTGGCGCAATCTTGGCTCACTGCAAGCTCTGTCTCCTGGTTTCATGCCATTGTCCTGCCTCAGCCTCCCGAGCAGCTGGGACTACAGGTGCCCACCACCACACCCGGCTAATTTTTGTACTTTTAGTAGAGACAGGGTTTCACCACATTGGCCAGGATGTTCTCGATCTCCTGACCTCGTGATCCGCCCGCCTTGGCCTCCCAAAGTGCTGGGATTACACGCGTGAGCCACCGCGCCCGGCTGCAGTAAGATTATTTTATCGCTTTCCCAGAATACAATTTGATCTCAATAATATACACCTTTTAAATTAGTTTTCAAAATATCCTTCGAGATCCTTGAGATCTCAAAAGCTGCAGTGAGACTCCCCGATCAACTTAAGACAACCAAATGATGGCATCATGGCAGCAATTTTTCAGCAAATTCAACAAATATCGATTATCTAATATGTAATATGTTTTAGGTGCTGAGGATACAGCAATGAACAAAACAAAGCCCTGCCCCCAAGAAACTAACATTTAGTGCGTGAAGACAAGCATAAAAATAAAAGTTGGCTAAGTGTGGTGGTGCATGCCTGTAGTCCCAGCTACTCAGGAGGCTGAAGTGGGAGAATTGCTTCAGCCCAGGAGGTCGAGGCTGCTGTGAGCTATGATCATACAACTGCACTCCAGCCTGGAGACAGAGCAAACCCTGACTCCAATAAAAGAAAAAAAGTTGTAGAGCAAGGTGGAAGTAAGTGCTATGGAGAAACATAAAGCAGTGAAGGACAGCGTGGGCAAAGAAAGTATTACTAAAAAAGATACCTGAGCAAAGAGATGGAATACTTAAAAATTTTCTTATTCAAAATAGCTTCCAGGTCAGGCGCAGTGGCTCAGGCCTGTAATCAATACGAACACTTTGGGAGACTAAAGGGAACAGATTGTTTGAGTGCAGGAGTTTGAGACCAGCCTGGGAAACATGGAGAAACCCAGTTTCTACAAAAAACATACAAAAATTAGCCAGGTGTAGTGGTGAGCACCTGTAGTCCCTACTTCTCAGGTTGAGGTGGGAGGATCACTTGAGTCTAGGAGGTTGAGACTGCAGTGAGCGGAGATTGTGCCACTGCGCTCCAGCCTGGGTGCCAGAGTGAGACCCTATCTCAAATAAAAACAAAAAACAAAATAGCTTCCATGCATGACGATGCTTTAAGCATAACACTGAATTAATCAATGGGGGGAGATACCTATGATATCTATTTAGGTTCACAAATGAAAGTTTAACATGATAGTATAATAATATTGACAAAAAATTGTAGTGTGAATTTAGGTGCCAGGAAGGTAAACCCAGCTCTGAACTTTTTGGTGTGTAGCCTGACATTATTCTGCAGGCCTGCCTTTTCTTTCTGAGGTGGGGATGCCTACTGGCAAGTATAGATGAACAAAGCTTAAGGCAACTGTGCATGGTGATACTGACACTCTTATCTTTCAGTAAAAAGATGCTGATACTTATCCCTTGCTCGCTCTACTCTTGTGATTTAATTCAAAGCTACCTAAATGGTTCACATAAGGGATAGGGGGTGGTAGCCTCAGGCTTCACTTAAACCCAGCTAGAGTTCCGTAACTGTAAGCCCTTTAAAAAGGAAACAGGGTTTTTTTTAAATTTACTATCTATTTTTGATAAAATCATTTCTGTAATATATATATTTTAGCTTCTCAAACACCGAAAGGCCTTTTATGATTCAAGGTCAGTATTTCAAATACAGATACATATATACATACGTATATATATACGTATGTATATATACACACACATATATACGTATATATATACACGTATATGTATATATACACACACATATATACATATATATACACACACACATATATATTTAAGTCAAACAGGTAAGTTTACAGCAGGGTTTCTTACAACATAAGATTCACTTTATTAATAATAATCTATGTGGCAGGCATGCTACAGAGGGTTTTTTGGTGATTAGCATACTATGAATAAGAAGTCGAGGGAAGTAAAAATGTTTTATAACATACAGTTTTTCCATATAGCCTGCTATCATCCTTTCTCATTGTTTAGTTTATGAAAGCTCTGTCCTTTAATTCCTTCTGTTGTCATGAACTTTTTGAAGTTAATATTTAATTTTATAGAACATTCCATACTACCTAAGTCTCTAAATAAAAGTACAGAAGCACAGGCTTTTTCAGTTTCTCAACAGTAGCCCATTGTCCCCTTTAGAATGACTCTCACTCAATACAGAGGCCCTCCTAAGTATATGTGTCAGAATCTGTGTCATTTTATGACACAGACTAACAAAACCTGCTCCACTACTGTCAACTACAGGTAATCTAAAGTTCCTATGGGAGGAAATAAGTTAGCTCTTTGCTGCAGTCCCTTGGTTTAACAATAGTGATTTTACCTGGTATCAGGAAGTCAGAGAAATCTGAAACAGAACAGATACATGGCATATGTAAAACTATCAATTCCTTCACAGGAAGAATGAAGTTGCTTCTGATGAGATATCAGTACACTCTATTTAAGATATTAAAAAATCAAAGTTCTGGCTGGGCGTGGTGGCTCACGCCTGTAATCCCAGCACTTTGGGAGGCCGAGGTGGGCGGATCACCTGTGGTCAGGAGTTCAAGACCAGCCTGGTCAACATGGTGAAATCCCATCTCTACTAAAAATACAAGAATTAGCTGGGAGGTCGAGGTTGCAGTGAGCCAAGATCACGCCACTGCACTCCAGCCTGGGCGACAGAGCGAGACTCTGTCTCAAAAAAAAAAAAAAAAAAAAAAAAAAATCAAAGTTCTGAAAAGTATTATAACAGAAACAAGAGTTCAAATATTGTAAAATAATGCCTTGAGAGGCAAAGCTGAATAACCACTAGTTGTCTAGATAGCACTGACATCCATTACATTAAAAAATATTTAGGTTTCATTTACCTTATACTACATATATTCTGCAAAAACTGAGTTAACCAAATAATAACATGTGCAACCCATCACTGAATAATCTAGCTTAGTCATGGCTGGGTGCAGTGGCTCATGCCTGTAATCCCAGGGCTTTGGGAGGCCGAAGCGGGCAGATCACCTGAGGTCAGGAGTTCGAGACCAGCCTGGCCAACATGGCAAAACCCCATCTCTACTAAATATACAAAAATTAGCCTGGCGTGCTGGCCTGTGCCTGTAATCCCATGTACTCGGGAGGCTGAGGAAAGAGAATCGCTTGAACCTGGGAGGCAGAGGTTGCAGTGAGCCGAGTTTGCGCACTGCACTCCAGTCTGGTGACAGAGCGGGACTCCGTCTCAAAAAAAAAAAAAAAAAAAAAATCTAGCTTAGTCATACTGTGTCATAAAGAAGTTCAGAAATCACTAGTTTGTAAAATGCTAACTTGAACAAGCTACATCATAAGGTTACGGTGTTATATTTGTAATCCCCCATCCAATCAAGTTCACCTAGCAAGATAAATGAAAATGCTAGGACATACAGTTTAACCCCTTTTTCAACACTGTCACAGATAAAACCTAAATGAAAAAAATGGTGTATATCTGACAACCACCTATCTGAAAAAGTTATATCTGAACACATTCATATTATCAGCATATATCTTGTATTTAGCAGTTCTGTAAAACAAATGAAAGCTATGAACTAAAATTTTAAGGAGAAAAGGATGCCCTCTAGTGGGAACACATTTTTAAAAAGCCACTGAAATAATACGTAGTCTTTTCTTTCTTATTAAAAAAATAAAAATAAAAGAGGTTTTTAATATTCGTTTACAGCTTTTTAAAGGAGAAAATCTCAGGTTGGTATACCTTTTACTTTTTAATAAAATTAGTTTTTAGCTAGGGAATAGAGAGTTGATGGGAAAGAAAAGGTCAACAAAGGGCAAGTTACTTTCAAGAAACACAGGGAAAAAAGAATACAACAGGAAGTCGACCTCATTTGGAATTTGAAGGCCTGGGATTATATAGCACTTGCCATTGACAGCCGATTTTGACTTCTAGCTATCATGTGATTTGGGGGGGTGGGGTGGAGGGAGGGAGGGCCTCTTTTCTATTCTGTGAAATGTCTGTGTATTATCTCTTCAAGGCCCTTGCATCTCTCCAAGTGTGACTTTTTTTAAAAAACGGTGTGTATCATATAGGCTATATAATTTTGATACTGAGAACTATACAGAGAACAATACTATTAAATGATAGACAATCTCCAAGAAGAGACTCTGCATTTAAGCAGTTGAAAAATTGTGCAACCCTTAGAAGAGGATCTTAGATGGCCGGGCGCGGTGGCTCACGCCTGTAATCCCAGCACTTTGGGAGGCCGAAGCGGGTGGATCATGAGGTCAGGAGATCGAGACCATCCTGGCTAACAAGGTGAAACCCCGTCTCTACTAAAAATACAAAAAAAATTAGCCGGGCGCAGTGGCGGGCGCCTGTAGTCCCAGCTACTCGGGAGGCTGAGGCAGGAGAATGGCGTGAACCCGGGAAGCGGAGCTTGCAGTGAGCCGAGATTGCGCCACTGCAGTCCGCAGTCCCGCCTGGGCGACAGAGCGAGACTCCATCTCAAAAAAAAAAAAAAAAAAAAAAAGAAGAGGATCTTAGATGAATACAAAAGCAAGTAAAAAAGATGAACTAGGCTGGGCGCAGTGGCTCACGCCTGAGATGGGTGGATCACCTAAGGTCAGGGGTTCGAGACCAGCCTGGCCAACATTGTGAAACCTCGTCTCTACTAAAGATACAAAAATTAGCTGGGTGTGATGGCGGGTGCCTGTAATCCCAGTTACTCGGGAGACTGAGGCAGAATCACTTGAATCCAGGAGGTGGAGGTTGCAGTGAGCCAAAATTGTGCCAATGTGCTCCAGCCTGAGTGAAAAAGCGAGACTCTGTCTCAAAAAAAAAAAAAAAGATAAACTATAGTATAAGTAACTCAGTGAAAAGCAGAAGTAACCAGAATTATTTTGCTTAAAGAAAATGGTCAAAGGATACTTCCAGATGTGAAACTGCTGGAGAAAGGAAATCTAAGACAAAGTTTATAATGCTTCATAAACTGGGAGCCTAGATCAGGAGTGGAGAGCTGTTTCATCTTCTACTTAAGAATCACAGAGGAAATATAAATCATCCCTTGCCAAAATAAAAAGAAACTCTAGGGTTTGTCTGTTTTTTTTTAGAGAGCTTTCCTTAGTTATTTTTAGAAATAGGAAGAGAATAAAAAGATCTATTAAATATACATATAACTCTATATACGCATATTTTTAAAAACCTATGCCCTGTGTTTAAGGGACAGACTCAAGAGGAGAGAGAAATGGGGTATCGAGACCCGTACAAACACACTCTTCAAGAGAAAACCTATGGCTAAAGAGATTCCACAGCAGAGAAAGAGAAATGAAATAGGGGGAGAGCATGATCCAGGAGCAAGATCCAGAAGAAAGAGAACCGGGAAGCTTAGTAAGTAGGTTTTGCAATATGTGTAGTCTTCACGCAGTAGTCTTACTTGAAACTGATACATTCATTCAGCATTTAAAACATTTAAAACAACCCTTTCTGACTGGAAATCGGCTTTTCTACTTTTTTTTTCCAGGTAGAATTCTGTGAGTCCTGTGATATGTAACAACAAGGAGCATCCACCCATCCTTTCATTATTTATTATTTATTATATGCCAAGATACAGCAGTGAACAAAAATATTTGCTGAGGACACAGCAGTGAATAAAAATTCTTGCCACACAGAGGTCGTCCCTCTAGTGGTTTAATAGCAAGTTCCTTCACTTTTAATTATGTACCTAATGACTTACATATATTACTTTGTCAATCTTCACAAAGTCATGAGGTAGGTGGAAAGTGTGATAAAACTTCTTTTGTGGCTACAGATGATTTAAAGCTGGTTCAAATCTGCCCAACAAAGTGAATAGAAAAATGGGTGAAATATTGTATTTAAAGAGTTCTTTATGAACTTTGTGAAAGAGGGAAGTTTAATTCATTTCTAAAAGTTTTCAGTATAGAGGAACTTGGTCCACTTTGGAATAACTGATTGGTTTGCCTCATTTTAAAGAACTGATCTACACTCTTTTATTTGTTCATAGAAATGCATCCCTGTTCTGAAAACAGAAACTTATCTTAGCAACAATGGACTTGCTCATGAGTGAGCTTAGGAACAGCCTTTCAGAGCCTCTTATCTGGAAATAGAGGAGCTTCTATATTACTCAATCTACTATTATACTCAGCCATGATTAGAGCTGTTTTCTGACTCATAAAATGAAGGAAGAGGAGGTGGATAAAGAGTGCCTGGGACAATGTGGGAATTCAATAATATCTGTTGAATGAATTAAGCAAATGAAAAGAAGGGGACGTTTTCCTAGAGTAATTAGATAAGAGCTCAAAAAGAGAGAAGGGAAAGCGGGGGGGATTAATGTGTGTCTATAACAGACTTTTTTTTTTTTTTTTTTTTTTTGAGATGGAGTCTCACTCTGTCGCCCAGGCTGGAGTGCAGTGGCGCGATCTCGGCTCACTGCAACCTCCGCCTCCTTGGTATAAGACTTCTTGACAGAAGAATTACTGAATAATGAAAGTAGAGGGGGGAAAAAGAAGGCCCTGAACAAGTACTTGTTTTCTACAGGAGAAAAAAGTAGATAAAAATGCTGTACCAAATACCTCTAGGAGTAAGCCACCAGGTGGCAACAATAGCCCAGGAGACCCAGGTTGCAAGTTTTAACATGCAATAGGGTGGTTAGTGGGAAACAGGTGGCTTTGGGAGGCTGAGGGAAACACTTTGGGAGGCTGAGGCAGGAGGACTGCTTGAGCCCAGGAGTTTGAGACCAGCCTGGGCAACATAGCAAGACCTCATCTCTATTTAAAAACACACACACACACACACACACACGCACGCACGCACGCACGCGCGCGCCAGTATTTCCATATACATGTGCAATTCAGTTTAGTTGCTTTAAACAATGCACACTAGATAGAAACTGCTCTGTTTTGAAAATTCTGCAGACAGGTCTGTGGCAGCAAGGCAGAGAGAGCTTGGTTTAGGCTCCAACTTTCCCAAAAAAAGAAAAGCCCTTTTAAGGGAAGGTGATGATTTTTAATCTGCTAAAGACCTAGTCACTGAACTGTTGATTCTTTTACAGATGGATAAACTGAGGCACACAGGCACTAAGTAATTTGCTCCAAAGGCAAAGAGCCATTACATGGCAAACCAGTGATTAAGATAAAGGGTTGCCTACTGAAGCATATCTTTTGATAATAATCCTTTTTTCCCCAGAAGTAGATGCCTTCAGAACTTTATTTATTATGATACGGAGATATATATTTAACACATTGTTTATTGTTTTTCCCTTGACTTCTTATTTTTTAAGAAGATTCTACTAATTACACAACTTCTCTGGAATGAAATCCTGAGATTGAGGAATTACTCTTGAGGCAGGTGCTTACAGATATTTATTTTCAGAGGTTTATCACCAAACAAAACTCTACTTAAAGTCACTATTTTAAGTTCTTACTCTAGAGTAGTGTTTTCTCAACTTTTTGAAAATTACAGGCACAACTTACAGGCAATGCAAAGACTGTGTACCACTGAGCACTGAAAACAGGGTCTAAGAGCTGTTTAGAAAGCCTTCCCATCATATACTCGGCTAATAATATATGCACAGCAACAGGGACCTCTGGCCTGAAAAAGACACACTACATGTTAAGAGAATAATGTCATTTCAAACAATGAAAGGGGGGAAACACATTTAATGTCTCCCCTCCCCCACCCCTGCCTAGGATTTTTTGGTCTACTGTTTAAACATTCTTTTTTTTTTTTGAGACAGAGTCTCGCTCTGTCGCCCAGGCTGGAGCACAGTGGTGTGATCTCGGCTCACTGACACTTCTGCCTCCCGCGGTCAAGTGATTCTCCTACCTCAGCCTCCCGAGTAGCTGGGATTACAAGTGCGTGCCACCATGCCTGGCTAATTTTTGTACTTTTAGTAGAGACGGGGTTTCACCATGCTGGCCAGGCTGGTCTCGAACTACCGGCCTCGTGATCCGCCCACCTCGGCCTCCCAAAGTGCTGGGATTACAAGCATGAGCCACTGCGCCCGGTCTAAACACTCTTATACTGACTTTCTGCAACTGTTTGAGGGAAAGGAAAACTGGAAATCCTTAATGTACTGCAAGATGTATAAGGAGGGAGCAGAATACATACTGTTCGCTAAATGTTTTTTTAATGTTATCTAAACTAGAAATGTCTGCACATGTATTTGTGATAGATTCCCAGTCAAGTAAGGCACATGACAGCTCATTGTACTGAGGTGGGAAAAGATCTGCCCTGGGTCTATATTTTAAGACCATTTCTCATTGACTTAACACTACTATTTCTAGCAACCAAAATTTTTGAGCACTTGCAGTACCCACTTAGTGCTTAGAGCCTAAATGGGGAATAAGGATAAGTAAATAAGCATTTAAAACAGTATGAAGACTAAGGGATAGAGACCTACAGAAACAAAGCCAAACATATGAAAATGATGAAAGATGACTTGTTCTAGCTGGGGAAGTACAACAGACTCACCCTGACACAACTCTTCATACCAAGCAGTTCCTGAAATCCTCGCTAAGACACTGAAATATAACTTCAGGTCCCTTTGTTCTAATGTTCTCCACATATAGAGCAGTTATCCTAAATCCAGTCTCAAAAACTCACCACAAACATGAACTAAGTCACTTTCCCCTGTTTTGTAGGCTAACCAATTTAAAATGTTAGCAAGTCCTCCAAAATCCTACCGTCAACTGTTAAATTACATTTCTTTATGTCTGCTCCAGTTTCTTCACGGATTTTAAAATAAAGGGACCTACAACAAACATAAAGCTCTGTATAGGAGTAGGAATAATTAATACAAAGTATAGAGAATACTCTAGCACTGGCGGAAAAGAGTTGTGGTTTATGTCTGGTTTAGGAGGCATGTGAGTCTGATTTTAGACATGTTTGGTTTGAAGTGATAAGACATGCAAGCTGAAAGGTACAGTAAACAGTTGGTTAGGATGAACTGATCTTTGGGAGACTTTCTCTGAGAAAGGATGTCTTTGTATCACTGAGAGTGATATACGGTAATACGGAAAAGAAAGAAGGAAGGGACTAAGCATAAACATAAAATGAGGAAAATGGATAGTGCTTATACAGTTTGATGTGAATCTCAAACCAAGGTATACAAATACAGTATAATTATACAAAATTTAAAAGTTTTTAAACACTGGCTTTAATATTCATTAACAATGCATCAAGAATGACTGAAATGCAACACACAAAAAACAGTTCACTCATGAAAAAATAGTATGGTAATAACTCCAATCCAGAAAATTCAACAACACACTTTAAGAGCATGTAAACAAATACCAACTTTATCAGGAGTTGACTCTTGCCTGGCTATAGAGATTGCTTACCTGATCTTTGCTTTCCTCGTCAATGAAAAAGAAAAAGAAAAAGCATCATCTCTCTACATTACAGGACCATCACAGGCCCATAAACATAATCCCTTTGCCCTTCCTCTACATTTCAAGAACACTTGAAGTAAAGTTGGTCGATGGTTAGTTATTACTACTGTTTCTCAGCTCCAAGCCCCTTCTGCTGGGTCTAGGAAATGGGTCTCAACCAGTGGCCATGTTGCCCCCTAGGGGTCACTTAGCAATGTATGGAGACACTCTCAGTTCTAACTATTAGCGGGACAGGGAGGGCTAATGGCATCAATTTCAGGGAGGCTAAGAATGTTACTAAACATCCTACAAAACACAGGACAGCCCCCTGGCCCAAAATGTCTACGATGCCAAGGCTGAGAAACCATGGTCTAGGATCTGCCAACTCATTTATTCAGAATCCCTTAGCAGCTTGCTTCCGGTTTACACTCTGCCAATGGGAGGCTTCAGAGGGACAAAAAAAAATGGGAAGAGGTCAGCATCTTTCTGGCAGCAGGTCTTCTTCCATCCAGAGCTCCAATACTAGCGTCTTCAGGCACTCTCATCACCAGCTAGTTGCATCCTGCTCAGAAGGCCAAATACCAACTGTGTGGAGATGTGCAGGTGGGCCTTTGAACTCCTAAATTCTAGTAACTCAAGTTTTTCCTTTTTTGCAATGATGGTTTTACATCTGTACTGTCCAATAATAGCCATTAGCAATTAAAATGCCTTGTCAGGTGACAGGGCCCAGAAGCAGTGATACAATAAGTACACCAAGCAAGCACCAAGTAAGTCTAAACAGCATCCTCCACTAAGAGGAACCAGGGTTCCTCACAGAAATGAAGGATTCTATGGGTTGGGCAGGGCAAATACATGAGCCTGTAATATATCCAGTTCTAAAATGAATCATCTAGAAATGACTAATGAAGAAAGATGGGGACATATCAAAAGTACACAGAAGAAACCTTAAAGGGGTTTCACCAGCCAAACCTGGGACAATTTGAGCATCAAGATAAATAATAAAAGTAATAGACTGGCCGGGCACGGTGGCTCACGTCTGTAATCCAAGCACTTTGGGAAGTGAGGCAGGCACATCACAAGGTCAAGAGATCGAGACCATCATGGCCAACACGGTGAAACCCCACTTCTACTAAAAATATAAAAATTGGCTGGGCGTGGTGGCATGCGCCTATAGTCCCAGCTACTCGGGAGGCTGAGGAAGAAGAATTGCTTGAACCCGGGAGGTGGAGGTTGCAGTGAGCTGAGATTATGCCACTGCACTCCAGCTTGATGACACAGTGAGACTCCGTCTCAAAAAAAAAAAAAAAAGTAATAGATTATAACTCACTGAATAACACAGGAATCCACGACTCCATACTGATATAAAGGAATAAATAAATCAGAAGAAGGAAGCAGAAAAAAAATCTTCCTAGTGGTAGAGACTGACTAGAAATTACATTCCAGCTCCTTACTTCACTGGTACTAGAAGTATGCTGTCCAATATGGTAGCCACTAGGCACATGTCACTATTTAAATGTAATCTGCTAAAATTAAACTAAAAATTCAGTTCCTCAATTGCACTGGCCACATTTCAAGTGCTCATGTGGCTGGTGGCTACTGCACTGGATAGTGGTGCACCGGACAATGACATTTGAGAGACTGAGCCATAATTTTGTGAAAATAAGGTCTAGAACAGTCTTTTTTATTGAAGACAGTCTCAATTTGGTCACCCAGGCTGGAGTACAGTGAGGCAATCTAGGCTAACTGCAGCCTCTGATGCCCTGGTTCAAGCAATTCTCATGCCTCAGCCACCCAAGTAGCTAGGGTTACAGGTGTGCACCACTACACCCAGCTAATTTTTGTGTTTTTAGCAGAGACGGGGTTTCACTACGTTGCCCAGGCTGGTCTTGAACTCCTGGCCTAAACTGATCCCACCTCAGCCTCCCAAAGTGCTGGGATTACAGGGGTGAGCCACCACGCCCGGCCAAGAGCAGTCTTAAGGTAAGATCTCATTTTGTTGCTTTCTGAAACTCTTAAAATTTTGTATTGAAATTGAAATAAAAGACAATTTCAAAAGGATGAAGAGAATAAAAAGAAACAACAGGAATACAATTCTGGATGTGAAAAGCAGAATTAGGTAACTGAATTAGGAGACTGGAAAGAACTGAATCCCAGTATGGGCAAAGGGGAAAGCTAAGAATCCAATTTACAAAGCAAATTCAACAAAATGTCTGGGACTGGCAGCAACATTGCTGGAACCCTAGTTAGGGTGAAGAACTGCTGAAGGATAGAAGATGGATAAAAGGTCTTTAAGAAGCAGTTAAATTTCTAAGTTGCTTCTTCAACATTATGCTGCACTTCAAGTGGAAAGTAGAAGTTTATTCATTAAAGAGGGTCTCTGACCCCCAGGAACTCAAGGCATCGTTGAAAACGGAATAAAGTGCATATTTTATTGAAAACAGAGGGATTAAGTAAGTATATCATTTCCAGAAACAGAAAAAAGAAAGAAGAGGGGGGAAGAGAGAAAGAGACAGAAATCAGAACATGGAAGAAAACTGGAACCCTACTCTAGAAGCTTCAATATCCTCAAAGTAAGAAAAATGGAAGGGAGGAAATAACCAACAGAGTAATTCAAGAAAACTTTCCAGAACAGAGAATAGGAATTGCCAGGCTGAAAGAGCCCCTGTACAGCACGACCTCACTGAAAGGGCATCTGTACAGCAATGTCCCACTTTCTTGGCACCAATTTCCTGTATTAGTCCATTTTCACACTAGTATAAAGAACTACCTGAGACTGGGTAATTTATGAAGAAGAGAGGTTTGACTGACTCACAGTTCTGCAGGTTTAACAGGATGCATGACTGGGAGGCCTCAGGAAACTTACAATCATGGCAGAAGGTGAAGGGGAAGCAGACACCTACTTCACAATGGTGGAGCAGGAGAGAGACAGCACGAAAGGGGAAGTGCCACACACTTTCAAACAACCAGATCTCATGAGAACTTACTATCTCAAGAACAGCAAGGGGGAAGTCTGCCCCCATGATTCAATCACCTCCCACTGACATATGAGGATTACAATTTGAGATGGGATTTGGGTGGGGATACAGAGCCAAACCATAACATATACATACAAAAGTACGCATCAAGGCTGGGCATGGTGGCTCACACTTATAATCTCAGTACTTTGGGAGGCCAAGGTGGGAAGACTGCTAGAGCCCAAGAGTTTGAGACCAACCAGGGCGATATAGTAAGACCTCCTATCTACAAAAAAACTGCCAGCTATTTGAGAGACTGAGCGGGGGAGGACTGCCTGAGCCCGGGAGGCAGAGGTTGCAGTGAGGTGAGATTGAGCCACTGCACTCCAGCCTGGTAGACAAAGCAAGACCCTGTCTCCAAAAAAAAAAAAAAAAGAGTACATGTCAATACTTGCAGTGCTTTCAGTCTTTCCAGTGAGCGACTGAAAACAGGCACAGAGCAGCATGAAAGTTGAGTGGCTTGATACGCATGTTTCCAGCTCAGGTCCAACAAAGCAATGCTCTGCCTCCTTCTTTCAGCTCTCATTTTGTAAACAAGTGTCGTTTTCATGGTCTATTTAGTCCCATGTTTTCACCTTTTTGTGCTGTTTCTTGGTAGTTTCGCTATTTAAATGGCTCCCAAGTGTAGTGCTGAAATGCTGCTAAATATATATAAGATATATGAGATATATATCATGTAACATATATCTCAGATATATGATGTATATATCATATATATCACATAATATATAATATGATATATAATATATATCATATATAATATATCATATGATATATAATATATATTATATATTATATATCATATTATATATTATATATGATATATATATCATATTATATATTATATATATTATATATCATATTATATATTATATATGATATATAATATATATCATATATAATATAATATGTGATGTATTTTAGCAGAAATACACATAAAACAAGGTTACGTATTGATCCATCGAAAAAATGTTATAACCAGAGGCTCAGAGGAACCTCACCCTGAGATTCCTCTAGGAACAGAGGTTCAGTAATTGCTAACTTGGTGTTCATGTAAACTTTATAGAACACAACTAGCGGCTGGGCACGGTGGCTCACGCCTGTAATCCCAGCACTTTGGGAGGTCAAGATGGGTGGATCACTTGAGGTCAGGAGTTCAAAGCCAGCCTGGTCAACATGGTGAAACCCCATCTCTACTAAAAATACAAAAAAATTAGCCAGGCGTGGTGGCAGTGCCTGTAATCCCAGCTACTTGGGAGGCTGAGGCAGGAGAATCACTTGAACCCAGGAGGTGGCGGTTGCAGTGAGATCACGCCATTGCACTCCAGACTGGGTGACGAGACTCTGTCTCAAAAACAACAACAAGAAAAACACAATTAGCACCTATAACAAGAATTAATTACACATACATACATAAAATCACACAATATCATACATTTTCTTTGTAACCTGAGGACACAGTGGTACCTGGGGCCCAGTCCCCGTATCTTATCTGGACTTGGCTGGTCCTGCCCAAGTGATGTCGAAGTTCCTGATCTCGCCTTAAGGAAAAAGGTTCAGCTGATCTCATTTCACCCCATGAGAGTGTCCCCCTCTGACCTGTTCCTGGGAGCTGGAGGTGGGCCAAGTGAAGGGCAGTCCTCTGACTACCCCTGTGCTGGAAATCCAAGCTGGTCCATACAATAACCCTGCTAAACGCTCCATATATGTTGGGTCCTGAGTTTCCAAGGTGCATTTGTGACCTTGCCCAATGATTTCTCCAGACTCTTGGAAACTCGGGGAAGCCGAAGGCAGACTCTGTTCAGCTTCTCTTCTAAGGGCTTCCACCTAATAGTGCAAACTGCTCTTTCCTCACATGGTGAGACCTGGGCTTGCTATTCCATGTTTCATAACTAAACAATATGTGGCTCAGATAGAAATGGATATACTGGGAGTAAACCTGCAGAGAAAGGGAAGAGGATTATCAAAACAAAGATCCAGTTAGTGGATATGGACATGTGGATGAGATGTTCTATTTCTTTTTTTTTTTTTTTTTTTTTGAGACTGAGTTTTGCTCTTGTTGCCCAGGCTGGAGTGCAGTGGTGCGATCTCGACTCACTGCAACCTCTGGCTCCCGGGTCCAAGCGATTCTCCTGCCTCAGCCTTCCTGAGTGGCTGGGATTACAGGCATGTGCCTGGCTAATTTTGTATTTTTAGTGGAGATGGGGTTTCTCCATGTTGGTCAGCCTGGTCTCAAACTCCCGACCTCAGATGATCCACCTGCCTTGGCCTCCGTAAGTGCTGGGATTACAGGCATGAGCACCGCGCCTGGCCGAGATGTTCTATTTCTTAATATGAGTAGTGGATGTGTGGACGTTGGTTTTATTCTCTTTTTACTAGATACATACTTTTGTACACTCTTCTAAATGTTATGACACATTTCACACACATACATAAAAATTCCATTCTCAAAGAAAAGAACTGGCTGGCCATATGTCTTTAAAATGGCAAATATTATTTAGATTTTTTTTAAAAAGACATAAACTTCTTAAAAGAAAATGAGGGCCGGGCGCGGTGGCTCACGCCTGTAATCCCAGCACTTTGGGAGACCAAGGTGGTGGATCACAAGGTCAGAAGATCGAGATCATCCTGCCTAATACGGTGAAACCCTGTCTCTACTAAAAATACAAAAAATTAGCCGGGCATGGTGGCGGGCGCCTGTAGTCCCAGCTACTCGGGAGGCTGAGGCAGGAGAATGGCGTGAACCTGAGAGGCAGAGCTTGCAGTGAGCCGAGATGGCGCCACTGCACTCCAGCCTGGGTGAGAGTGCGAGACTCCATCTCAAAAAAAAAAAAAAAAAAAAAAAGAAAATGAGAATATTTAGTGGGTAAGGCCTTTCTAAGCAATATAAGGAAAGTGAAACTATAAATAGGGGAGGGTGGAGCACACTGTAAATTTGATCATAAATAAGTATAACACTTTAATATTGGCAAAAGGTTCCATAAACAAACTCAAATGACAACAAGTAGGGAGAAATATCGGTAACAAATATAACAATGGGCTCCTAAACATTAAGAAAAAGACCAGTAGGAGGGGAAAAAAAATAGAAAAATAGGAACTGATATGTGACCAGGCATTACTGAAGAGGAAGTATGTCATTCAAATACATGCTTGGTAAATAAAAGAAGTATGCTTAGTTAACAATAATTTATTGTATATTTTCAAATAGCTGGAAGAGAGGATTTTGAATGCTCTTAACACAAATGAGTGATAAATGTTTGAGGTGATAGATAAGCTAATTACCCAGATCTGGTCATTACACACTATATGTATTTACTGAAATATCACTATGGGCTGGGTGTGGTGGCTTATGCCTATAATCCCAGCATTTTGTGAGGCCAAGATGGGAAGACCATTTAAGGCCAGGGTTTGAGAACATCCTGGGAAACATAGTGAGACCTCATCTCTAGTTTATTAAAAAATAAAAATAAAAAAATAAAAAAGCAAAGTATCACCATGTACCCTAGAAATATGTATAATTATCACGTGTCAATTAAAAATAAAAAAAGTTAGGCCAGGCACAGTGGCTCATGCCTGTAATCCCAGCACTTTGGGAGGCCGAGGCAGGTGGATCATCTGAGGTCAGGAGTTCGAGACCATCCTGGCTAACACGGTGAAACCCTGTCTCTACTAAAAATACAAAAAATTAGTTGGGTGTGGTGGTGGGCGCCTGTAGTCCCAGCTACTCAGGAGGCTGAGGGAGGAGAATGGCATGACCCCAATAGGCGGAGCTTGCAGTGAGCTGAGATCGTGCCACTGCACTCCAGCCTGGGAGACAGTGTGAGACTCTGTCTCAAAAAAAAAATAAATAAATAAATAAAAAAGCAAAATATCACCATGTACGTACCCTAGAAATACGTATAATTATGATGTGTCAATTAAAAATAAAAATTTAGGCCAGGCACGGCGGCTCATGCCTGTAATGCCAGCACTTTGGGAGGCTGAGGCGGGTGGATCTTGTGAGGTCAGGAGTTCAAGACCAGCCTGGCCAACGTGGTGAAACCCTGTCTCTACTAAAAATACAGAAATTAGCTGGGCACGGTGGCAGGTGCCCGTAATCCCAGCTACTTGGGAGGCTGAGGCAGAAGAATCACTTGAACCTGGGAGGCGGAGGCTGGAGTGAGCTGAATCCCAGCTACTTGAGAGGCTGAGGCAGGAGAATCACTTGAATCCGGGAGGCGGAGGTTGCAGTGAGCTGAAATTGTGCCACTGCACTCCAGCCTGGGCGACAAGAGTGAAACTCCATCTCAAAAATAAATAAATAAATAAATAAATAGGCCTACAGTCCTCCAAAATTTTCAGTGTCATTCATAAAAAGGCCTAGTTCAAGCAAGACTCATGAAAATCTCAAGATAGAAGACTGAGGCATGACCGGTAATATAAAGGGTAAGCAAACAATCCTACGAATCACAACTGGCTTCATTCTCAGTTAAGACAGACCCTGTGCCCACCTGCCCCCCTCCAAAAAATTCAGTTGTTCTCACACTCTGCAAGAGTTCTAGCTTAGGCACCACCCACAGGTCAGAATATACTGCAGTCCTCCCAACCCAAAGTTTTGCTTTCTCTTTTTTTTTATTATTATTTTTTTTTGAGATGGAGTCTTGCTCTGTCGCCCAGGCTGGAGTGCAGTGGCGCGATCTCGGCTCACTGCAAACTCCACCTCCTGGGTTCACGCCATTCTCCTGCCTCAGCCTCCAGAGTAGCTGGGACTACAAGGTGCCCGCCACCATGCCTGCCTAATTTTTTGTACTTTTAGTAGAGGCAGGTTTTCACCATGTTAGCCAGGATAGTCTCAATCTCCTGACATCGTGATCTGCCCGCCTTGGCCTCCCAAAGTGCTGGGATTACAGGTGTGAGCCACCACGCCCCGCCCCAAAGTTTTGCTTTCTGAGGTTTCAGTTATCCGTGGTCAACAGTGGTCTGAAAATATTAAATGGAAAATTCCAGAGACAAACAATTCATAAGTTTTAAACTACCTACTGTTTTGAATAGTGTGATGACATCATGCACTGTCCCACTCGGAGGTGAATCATCCCTTTGCTTGGCGTATCTGTGCTGTATACCTGCCCACTAGTCACTTAGCAGCTGGTTATCAGATGAATAACAGGATACATAGGGTTCAGTACTATCCACAGGTTCAGGCATCCACTGGGTGGTCTTGGAAAAATGTCCCCCCTCAGATAAAGGGTGACTACTGTAAGGCAGAACCAGGGCCTTTACCCTATGCTAACCCTTTTTAGCTTCCTCACACAATTACATGCTTGCTACATCTTCTTTCATTTGCCCAGTTATCTTGGGCCTGTAAGGTCCTGTACTTGACCCTATTTTATATATGTTTTTATTAGTGACTTAGAAAATGACAGTAGGCCAGGTGTGGTAGCTCACGCCTGTAATCCTAGGCAGGAGGATTCCTAGAGCCCAGGAGTTTGAGATCCACCTGGGTAACATCGGGAGACCCGGTTTCTATTTAAAACAAACAAACAAAAAATTAAAAATAAAAAAAATAAAATGACAGCAAACATTTATAAGCTTGTGCATAAAACAAACAGTTAAAATACTAGATGACAGAACAGAGATTGAAGCGAGGCAAACGGGTATGTAAAACAAGACTTATTTTTTTTTTTGAGACGGAGTCTCACTCTGTCGCCCAGGCTGGAGTGCACTGGCACGATCTTGGCTCACTGCAAGCTATGCCTCCAGGGTTTGCACCATTCTCCTGCCTCAGCCTCCCGAGTAGCTAGGACTACAGGTGCCCGCCACCACGCCTGGCTAATTTTTTTTTTCTTTTTTTTAGTAGAGACGGGGTTTCACCGTGTTAGCCAGAATGGTCTCAATCTCCTGACCTCGTTATCTGCCCGCCTTGGCCTCCCAAAGTGCTGGGATTACAGGCGTGAGCCACCGCGCCCGGCCAACAAGATGAATTTTAAAAGGACTTCGTACAAAGTTTTGCCTTTGGATAAAACAATTCATGTGATAAGAAATCCTGGATTAATTAACTAAGCAAAACCTTAGCGTCAATATTAGCCCAAGATGAGATGCAGTTGCTAAAAATGCCAGCAAATAAACAAGCAAGCTTAGATTGCATTAATAACCATACAAGATTCATAACTGTGATATATCTACAACATTTTACTCTGCCAGACCATATGTGAAGAACTACATTCAGTTCTGTGTGTCTTGTTTTAAAATGGGAAACAAGTACAGTAGTATATATAGTTATATAGTTAGTATATATAGTATATAGACAGAATGGCAAAGTATCTAGAAACTACACCAAGAGAAATTACTAAAGGACAAAATGGGCTGTTCAGCAAAAGAGCTGGGAACAGGCAACACTGAGGGGATGCCACAGCTCCATACAGAGCTATCACAAAGAGGCAGTACACTCAGTTCTCTGTAGCTACTAAGGTCAAAACCAGGAGACACTAAATGCAACCTGGTATCCTGGATCCCACACAGAAAAGGGATATTAGTGAAAAAAAAAAAACACAGTTAAGACCTCAATAAAGTCAGGAGCTTTATTAGTAATAATGTACTAGTGTTGGTTTCTTAGTTTTGCCAAATGTACCAATGTAATGCAAACTATTAACATTAGGAAAAACCAGGTAAGGAATATATGGGAAGTCTCTATACTACCTTTGCAACTTTTCTGTAAATCAAAAATTATCCCAAAATAAAAGTTTATTTTTAAAAAGTAAGCTAACAAGGAGGCAGGTGGTTCAAAGGATGATTCTCTGATGGTACAGTGAATGCTCTGTCAATGCATGCGTTATGGTCAAAGATTAAAAGACAAACTGAAATGCTTTTGAAAGGGTTTCTGCATATTTCATAGGACACTGGTACCATCTAAACTGGAGGTTAAATGAATTTAGTAGGGCCATTAATATTTATACTGGAGACTGAAAACCAGAATGTAAAGAACAAAGCTAACTGAAGTAGATCCATCACTACTAGGAAAGTAACAATTTTGTATTTGCAATAATGTTATTAATATAATCAATTCTTCTACCTGTTTTGAGGAGGATGCCAAAGCCTACCATGGTTAGGTCAATGAAGGACTGCATATATGATGGTGGTCCCACAAGTTTATTTTTACTGATACCTTTTTTATGTTTAGGTATGTTTAGAACCACAAATAGCATTGTGTTATAACTGCCTACAGTATTGAGTACAGCAACATATTATGCAGGTTTCTAGCTTAGATAAACAACAAGCTATCCATATAGCCTAGGTGTACAGTAGGGGTTTGTGTTAGTACACTATGATATTCACACGATTATGAAATTGTTTAACAATGGATCTCAGAATGTATCTATGTTGCTAGGCAACATGTGATCGTGTGTTTTTCAAACTACAGGTTGTAACTCAGTAAAATAAATTTAGTCACTATCACTCTCAACTGGGAGGTATCACCCACACAGGACATTCTGGAACTGTATGGGGGCTATTTTTTGGTCATCACAATGATTAGGGGCTCTACTGGCATTTATTGAGGAAAAGTGCCAAAGATGCTAGGCATTTTGCAATGCACAGAAAATGCAATAAAGAATTGTTCAGCATCCCAACAGGATTTTCTAAACCTCCTACCAGACATTCAAGAAGGAAACTAAAAACCCAAAACTTTAAAATTATGTAAGGCTGGGGGCCAGGTGCAGTGACTCACACCTGTAATCCCAGCACTTTGGGAGGCTAGGGCAGGCAGCTCACTTGAGGTCAGGAGTTCGAGACCAGCCTGGCCAACATGGTGAGACCCTGTCTCTACCAAAAAATACAAAAATTAGCTGGGCATGGTGGTATACGCCTGTAGTCACAGCTACTCAGGAGGCTGAGGTGGAAGAATCACTTGAACCTGGGAGGCAGAGGTTTCAGTGAGCCAAGATCACGCCACTGCACTCCAGCCTGGGTGACAGACAGAGACCCTGTCTCAAAAAAATGAAAAAATTAATTAATTAATTAATTAAAATAAAATTATATAAGGCTGGGAGTAGTGGCTCACACCTGTAATTCCAGCACTTTGGGAAGTGGAGCAGGAAGATCACTTGAGACCAGGAGTTTAAGACCAGCCTGGGCAATAGTGAGACCCCATCCCTACAAAAAAAAGACAAAAAAGAAAAAAAAAGAAAACCCACAAAACAAAACAAAACAAACCCAAAACTTTAGCTGGGCATGGCGGCACTTATCTGTAGCCCTACCTACTCAGGATGCTGAGGTGGGAGGATTGCTTGAGCCCAGGAGTGCAAAGCTGCAGTGAGCTATGATCGTGCCACTACACTCCAGCCTGGGCAACAAAGCAAGACCCTGACTCTTAAAAAAAAAAAAAAAAAAAAAGTAAAATTATCTAAGCATAATACCTAATTCAATTTTTTAACCTTAACACAGAATATTATTCACAGTTTTAGTAAACACTTACTTTCTAGTATGTCACTATTACACAAATATTGTTTTGCTTCATTTAGGATTTACCAAAGACTGTTTAACATTCCAGAAAACTGGATGACAAAGCTGTTTGTAGCTGACTTTCCAGTACACTGTACCTGATCAGACTGCTTTCGGAGCTATAACTTCCAAATATGAAATAGAGACTGAAGAGATTTATTTCCAAACATTATCAAATTACAAGGGGCTTATGAAACACAGGGTTCTTGCTAGATTTTATTGAGATTAAAAAATATATTTCATAGCTGGGCGCAGTGGCTTACGGCTGTAATCCCAGCACTTTGGGAGGTTGAGATGGGCGGATCACGAGGTCAGGAGATCGAGACCATCCTGGCTAACACGGTGAAACCCCGTCTCTACTAAAAACACGAAATTAGCTGGGCATGGTAGCGGGCACCTGTAGTCCCAGCTACTCGGGAGGCTGAGGCAGGAGAATGGCGTGAACCTGGGAAGCGGAGCTTGCAGTGAGCCGAGACTGTGCCACTGCACTCCAGCCTGGGTGACTCCATCTCAAAAAAAATCAATATCGTCTTAGTTATATTTAATTTTTTATGACACAATAGGTAGAAATCTATGTTGTAAAAATTAAATATTGAACTTATTTATTTTGAGGTTGCTATTATTTTTCTTTTTTTTTTAATGTCCCCTGAAGTCTACCACACATCTATTCCTGTTTCTTTTTCTAATCTATCCTTTATTACTCATTGCCTATTAAGGAGTATTTTCTCCAGGGGACATTTAAGTACTAGGGGCTGAATGTAAATGCCACCAGGTTTTCTGTGAGATTTCCTCACTTCCTTGTCTCCTGTCAGGGCCTCTAACTGGGAATTATTTTGACACTATAATTAGGTCAAACTCACTAGTGACTATGTGATACTATTTTTATTTTTCCATGTGGAAAGTATGTAATTTGTCTTATGTTATCCCTACATCAAACAAAATTATTTCCCCCTTTCTCTTATATGCAAATAATTCTGCTTTTACTCATTCTAACAGTTTTCATTCTGGTATCTACCCATATCTATAAATAGTATAGGAAAATGAAAGTTCTTCTGATCTTATTTCTTTTAAGTCCAACTTATTTATTGTAAGTAGGTATAGGTACTCAGTTATTTCACTGTAACGTCAGATTCTAATGTAGTTAAAGACTCACCTATTAACCTTACTTCAGGATAATCAATAGGCATTAAATTATTTGTTATAAAAAATAAATGAGGCCGGGTGTGGTGGCTCACGCCTGTAATCCCAACACTTTGAGAGGCCGAGGCAGGCAGATCACGAATTCAGGAGTTCAAGACCAGCCTGGCCAACATGGTGAAACCGTGTCTCTACTTAAAAAATACAAAAATTAGCCGGGTGTGTTGGCGGGCACCTGTAATCCCAGCTACTTGGGAGGCTGAGGCAGAAGAATTGCTTCAACCCGGGAGGCTGAGGTGGCAGTGAGCAGAGATCACGCCACTGCACTCCAGCCTGGGCGACAGAGCAAGACTCTGTCTCAGATATATAAATAAATAAATAAGAGGCCAGGCGCAGTGGCTCATGCCTGTAATCCCAGCACTTTGGGATTACTCCAGCCTGGGTGACAGAGCAAGACTACGTCTTGGATGGATGGATGGATGGATGGATGGGTGGGTGGATGGATGGATGGGTGGGTGGGTGGGTGGGTGGACAGATAGGTAGGTAGATAGACAGACAGACAGATAGATAGATAGATAGATAGATAGATAGATAGATAGATAGATAGATAGGTAAGAGGCCCAGCACAGTGGGTCATAGCTGTAATCCCAGCACTTTGGGAGTCCGAGTTGGGTGGATCACTTGAGGTCAGGAGTTCAAGACCAGCCTGACCAACATGGTGAAACCCTGTCTCTACTAAAAATACAAAAAAAAAAAAAATTAATTGGGCGGGGTGGTACACGCCTGTAATCCCAGCTACTTGGGAGGCTGAGGCAGGAAAACAGCTTGAACCCAAGAGGCAGAGGTTGCAGTGAACCGGGATCACGTATCACTGCACTCCAGCCTGGGTGACAGAGCAAGACTCTGTCTCAAATAAGTAAGTAAGTAAGTAAGTAAATAAATAAATAAATAAATAAATAAGGCGTTGGCTCTGACAGGGTTGAGAATTATTAATTTAGTGGATCTTAACCAGAACTTCTTAAAAACAGAAAAGAATTAGAAATTATCAGACTATACTGCAAATCAGGTATTATTTTATAAAGTGTTTGTTTCCATTATGTATGTGTTTTCTGGGTGCTATAAATATGTATTATAGGCTGGCCATGGTGGCTCATGCCTATAATCCCAGCAGTTTGGGAGGCCAAAGCGGGTGGATCACCTGAGGTCAGGAGTTTGAGACCAGCCTGGCTAACATGGTGAAACCCTGTTTCTACTAAAAATACAAAAAAAATCAGCCGGGCATGGTGGCGTGCACCTGTAATCCCAGCTACTCGGGAGGCTGAGGCAGGAGAAGTGCTTGAACCTGGGAGGCAGAGGTTGCAGTGAGCCAAAATCACACCACTGCACTCCAGCTTGGGCAACAAGAGAGAAACTCCGTCTCAAAAATAAATAAATAAATAAGTAAAATGTACTTTTTGGCTGGGCACGGGGGCTTATGCCTGTAATCCCAGCACTATGGGAGTCCGAGGTGGGCAGATCACTTGAGGTCAGGAGTTCAAGACCAGCCTGGCCAACATGGAGAAACCCTGTCTCTACTAAAAATACAAAAAACAATAGCTGGGTGTGGTGATGCACACCTGTAATCCCAGCTACTCGGGAGGCCGAGGCATGAGAACACTTGAATCCAGGAGGCGGACGTTGCAGTGAGCCAGGATTGCACCGCTGCTCTCCAGCCTGGGTGACAAAGTGAGATTCCATCTCAAAAAAAAAAAAAAAAAAAAAAAAGAAAATGTATTTTTTGCTGTAAGTCAACATCAAATTAGTATGCAAGGCACTGCTAAGTGCTCCCTCAACCCCAAGGCCTTTCAACCCTTATAGATGAGGCACAATAACTGAACAGACACCACTCAACAATTTTACAAGGTACCTCATGCTCCTTGCCTCCTTCAGAAAGGTCTCCTCCCTTCCTGAGATCTGTGTCCTACTCTGTGATCCATTTCCTAATATGATGCCTTCCTCTTAAGAGGAGACCATGGGGAGTGAGGGGTAAGAAATATATGCCTTCTTCAAGTCCTCAATTGCTTTTTCACCTTTTCGGTCTTAAAAGCAAACAAAAGAATCATGGGCATGGTAACCGCCTTTTTAGATATGATGAAATCCAGAAAGCAAAAAGGAAAGGCAGAGGATATGTCTATAATAAAAATGAGTATCTTTTGGGGAACCAAGACACTACGTATAAGCCAAATGAAAATGGAAAAAAAATCCTATAATTAAAAAGGTTTAATATCCTCAAGACCTACAACAATCAGGAAGAAACAAGCAATTTTATGAGGGAAAAAAAAGTGAGCACCACAAAAAAATTTTCAGTGAAACTAAGTTGCAAACCTGTTCTATGACTGAGTAGTTGTCACGCTAGGTATAGTCATGCACAACACTTAAATCAACAATAGACTGCATAGCCACGGCAGTCTCATAAGATCATACATTTTTATTGTATCTTTTCTATGTTTACATACAGTTATTATTCTGTTATAATTACCTACAGTATTCAGTACAGTAACATACTGTACAGGTTTGTAGCCTAGGAGCAATAGCTTAGCCTGGCCAACATACATAGCCCAGATGTGTAGTAGGCTATACCGTCTAGGTTTCTGTAAGTACACTCTATGATGTTCACACAATGACAAAATCACCTAACGATGCATTTCTCAGCACGTATCCCTCTCATTAAGCAAAGAATCACTATACATACCCAGCTACTTATTAAATTATCTCATTAATTCTAATAATTTTTAAAGAGACTTTTAGGTTAGGCCAGGCATGGTGGCTCACTCCTCTGTAATCTCAGCAGTTTAGGAGGCCGAGGCAGGTGGATCACCTGAGGTCAGGAGTTTGAGACGAGTCTGGCCAACATGGTGAAACCCTGTCTCTACTAAAAATACAAAAATTGGCCGAGCATGGTGGTGCACATCTGTAATCCCAGCTTCTCAGGAGGCTGAGGCAGGAGAATCGCTTGAACCCAGGAGGCGGAGGTTCCAGTGAGCCGGGATTGCACCACTGCACTCCAGCCTGGGTGACAGAGCCAAGACTCTGTCTCAAAAAAAAAAAAAAAAAAAAAATCTTAGGTTATTTAGGTATAAAGTATTATCAGCAAAAAGAGAGATTATTTTTGATTTTTAGCTCTTATTTTCAAATGTTTGCTTATTTATATTGGTTCTTGATTTCCTGTCTTATTATCGTCAATTTACAAGTGGTTGGGTGACATTACTTTAGAGGGAGAACACTATCAGCAATTCTAGACACCTGCAGTGTAACAGACAATACTACACAACGAAGACTCACCTTTCACATAACTGTCAAATGTCCCAAAAGAAAAACCTGTTTATAATTACTTGAGTGTAGAAGCTAAATCAATTTTTATATAGGTACTAAGTACTTTTGCATGATTTTAACATACACACTGAAATCACCAGTAATACAATTGCTTGGAACTTGAAACTATGAGCTGTTCAAAAAGAAACAACATTGACGGCAATACTGCTTGTGGTATCTGAACTTCAATACAACATGTCTGTTATGGACTTGCATTTGAAGCCATCACATTTATAGAGTATCTGACTTCTTCATTACTTCTTTAAATAACTTCCTAAGCATCTGTATCTTGAAAGGCATATTATCACATATTGTTTTCATTTTTCCTTTACATTTGAGCATTTTACTTAAAGTATGTGAATAAGAGTTCTTTTTAAAAATGGATTTTTTAAAGACACAGGGTTTCAATGTATTGCCCACGCTTGTTTTGAACTCCTGGCCTCAAGTGATCTTTCCAACTTGGCCTCCCAGTGTTGGGATTACAGGCATGAGCCATCGTGCTCAGCCAAGAATTCTTTATAAAAGAATTCTAATGAATAAACACAGAAATAAAAATGATAAAGTTGGAAAGTCAACCTCTTGCAATCACTAACAAAGGATAGATAGATCCAAGTAGCTCACATCAGTGACAGACAATAAAGGAACAGCCTGACATCTGAACCCACTGAGACAACCAGACATTCTAAGCCTGTCAGTATGATGTAATAAGAAGTATAACACTCATATTCTTATAAAAACATATTCGGCACCTACGAAATATTCTTACCAAAGACAAAAACCTGAATCAAGACTCTAGAACTGATACCCTGAAACTCTGAACATATCTATCATAGCAAGAAAAACAAAATAATAAAATTGGCCAGGCACGGTTGGCTCACACCTGTAATCCCAGCACTTTGGGAGGCCAAGGTGGGTGGATCACGAGGTCAGGAGTTCCAGACAAGCCTGACCAACATGGTGAAACCCCGTCTCCACTAAAAATATGAAAATTAGCTGGGGTTGGTGGTGGGCGCCTGTAATCCCAGCTACTCAGAAGGCTGAGGCAGGAGAATTGCTTGAACCCAGGAGGCGGAGGTTGTAGTGAGCCAAGATCGCACCACTGCACTCCAGCATGGGCAACAGAGCAAGACTCCATCTCAAAAAAAAAAAATTAATAAAATTTAAATTTCGAAAAAGGCTCTAGAACTGAGCACCACTTAAAAGAAATACAGGCGATGAAAAGAATGTATTAAAATATCATTAAAATGCAATCCCAAATATGGGAAATACTATCAAAGGAATGATCCAGTTTTTTCAACAAATAAACAGTATTTTCAAGAAGAGGGCTACTATAAATAGACATTTTAAAGGACCTATCAACCAAATGTAACATGTGGATCTTATCTGGATCCTGATTTTAACAAACTAAAAAGACATACTTGACAAATGAGAAAACTGAACATGAACTGAGTATTAAATATTAAAGAAGTGTTGTTGGCTGGGCGTGGTGGCTCATGCCTGTAATCCCAGCACTTTGGGAGGCCGAGGTGGGTGGATCAGCTGAGGTTGGGAGTTTGAAACCATCCTGACCAACATGGAGAAACCCCGTTTCTACTAAAAATGCAAAATTAGCTGGGTGTGGCGGCGCATGCCTGTAAACCCAGCTATTCAGGAGGCTGAGGCAGGAGAATCGCTTGAACCCGGGAGGTGGAGGTTGCAGTGAGCTGAGATCACGCCATTGCACTCCAGCCTGGGCAACAAAAGCGAACCTCCGTCTCAAAAAAAAAAGAAGTATTGTTAGTTTAGTGAGGTGTGATAGTAACATTGCAATTCCATATACACACACAAGTGTGTGTAGTGCATCACTATCCAGTAGTTACAGATAAATACAGAAATATTTGTGAGTAAAAGGATATGCAGGTCTGAAATTTGCTTTAAAATGTTCATACTTGGCCGGGCGCGGTGGCTCACGCCTGTAATCCCAGCACTTTGGGAGGCCGAGATGGGCGGATCACAGGGTCAGGAGATCGAGACCATCCTGGCTAACATGGTGAAACCTCGCCTCTACCAAAGATACAAAAAAATTAGCCGGGCATGGTGGCGAGTGCCAGTAGTCCCAGCTACTTGGAAGGCTGAGACAGGAGAATGGCGTGAACCCAGGAGGCGGAGCTTGCAGTGAGCCGAGGTCACGCCACTGCACTCCAGCCTGGGTGACAGAGCAAGACTCTGTCTCAAACAAAACAAAACAAAACAAAACAAAACAAAACAAAACAAAACAAAACAAAACAAAACAAAAAATGTTCAAACTCAAAAATGGGGGGTAGGTCAAGCGCAGTAGCTCACACCTGTAATCCCAGCACTTTGGGAGGCCAAGGTGGGCGGGTCACTTGAGGTCAGGAGTTTGAGACCAGCCTGGCCAACATGATGAAACCCTGTCTCTACTAAAAATACAAAAAATAGCCAGGCACGGTGGCGCATGCCTGTAATCCCAGCTACTCGGGAGGCTGAGGCAGCAGAATCGCTTGAACCCAGGAGGTGGAGGGTGCAGTGAGCCGAGACTGCACCATTGCACTCCAGCCTGGGGCACAAGAGTAAAATTGCATCTCAAAAATAAATAAATAAATAAATAAATAAATAAATAAATAAATAATGGGGGTAGAGAATTGACCAAAAAATGATAAAATGTTGATGTGAAGCTGGGTAATAGATTAAGGGAGTACATCAACTATGTGTTAATCTCGGTCCATACAAAACAAATTATCTCCCAACAGAAAAAAGTGATTATCACCTCGGTGATCTTCTCTGTATTGCAGGTTGACACTATCTGTGGATCAACACTCTGTGAGCTACTCAGTCGTGATGAGCTCCTCTTATATTACCATCCAACACATCTATTATGTCATGAGGACAGTGACAGTCTTGTCTGATACTCCCTAATGAAGCAAAGATACTGTCTTTGGTTTTTTTGTTTTGTTTTGTTTTTTTCCTGTTTCTTTTCTTTTTTTTTTTTCTGACACAGGGTCTCACTCTATTGCCTGGGCTGGAGTGCAGTGGCACAATCATGGCTCACCACAGCCTCCACCTCCTGGGCTCAGGTGATCCTTTCATCTCAGCCTCCCAAGTAGCTGGGACTACAGGCATGTGCCACCATGCCCGGCTTAATATTTTTGCAGAGAAGGGGTTTCGTCAGTTGTTCAGGCTAGTCTCGAATACCTGGGCTCAAGGGACCTGCCTGCCTCGACCTCCCAAAGTGCTGGGATTATACACTGAGCCCAGCTGAAAGATACTGTCTATGGTGATGCTGTAATCTCAGCACTTTGGGAGGCCGAGGCGGGCGGATCACAAGGTCAGGAGATCGAGACCATCCTGGCTAACACGGTGAAACCCCGTCTCTACAAAAAATCAGCCAGGCATGGTGGTGGGCGCCTGTAGTCCCAGCTACTCAGGAGGCTGAGGCAGAATGGCATGAACCCAGGAGGCGGAGCTTGCAGTGAGCCAAGATGGCACCACTGCACTCCAGCCTGGGCGACAGAGCTAGACTCCGTCTCAAGAAAAAAACAAAAAACAAAAAAAAACCACATATAAATAAAATCGTTAAAACTGTATGCAAAGTATTTATAAGGATGGTAGACAGCTATTTTTCTGTATCCAAGAAGAAAATGAAGATGGTTACTAAGAGCCAAAACGGGCCAGGCGCGGTGGCTCACCTGAGGTCAGGAGTTTGAGACCAGCCTGGCCAACATGGCGAAACCCCATCTCTACTAAAAATACAAAAATTAGCTGGGTGTGGTGGCGTGCGTCTGTAGTCCCAGCTACTTGGGAGGCTGAGGCAGGAGAATCACTTGAACCCGGCAGGCAGATGTTGCAGTGAGCCGAGATCGCGCCACTGTACTCCAGCCTGGGCGACAGAGTGAGATTCCATCTCAAAAAAAGAAAAAGAGCTAAAATGATGATTGCTTACCATATGCCAGGCACTACTCCAAACATTTTATATATAAAACCATCTAATAACAACCATTCTCTGAGGTTACTAAACATTAAGCCTATTTCATAAAATGATGCAGAGAGATAAACAACTTACCCAAGGTCACAGTAAGTGACCAGGCTGGGGTTTGAACTCAGACAGTCTGGCTCCAAAGTTCCATTCCTAACTTCACTACTCATTATCTCAGGAAAAACTTAAGAGTAAACAGGAAAATTTCATCCATTGCAGAAGTGTGGCCTCAGGGTACTGATGAACTAATAAATTCTCTCTGAGCCTGCAGTTTTGGGTCTCTCATACCAGCAGCATACATAGTAGAAAATGGGTTGAAATATGAGTCATGGGATCTAGATTCTAGTCCTGACTTTGTCATTAACTTGTAATATGATCTCAAGTAGTATGGTTCAATCTTTCTTCTAGACCACAGTTGGAGGTATTATGAAAGGGGGCTGGGGAGGAGGCTGTTGCGGCTGATTTCCTTCTGGACCAAAAGGTCTATTATTCTATCTTCCTCTTGATTATATTGGAGAGAAATGGACTAAAATAAACTAATTCATTATCCAGATGCCAAACTGGCCTATTTCCCACAGTGTGATCTCCAGGCCTGGACCTGTCTCACTGTAGCACTGGCACAGAAGACACATCGGGCTTTCTACCACTCTCCTGCAACTGTGGGAAAAAAGACAAAGTTCACAGGCCACCAAAATGATGTCTACCTGATAGAAAGTTTAAACTAGAGAGAAAGGCAACATAATCACATCAACTCCTGACTTCAAGATTTCTAATGATATTGCTGCTGAGCATGTATTTATTCATATTCATTCAACCAAATTAACTACAGTTGGGTCATCCCAATGGCCTATACAACATCTCCACTTGAACATCTAATAGACATCCCTAATTTACGCCTGAAACAGAACTCTTGACCTCCATCTCCAAAATGCTTCTCCCTTCCTCCTGCCTTCCCCATGTCAGTAAATGGCCCTCTTCTCTACCACTTGCTTTCACAGAGATGACTGAGCTGTCATCCTTGATTCCTCCTTTCCCCTACATTACACCAGCAAGTCCTCATTGTCTCTACCTTCAAGATACATCTGGGCCAGGCCACCACTACTCATCACTGTCATGCCTCCATCCTAGCTCAAGGCACCTTCATCTTCTGACTAAAGCAGCCTCCCAATTAGGAGTCTTGCCTTCTACTCTCGCCTCACTCCACCCTGCAGCTAGAATGATCTCGAACACAAGTGGTTAAGTCAGTAACTTGCTCAAAACCATCCACTGGGTTTTGAGCAAGAATCAAAATCAAATTCCTCACCAAGGCCTAAAATGTCCCATATAACCTGGGCCCAGCTTATCCCTACCTCATCTTCTCTACTCCTCTTCTTTGCCTAGCAGCTTCAACCACCCTGTTGTCCTACCGTGTTCCAACTCAGGACTTTTATACTTAATGAAGTCTCTGCTCCAATGTCACCTCCTCAAAAGGCCTTCCCTGATCATCCTTTCTAAAACAGCAACACACACACCAATCATCTGACTTCCAAGGTTATGCAATTTTTTTTTTTTTAATTAAAACAGAGATAGGGTCTCCCTGTGTTGCCCAGGCTGGTCTCAAACTCCTGGGCTTGAGCAATCCTCCCAACTCAGCCTCCCAAAGTATTGAGATTACAGGAGTGAGTCACTGCAATCCTTATTCTCTCACTCTACTTTATTTTCTTCAGAATATTTATCACCTTCCAAAATTATGTTTCATTTCTACTCCACCCCCCAACCCCCAGTCTCCACTAAAATATAAGCTTCAGAGTGAGAAGAAGTTCCTCTTATCTTTCATTACTCTATCCCTAGCTTCAGTAATAGTGTCTGGCACAGTATTTGTAGAATGAATGAGTTTTCCCAGTCTCTATTATGTGCCAAAATATGCACTAGGTGCTAGAGATACCTCCAGCTGTTGTCATCTCTCCTTCCCTTCACAGCCAAACCTTTGGGTAGTGTCCTCAATTTCTCATATTCAGTCAGAATTTAACACATTGCAATCTGGGTCCAGCCCACTCCTTTGAAACTGCTCATTAAGTTCCACAACCTTCCCTATTCCAATGGCTCAAGCCAATGAACACGGCATTCCTTATCTTCTTGACCTTTCTGTAGTGCTATTGACCATATTCTTCTTCAGGAAAATCATCTTCTTAAGTTTCAACACCAATACTCTCACCTGGTCCTCCCATTCTCCAGGCTGTTCAGTTAGTTTCCTGCTCCTCCAATGCTCAATTCAGTTTCCTTATCTTCTCAATCCATGTATTTTCAACATCACTGAGCAATCACTCTACAACAATGGACACCTCTTAGCCTAGTCCTCATGTTCACATGTTCAAATCCCCCTGGACATCTCTACCTGGATGTCCCTCAGGCACCTCAAACCTAACATGCCAAAACCAAAGTCCCTTCTCTTTTCCCTGCTTCCTGCACCCACCCCTGAAAGCATGCTTCTCTGTCCTCTATATGCATCATGATGAATGGCAACGCCCAATTAATCAAGCCAGAAACCCAAGTTTTCTTAGACTTTTCATTCTTCCACAATCCTCATGCTTAATCGATCACCAGATATGACTCTTACTCACCTCTACAACTACAGCAATTATCTTTTCTTGTGGTAATGAAACTGTCTCCCTCCTATACCTTCCTCCCTGCAGATCCATCCTCCAAAGTGCTATCTTTCAGAGCACAAAAATCAGATGTTACTCCCTGGCTTAAAATTACCTAAAAACTCACTCCTCATCACCCTACCCTCTTGACAAAGCTCATCTCCTGGCATTTATCCCTCCCTTTCTGCCTCAGCAATGCTATCTATGCCTTCCCCCTACACCACAAGCCTGGCAATCCATCAACTATCATTATTTTTTGAGATGCCTTTATAAATTCACCATCAAAGTATGGAGCCTCTGTATCTGTTTTTTCCACTATATCTGGTAAATATAAATTTATTACAGTTCTTACTACACTGTATTATAATCACCTGTCTCATAGGACTGAAACTCCCTTTTTTTGTCACCAGTGCCCAGCACATCTCCACAGAGTAAGTTTTCAATACATATTTATTAGAAGAATCGATTAAAGCAGAGGTCAGCAAACTATGGCCCGTGGAGAAATCTGGTCCCCTATCTGGTTTTGTACAACCTGCTAAGAATGGTTTTTACATTTTTAAATGATAGGGTGGGGGGAACTTAGAATATCTGGTGGTGCCTGAAAATTATATGAAATTCAAATTTCAGTGCCCATAAAGATTTACCAGATCATAGTCATGTTCATCTGTTTATACAAAGTCTCATGGCTGCTTTCATACTACAACAGCAGAGTAGAGTAACTGCAATCAAGACCATGTGGCCTACAAAGCCACATTTGCTATGTGGTTCTCCAAAGAAAAAGTCAGATGGCTTCTCAACTAAACATGAATGAACATGGGCTTTGGTCTGTGATAGAGTTTGATTAAAAATCCTGGCTTTCTCTCTTACTACCTATGGGACCTACGACAAATAACCTAACCTCTCTGAAACTCAACTTCCTAATTTGTAAAAGGGAATAACATATGCCTTGCTGGGTGGATCTGAAATTTTAAGCCTTTAAACTGAGGTCTCTGCTGTAGGAACCAGTCTAAAAGTTCTTGGTACAGAGCTTAATGTTAAGAACCCAAACCCAGGTTTGAATTCCAGCTCTATCAAACACTGTGCCATCTTAGGGAAGGTACTTAACTTCTCAGTGCATTAATTTCCTCATCTATAAAACTGAGATAATGATACATATCTCATAGGACTGTTTAGAGAATTAAATGAGTTGGTACATGTGAAATGCTTACAACAGTGCCTGGCACATAGTAAGTATTCAATAAATATTAATATAGCAGATGCTTGGTTAATATTAGTTTCTCCCCTTGCTGCCTCTTCATCTACTCTACTTCCCACCCCCATTCCCAAGAAGCCTACTTTTTTTTTTTTTGAAATGGAGTTTCACTCTTGTTGCCCAGGCTGGAGTGCAATGGCGCGATCTTGGCTCACCGCAACCTCTGCCTCCTGGGTTCAAGTGATTCTCCTGCCTCAGCCTCCCGAGTAGCTGGGATTACAGGCATGCGCCATCACACCCGCCTAATTTTGTATTTATTTATTTTTTTTTAGTAGAGACGGCATTTCTCCATGTTGGTCAGGCTGGTCTTGAACTCCCGACCTCAGGTGATCTGCCTGCCTCGGCCTCCCAAAGTGCTGGGATTACAGGTGTGAGCCACTGTGCCCGGCAGAAGCCTACATTTTTAAAGCAGACAGACAAGTAAGTCAACACTCACATGACAAGTGCTATTATACTATAAAAGATGTCTTCCAAGTCAATACACAAGCAGGGTCCTCCTCTTAGCTCTCTGATTGGGCTGACCCTGACTCCTCTGCTCTTGCTTCTAAATATGAACATACTTCTCCCTTCTCTATGCTTTCATCCTTAGAAATCTAGCCTATCCCCAGGCTTCAGTAAAGAAGGCTATGAAATTCTTAAATCTAGCCCCAATTTCTCTCTCCTGAACCCCAGAGTAGTATTTCCCACTTCTGATTTCTACCTAGTGGCCTACCATCACCTTAAATTCAAAACATCAAAAGCTGAAAATGATTCTTTTTCCTGTCTCTCCCCTCCTAGATGCCCAATTTACTACAAGAACCTGCAATTCTTCCAGCACTCTGGCTGGCTGTCCTGCAATTTATACTTTATTCCTTGCTCTCTCAACAATAAGCCTTTATCTTAAGGCATCTTTTTTCTTTCTGTTCCTGTGACGATTGACTAATTCAGATCCTTTTTATTTCAAGCTCAAGCTCATTCCAGCAAAAAGGTCTACAGGTCTCCCTGCTACAGGCACAGGCACCAATCTCTCACATACTACCATAACAATCTGCTTCAGTGATACCAATTTTCATTGTTCCCTTTCTCTGCTTAAAACTTTTAATGCACTACTCCTTCCTCTGTCCCACAATCTGTATGGGAAAAGAACAAGACTGACCTTCACATGACAATCAAAATCCTTCACTTATCTACCTTGCTCCCACCTTCATTTCTTATCTTATCTACCGTGATAAAAAATACCATCACCTTACATTTATGCAGTGCTTTATCTAATTTAGAAAACCTAACATGCACCGCCATTTCATCTTGACAAAGGCCTTAGAGAGTAGCTAAACAGGCATTAGTGTCCTCCTTTTACAGATGAGAAAACAGACTACTAGCATTGAACCCAAGTCTAAACAAATAAGTCCCTGTCCCACTTCACCCTTGGAACCTTAAGTAAGTCCATCAACCTTTCTTTCTTTTTTTTGAGACGGAGTCTCACTGTGTCGCCCAGGCTGGAGTACAGTGGCGTGATCTCGGCTCACTGCAACCTCCACCTCTCGGGTTCAAGCGAGTCTCCTGCCTCAGCCTCCCGAGTAACTGGGATTACAGGTGCCCACCACCACGCCTGGCTAATTTTTTTTTTTTTTTCTTAAGTACAGACACGGTTTCACCATCTTGGCCAGGCTGGTCTCGAACTCCTGACCTCGTGATCCACCCACCTTGGCCTCCCAAAGTGCTAGGATTACAGGCGTGAGCCACCGCACCCGGCCCAGCCTTTCTAATATACCTCACTCCCCCTGCTAACATACGGGAGTCTTCTGTTCCAGAAACTCTGGTCTCCTCACTGTTGTCCCACCTACCTCTCTCCAACACACTGCATGTTTTCTTAGTTCTGCACTTTACCTCCTACATTCTCTCACTTGGCGGATCCCCTTCCCCCAACTCATCCTATAAAAATACGATACTTCTTCAAGTCTTGAGTTTAAATGCCACCCTAAGGAAATCTCTTCTCTGACACCCAAATAACACCTCATTCCACTTGCCAACACTACAGAACTTGTAGTAAATGAGCTGACACTTTTAATTGCCCCAGTCATACAAGGGTTATTTTATTTTAAATACTTAGACCTTATTGCTTCAGTCATACCACATACTTTAGGAGGAAAAATTCTAAGAGTTTTCTAAATGCCTCATAGTACTTATCATAATACCTTGCACATAAGGACCCAAAGTTTTAGGTTAGACATCCAAGGCCAGTGTTTTTCAATAGGAGGTGACAATCCATGAATAGAATGTGAAATCAATCTAGAAGGTCACAACTAGTATTTTGGTTTTTAATGAAGCAGAATAGAAAACAAAGTATATGTTTCAAAGTAGTGATAAGTACTATTTTGCATTACTCTTGCTTCATTACATATGTATGTGACTACTGCATCAGAATATAAAATATATTTCTGTGTTATATTTTTTTAAAAGTTTGAGAGCTGCTAATGTATGTAGATGACCTAGTTTCTAGGCCCAAGGGTTTTTTTTTTTTGAGATGGAGTCTGGCTCTGTCACCCAGGCTGGAGTGCAGTGACACAATCTCGGCTCACTGCAACCTCCGCCTTCTGGTTTCAAGCTATTCTCCTGCCTCAGTCTCCCCAGTAGCTGGGATTACAGGCACTTACTGCCACACCCAGCTAATTTTTGTATTTTTAGTAGAGACGGGGTTTCACCATGTTGGCCAGGCTGGTCTCAAACTCCTGACCTCGTGAGCCGCCTGCCTGGGCTTCCCAAAGTGCTAAGATTAGAGGCGTGAGCCACCGCGCCAGGCCAGGCCCAAGGGTTTTACATTCAAACTAGGAAGATTCACCTTCCACCAAACCCCACACCCTTCAGGAAACATCAGTTAAATAGAGTAATAGAGTAACAGGGGTCAAGAAAGACAAAGCTTAAAAGAACGGTAAATGTAGGGAAAGTTTGTAAAGAAATGTTCTTAGAGATGTTTGGGACACAAACTGAGTATGTACTTTCCACCCCCTGCCATTTAGTTAGTCAAAAAGACCTTTCTATAGAAGCAGGGCTTCCGAAATGTGTTTCTCAAAGCATTCACAGTTCAACAGTCCTCAACACAGCCTACAATGCGAGGGTGTCCAAGATCTGGCTCGAACTACGCCAACTTCACTTCCTACCCCTTTCCACCCCAATCATTGCCCTCCAGCCACATGGCCTCTGTGCTGTTCCAAGAACATTCCAATTTCAGGACCTCTACACTTGCTGTATCCTCAGTCGTATTTTTTTTTCCTTTAAATCTCTCTCATTTAACTATGGCTTTTCCTTAAATGTCCATCTTCAGATAGGCTTTTCCTGACCACCCTATCTAAAGTAGCCCATACTCTGGCCGGCCATGGTGGCTCAAGCTTGTAATCCCAACACTTTGGGAGGCTGAGGCAAGGGGATTGAGCCCAAGAGTTCGAGGCCATCCTGGGCAACATAGTGAGGCCCCAACTTCACAAAATAAATAAATAATAGAAGTTTCTTTCTTTCTTTCTTTCTTTTTGAGACAGAGTTTTACTTGCTGCCCAGGCTGGACTGGAGTGCAATGGCGCAATCTTGGCTCACCGCAACCTCTGCCTCCCGGGTTCAAGCAATTCTCCTGCCTCAGCCTCCCGAGTAGCTAGGATTATGGGCATGCGCCACCACACCCAGGTTATTTTGTATTTTTAGTAGTGACGGGGTTTCTTCATGTTGGTCAGGCTGGTCTCGAACTCCTCACCTCAGATGAGCCACCCACCTCAGCCTCCCAAAGTGCTGGGATTACAGGTGTGAGCCACCGTACCCAGCCTCTGCTAAGCTTCTTTAAATATAAAAGAAAAAAATAAATAAAAGGTCATGAAACCAGTATATGTTAAAAAATAATTTTAAGGTGAAAAAGAAATGAAAAATCTAAGTTCTTAGGACAGAAACTGAAGCAGAAATCCACAGCCAAGTGTGATGGCTCACATCTGTAATCGTAGCACTTTGGGAGGCTGAGGCGGGAAAATTGCTTGAGCTCAGGAGTTTGAGACCAGCCTTGGCAACACAGCAAGACCCCATCCCTACAAAAAATATATATAGAGTGTGGGCTACTTTATTTACTTATTTTTTCAAAGAAACTTCTATTATTTATTTACTTATTTTGTGAAGATGGGGTCTTACCATGTTGCCCAGCTTTGTCTCAAACAATCCTCCTTCCTCAGCCTCCCAAAGTGCTGGGATTACAAGCATGAGCCACCATGGCCAGCCAGAGTATGAGCTACTTTAGACAGGGTGGTCAGCAAAAGCCTAGCAGACCCTCAACGCATAAATGTGAATATGTTTTTCAACTGAGGCATTTTTTAAATGAAAATTTAGCATTTGAATTAAAATATGATGAATGTAAAATTTAAGATTTAAGACTTTGGCTGGGAATAGGGACTCACTCCTGTAATCCCAGCACTGTAGGAGACCAAGGTAGGATTGCTTGAGGTCAGGAGCTCAGGACCTGCCTGGGCAACATAGGGTGACTCCATCTCTATAAAAAATACAAAAGTCAGCCGGACGCAGTGGCTCACGCCTGTAATCCCAACACTTTGGGAGGCCAAGGTGGGTGGATCACCTGAGGTTAGGAGTTCAAGACCAGCCTGGCCAACACAGTGAAACCCCATTTCAACTAAAAATACAAAAAAATTAGCTGGGTGTGGTGGCAGGTGCCTGTAATCCCAGCTACTTTGGGAGGCTGAGGCAGGAGAATTGCTTGAACCCAGGAGGTGGAGGTTGCAGTGAGCTGAGATCACGCCATTTTACTCCAGCCTGGGCTACAAGAACGAAATTCTATCTCAAACAAACAAGCAAAAAAAACAAAACAAAAGTTAGCCAGGTATGGTGGCACATGTCTGTAGTCCTATCCACTCAGGAGATTGAGGTATGAGAATCTCTTGAGGATGGGAGGTCAAGGCTGCAGTGAGGTACGATCACACCCCCACACTCCAGCCTGGGCAACAGAGTGAGACTCTGTCTCTTAAAAAAAAAAATTTAAGACTTTGTAAGAAAAAAATGTAAATATATCATAAACAATTCTATGTCAGTTACATGTTGAAATGGTATTTTGGATATAGTGGGTTGTTATTTCATTATTAATTTCACCTCCTTTTTTAAAAATGTGGCTACCAGGGAATTTAAGATTATGTATGTGGCTTACATTAGATTTCTATTGGATAGCAATGGTCTATGCCAATTCTGCAAGTAGATTTGTTATTTCTCTTCCAATGGTGGCTTTTAAAAAGCTTGTAGAAAATATGATCTAGAATAACGAAGAAACATGAAAATATACAGCATGTCTGACTCAGAATGAAGACCCTTGATACTGATCTAATATAGGAACACTTGTATTTCTCATCTACTGTCACTTGACGTTCTTATCACCAGTTTTCCTAGAGAAGAGAAAATCAGTCCCACCTCTGTGACCACTATGTATATTCATATGTATAGCCATACAAACACACTGTATAATTTACATTGACTTAGAACCGCAATTAACTACATACAAATCCCTAACAGTGTCAGACTGAACATCAAGATCTTTGAACATGAAAACTACCTGGGTTCCCATTCACCATCCAACCATCCTCAACTCCCAGCATGTATTTCAATATCATAGAAAAGAAGGGCCGGGCATGGTGGCTCAGCCTGTAATCCTAGCACTTTGGGTGGCGAAGGCAGGTAGATCACCTGAGGTCAGGAGTCCAGGACCAGCCTGGCCAACATGGCGAAACCCCGTCTCTACTAAAAATACAAAAATTAGGGCATGGTGGTGCATGCCTGTAATCCCAGCTACTCGGGAGGCTGAGGCAGGAGAATCACTTGAACCCAGGAGGTGGAGGTTGCAGTGAGCCGAGATTGCGCCACTGCACTCCAGCCTGGGCGACAAGTAAGACTGGCTCAAAAAAAAAAAAAAAAAAAAAAAAAAAAAAAAAGAAAATAAGGAACACATCTGTAACTCCTTTATATAATCCCTGCCTGCTCTACTTCAACATCCTTAACTCCTAATTTAGAAAACTTCTCTGCTTACACTGCCAAACCTCTACAACCACAGAGGACACCAAAGGAGAATACTGGTGGAACAAGAACAGTAGGGTACAGCTATTCACCCCAATAGTTGTTAGTTATCTAACCATTCACAAAAACCCGTAACACAAAAACTACACTGAACACAAAAATAAATGTTTAATCCCTTTAGCTCTTTTCTAAGTATCAAAAGATAATCACAAATCTATGAAGAATTGCCAGGCACAGTGGCTCACGCCTGTAATCCCAGCACATTGGGAGGCAGAGGCAGGCGGACCAACTGAGGTCAGAGGTTCGAGACCAGCCTGGATAACATGGTGAAACTCTGTCTCTACTAAAAAAAATACAAAAATTAGCTGGGCATGGTAGTGGGCGCCTGTAATCTCAGCTACTCAGGAGGCTGAGGCAGGAGAATCATTTGAACCCAGGAGGCGGAGGCTGCAGCTGAGCTGATACTGCGGTACTGAACTCCAGCCTGGCCGACAGAACCAGACTCCATCTCAAAAAAACAAACAAACAAACAAACAAACAAAAAGCCTGGAGAATAAGACAGGAGTGCTGCTGGAGAGACCCTTTACTTTGCTGAGTAGGGAGGATGACAGAGTCTCAAAGGAACAATAAAAGTCATAACCAAATAATAAATTATAATCAAATATACCTGTGACTGTTCCAAGTCAACTCATCAACCTAGTACTCTAAAAAGTGACTCTCCTAATGAAAATCCTCTTACTGTAGAAAAAGTTGATATCATGACACTGGCACTGAGTACCAGCAAAAGAGATTAAAAAAACATTAAAATTCAACAGAAAAGGCCAGGCGCGGTGGCTCACGCCTGTAATCCCAGCACTTTGGGAGGCCGAGGTGGGTGGATCACGAGGTCAGGAGATCGAGACCATCCTGGCTAACACGGTGAAACCCTGTCTCTACTAAAAATACAAAAAATTAGCCGGGAGCGGTGGCAGGTGCCTGTAGTCCCAGCTACTTGGGAGGCTGAGGCAGGAGAATGGCATGAACCCGGGAGGCGGAGCTTGCAGTGAGCCGAGATTGCACCACTGCGCTCCAGCCTGGGCAACAGAGTGAGACTCTGTCTCAAAAAAAAAAAAAAAATTCAACAGAAGATAATGTGCAAACCTAATTAGTCATGATATCAAGATGCTTCATCCACTTATTCTTCTGCTATTTCTTCTAGCTGAGGGTAATACAACTGACCCACTCTTCTGATCTCAGTTTTTTTTTTTCTAGTAGCAGTGATTAAGTTACAGGGATCCATCTATACTTCTTTGCCAGTACCCCCGTGGCCACTGGCAAAGTTTGATGGACTGCTGGCTGGCACTGTGGCCATAGAAGAGATGAGGCTAGGCTGGGTGTGGTGCTTCACACCTATAATCCCAGCACATTGTGAGGCCGAGGCAAGAGGATTGCTTGAGCCCAAGAGTTCAAGACCAGCCTGGATGACACAATGAGACCCTATCTCTACAAAAATTTCAAAAATTATTCAGGCGTGGTAGCACATGCCTGTACTCCCAGCTACTTGGGAGGCTGCGGCAGGAGGATCACGTAAGCCCAAAGGTTGAGGCTGCAGTAAGCCTTGTTTATGTCACTGGACTCCAGTCTGGGTGACAGAGTGAGACCCGGCCTCAAGACAAAAAAAAAAAAAGATATGAGGCTAATTGACTGTGTATATGAATTGGATGAACTCATAATTCTACTTTGCTACAACTCAGAGAGCCAACAACTAAAAACAATTCTACAGGCAGTTACCATGGTTAACAAACACCAAGAGGGCCATCAGGGATGTAGCAGAGAGGGAATGGTGGAAGGTGCCTAACAAGGCAATTCATTCATCTCTTGTTCATTTCATTGGGCAGTGTTTTCACTTCCTGGTACCCAGCTCTCAAGACATTCCATCAGGCGTGAGAGCTGGTTTTCTGTTTCCAACATCCTGTAGCTACAGATCCATTTCCAAGCTTCACACCCACCTTGCCTGTCTTTCCTCTGCCAACACCCACCTGGCCACTGGTCCTTACCAACCCAAGAACAGCCTATCTTTTCCTGGCTCCTCACTTCCTTCTCATGTAATCTAGGTAATATGTTCCTTTAGGAAACTGTCTGCCTTATCCCAGATCTTTAACATAAATCAAGACATGGCTAACATATAAAAATAACTGGCTGGGCGCAGTGGCTCATGCCTGTAATCCCAGCACTTGGGAGGCTGAGGTGGGCAGATCACCTGAGGTCAGGAGTTCAAGACCAGCCTGACCAACATGGAGAAACACCATCTCTACTACAAAAAAAAAAAAAATACAAAATTAGCCGGGCGTGGTGGCGCATGCCTGTAATCCCAGCTACTTGGGAGGCTGAAGCAGGAGAAACACTTGAACCCGGGAGGCAGAGGTTGCGGTGAGCCGAGATCGCGCCACTGCACTCCAGCCTGGGCAACAATAGTGAAACTCGGTCTCAAAAAAAAAAAAATTACCAAATTTTAAGATGCTCTGATCTGTATACTGCTTACGGGTTCTTTTCTCAATTTTAATGAATAACTTCAAAGACTGAAAAAATACCTTATAATTTTAAGGAAATGAAAAACATCATGGTCCTTAGCACAACACTAAAATTAATTAAAAAATTAATCTTCTATAAAAAAAGACTTTTATTAGGAACAGCATTCTACTTTTAACTTTTATGAATATGCAGTTTAGGGAGCGCTTCCTTTGAGTCCATATGCATGAAAGTAGCCCCACAGCTATATTTATAAAGTGATTTTTTTTTTTTTTTTAGACAGAATTTCGCTCTTGTTGCTCAGGCTGGAGTGCAATGGGTGATCTCAGCTCACTGCAACCTCCGCCTCCTGGGTTCAAGAGATTCTCCTGCCTCAGCCTCCCGAGTAGCTGGGATTACAGGCGCCTGCCATCACGCCCAGATATTTTTTTGTATTTTTAGTACAGATGGGGTTTCACTATGTTGGCCAGGCTGGTCTCAAAATCCTGACCTTAAGTGATCCACCCATCTTGGTCTCCCATGGGATTACAGGCATAAGCCACAGCGCCCAGCTCATAAAGTGATTTAAAAAACATTATTTCTAGGATAATTCAATGACAGCTTAGCCTTCACTAAAAACTTTTGGAGCTTCTAGTTTAAAAACAAAAAAAACATGGCCAGGCGCGGTGGCTCACACCTGTAATCCCAGCACTTTGGGAGGCAGAAGGGGGAATCACTTGAGGTCAGGAGTTCGAGACGAGCCTGGCCAATATGGTGAAATCCCATCTCTACTAAAAATACAAAAATTAGCCAGGCACGGTGGCTCATGCCTGTATCCTAGCACTTTGGGAGGCTGAGGTGGGCAGATCACCTGAGGTCAGGAGTTCGAGACCAGCCTGACCAACATGGACAAACCCTGTCTCTATAAAAACACAAAATGAGCCAGACATGGTGGCGCATGCCTGTAATCCCAGCTACTCGGGAGGCTGAGGCAGGAGAATCGCTTGAACCCAGGAAGTGGAGGTTGTGGTGAGCTGAGATCGCGCCATTGCACTCCAGCCTGGGCAACAGGAGCGAAACTCCATCTCAAAAAGCAAACAAACAAAAATTAGCCAGGCATGGTGGTACATGCCTGTAATGCAGCTACTTGGGAAGCTGAGGCAGGAGAATTTATTGAACCTGGGAGACAGAGGCCACAGTGAGCCGAGATCATGCCACTGCACTCCAGCCTGGATGACAGAGTGAGACTCTGTCTCAAAAAAAAACCCAAATACATTGTGCACATGTACCCTAAAACTTAAAGTATAAAAAAAAAAAAACCCAAAAACCAAAAGACAAAAAACCTAGGCAAATATATATGATAGATATCATAAAGTTGATGTTTTGAAAATAAGTTATGATGCATGGATTTCTTTTAAAAAGGTTGCAAAGCTTAATATGAAGGGGTCTGTTTAGTTATTTCACATCATAAGTTTCATAAGCTGCTACTGTGAAAAAGTTACCATCTTACAAGACTGCTGCTAAGGCTGGGCACGGTGGCTCATGCCTGTAATCCTAGCACTTTGGGAGGCCGAGGCGGGTGGATGACCTGAGGTCGGGAGTTCAAGACCAGCCTGACTAACATGGAGAAACCCTCTATCTACTAAAAATACAAAATTAGCTGGGTGAGGTGGCGCATGCCTGTAATCCTAGCTACTCGAGAGGCTGAGGCAGGAGAATCACTTGAACCTGGGAGGCGTAGGTTGCGGTGAGTTGAGATCGCCTCATTGCACCCCAGCCTGGGCAACAAGAGCGAGGAAAGAAAAAAAAAAAAAGATTGCTGCTAAAACATCTTAAAATCTCAGACTAAAAGGAATCTCTTCCAAATTGAGTTCCCAATTTGAAACAAGAACATGTAGTTATGTTTTACTACATTTTAACTTAAACATGAATATAAAAATATGGGAAAATGAGCTTCAAAATGAACTTTAAATGAAATTATGAAATCAAAGACCCCAGAAATTAAAATGTGATTCATTTTCCCATAAATTTACATTCTTATATATTCTCTATTGAAAGTCAAGGTAAATGTAATTTACGATTTATTCAAACTGAAAAAGTTGCTGGGCATGGCAGCTCACACCTATAATCCCAGTACTCGAGAGCTGAGGTGGGAGAATCACTTGAGCCCAGGAGTTTGAGACCAGCCTAGGCAATACTGGAAGATCCAGTCTCTACAAAAAAGAAAAAAAAAAAAAGTCGGGTGTGGGGCGCACACCTGTGGTCCGACCTGCTATGGAGGCTGAAGTGGGAGGATTCTTTGAGCCTGCGAGGTCAATGCTGCAGCGGGCTATGCTGGTGCGCAGCATGGGCGACAGAGACCCTGTCTCAAAAACAAAAAACGAACTGAAAAAGTCTTAAGAATGTCATAATCTGTTAACAGATTACAGTTAAAGTACAATAAGTTGTAAGAAGACCTGATGGTAAGGATCTTATCAGTGGGAGTCCACTTACATTTCTATAGGGAGGCAAAAGGCACTGCATTAAAATCACATGCTAATTACCAATCTTGGCTTTGCAGTCCCCAAATCCCAAAACCAAATTATTTCTGTCTATATGTGTGCTTCAGTGGCAGATAACATTTTTTGAGAAGAGAAAATTAAGGCTAGGAGCAATGGCTCACACCTGTAATCCCAACACTCTGGGAGGCTGAGATGGGAGGATCACTTGAGCCTGGGAGATGGAGGTTGCAGTAAGCCAAGATCCCACCAATGTACTCTACTCTAGCCTGGGCAACAGAGAGTAAAAAAAAATAATTATAAAAAAGGAGAGAGAGAGAGAAAATTAGAATCTACTAAGAAAAGAGTGGTACAACTTTCAAAAAGTTGGAGCTGCCATTCTACAATGTATACATATTTCAAAACATCATGTTATACATGATAAATATATACAATTTTTGCCAATTAAAAAAATAAAAACAAAAAAAGTTGGGACTAAGTAGATTAATGGCCTACGTAGTCTTGTATTTTACATTTTAAAAATAAATAGTATCAGATACTTCTGAAACTAGCATAACAATATGACCACCTGCTCATTTATCCACTATCATTTTTACATGTGAAAATCTTCAAAAAGCTAGAGAAATTATAAATCAGATAAAGATAAGGACTCTACTTGAAATCTCAATTTGTTTTTTTTTGTTTTTTTTTTTTTAAAGAAATAGGGTCTCTCAGCCTCCCATCTAGCTGGGACTACATGTGCACATCACTGCAACCGGCTTGAAATCTCAAACAATTTTACCCAAAATCAAAAGTAGCCCAGAAAGAGTTAAGAAGGTGCTGGGCGTGGTGGCTCATACCGGTAATCCCAGCACTTTAGGAGGCTGAGGTGGGTGGATCACTTGCGGTCAGGAGTTCGAGACCAGCCTGGCCAACATGGTGAAACCTGTCTCCACTAAAAATAGAAAAATTAGCCAGTAGCAGTGGCAGGTGCCTATAATCCGAGCTACTCGGGAGGCTGAGGCAGGAGAATCACTCGAACACAGGAGGTGGAGGATGTAGTGAGACAAGATCACGCCACTGCATTCCAGCCTGGGCGACAGAGCGAGACTCTGTCTTTAAAAAAAAAAAAAAAAAAAGGAGTTAAGAAGGCACTCAAGAAAAAAGTGCTAGAATCACAGTAGAGTACCTCTCTGAAATTTGACAAAATTAGTAAAAGTTGGCAATTACTTTGTCATCAGTGTTTATCCCTTCCTTATGGCATGTTTCACAATGCACTGTGGAAGCTACGTAAAAAATGCATCTTCCTTGCCAGACTTAAAGTAAGGAGCTGCATCTTATTCACTTAGCCCCACATTCCTTGGAACCTAGCAGACTGCCTTACACATAGTAGTGACTGAAAGGTTGAATGATTTAAGGCGACACATGTACCTAGATCCAGGTAATCAATTAGGCTCTAATCTATGCAAGAACATTCATGATTTCATTTTAGCTAATAAGCAGCGAGCAATTTGTTAAGTTGCTTTTTTTTATTTGGAAAGCTTTAAAAGTAGATTTTAAGCTCTGAATAACATACTTACATTTTAAATGTATTTGAAAGTATGATAGTGAGACATTTTAAAAAATACATCAAGATAAAAAATGATTGGGTTCACTGTGAACTAGACAGTGTTGGCAGGGTGAACACAAAGTGGGTGCTAAAGTCTATAAAATGTTAACATGACAAGAACACCACAAAGTGAGTTAAAAGTGGCCCTACAATTCTCACTGGAAAAGTATTAACGGGCAAGCAGGAAAAATGTAGGGTACTGCCATCTCCACTAAGGGTCTGTAGGGTGGGGAGCCTGTTGTCCACTCCTGAGGAACAATTATTTCCATTCCTCATGGTGCTGCTGAAAAGTGAAGTACGGAGGAGCTGGTTCAGTCTGTGAACTCATTTCCCATCACCCAAAGAAAATGACGGAATCCCAAGCTGACTGGGCCCCTTCTAGACTCTTGATAGTTCAAGCTCTATCAACTCTCTAAAGCGCCAGTCTAGGGCAGAGGTAAAGTAAGGCAAACTACAGCCCTCAGGCCAAATCCAACCACCACTTTTTTTTTTGGAGATGGATTCTCACTCTGTCGCCCAGGCTGGAGTGCAGTGGCACGACCTCAGCTCACTGCAACCTCCACCTCCTGGGTTCAAGCAATTCTCTGCCTCAGCGTGAGCCACCACGGCCGGTCCACCACCAGCTTTTATATAGCCCGAAAGTTAAGAATGGTTATTTGTATTTTTGAATGGTGGGGGTGTCAAATGACAAATCATATTTCATGACACATGAAAATTATATGAAATTCGGCCAGGTGCGGTGGCTTACGCCTGTAATCCCACCACTTTGGGAGGCCGAGGCCGGCGGATCACGAGGTCAGGAGTTTGAGACCACCCTGGCCAACATGGTGAAACCCCATCTCTACTAAACGAAATACAAAAATTAGCCGGGCGCAGTGGTGGGCGCCTGCAATCCCAGCTACGCGGGAGGCTGAGGCAGGAGAATCACTTGAACCCGGGAGGTGCAGGTTGCAGTGAGCCAAGATCACGCCACTGCACCCTAGCCTGGGCAACAGAGCAAGACTGTGTCTCAAAAAAAAAAAAAAAAAAAAAAAAAAAAAAAATATATATATATATATATATATATATATATATATGAAATTAAAATGTCAGTGTCCACAAATAAAGTTTTAATTGGAACAGAGCCATGATCTTTCAATTACAGGTTGTCTATAGCTGCTTTCGTACTATTACAGCTCCGCCAAGCCTGCAATGTTTGCCACCTAGCCCTTTACAGAAGAAGCATGCTGAACCCGGGACTAGAGCATCTCTCTATGCTCCTGGTTGCATTGCCTTTCTCAGAGGCACTGCTTCACAAGGTTGAGCCTTCAAGCTTGACAGGTGTCCATCTCAGGACTGTGTCATCCAAAGTTACATTAATAAAATCATAGGATTTAGTGTAATTCATTAGGGTGGGTACAAAGACAAAGTAACATATTACCTGCACACATAAGGCCCTGAAAAGGAAGCACCAAGCAAGTACAACATGATAGGCTTGTTCAAACCTTTTACCAGACTATTATATCCAGTTCAGGATCACACTACTGAAAGGAAATGAGAACTACAGAGAATTTGGAGGTGGACAGATGACTGAGAGTGCAAAAATTACACCACTAAAGAAACACGGAGGCTGGGCGTGGTGGCTCACGCCTGTAATCCCAGCACTTTGGGAGGCCAAGGCGGGTGGATCACCTGAGGTCAGGAGTTCAAGACCAGCCTGACCAACATGATGAAACCCGATCTCTACTAAAAATACAAAAATTGGATGGGTGTGGTGGCAGGCGCCTGTAATCCCAGCTACTTGGGAGGCTGAGGCAGGAGAACTGCTTGAATCTGGGAGGTGGAAGTTGCAGTGAGCCGAGATCACGCCACTGCACTCCAACCTGGTGACAGAGTGAGACTCCAGCTAAAAAAAAAAAAAAAAAAAAAAGAAAGAAATAAAGAAAAAGAAAGAAAGAAAGAAATGCTGAAAGAAATGGGATTCTTTGGCCCAAAAAAGGCAAAGGTAAGAAAAGAACTAATAGCAAGGGTGCCAAACACTGTATTTACTGATAGGTCAAAGTCTTACTGATGACAATAATGACAGTCTGAACTAATATTCCACAAAATATGTATCTAATGAGTTAAATGTGATTCGTGAGACTGCTATTCCTGTCTTAGGCCATAAACTAGACCCTTGAAAGAGAATCACTTGTCGAATATTGTACTATAAGTCTTCAACAGATGTATTTAGGTATGTTCCTTTTTCATTAGGTATGTTCTATTTACTGACATTAACATAAGTTACTAGGAAAGGTGTGCTACTAGTGTGCTGAGGTTCAGCAATATTCAAGTAACTAAAAGGTAATATAAGTTTCATAACCACACACCTTTGCACAGCACCAAATGGGGGGAAATGGGCTTAAATTACAGAATATATGTTACATTCAAGAATGTTCCAAATATGAGATTTTAATTACTCTAACAGAGCACTGGGGGTGAAGGAATTTTCTTCCCAGGACACTTCAATTAGAATGCTCGTCTGGAACTATCTGTATGCTTTCTTAGACCAAGGAGAATGGGTCTGAAACACTCTTCCATGGCTGTGATTCTCTAACTAACCCTCCCAGTTTTCAAGAGTAAGAGAGCTTGCAGCCATTGCTCACTTTTGTTTTGTCTTGAAGGTGGTCAATGTACACAGGACTACAGTTTAAGATAAACTTTAATATCCCAAATTGAAAACTGATTATAACTTTAATTACGAGTTCTTAAAATTACAGAGATAAGGATACATTTCGATTAAGCAGACGAAGTGGGGAAAAGAGGCATAGCTTCCTACTTCTGTGTCCCTTTCAATGAGGCTAGGTACCTCATTATTTCAAAATGCCCAACACTTGAACACTGTAAGTACTCAACAAATGCTTTGCGAAGAAAATATAGTATATTTCATATTAGTTTTGTAACTTTTAAAATACAGAATCGTTGAACACAGAATGTTGAGTCAATTTCAACGTCGCAATTAGTAATGCGAATTTTGAAACTTGTTCTAAATACAATTTTAATCAATCTGAGTTTTTCAGCCTTGAAATTCTAAGGTCCGTATTTCCCAAAGAATATCCTTCCCATAGTGCTAAGCACACACTAAACTGACTCACTAAACTTTCTCCACTCCTACATCACCTATACAGGATTTTAAAATCCGGAGTACACAAACTTTCAAGCCACTTCTACAATCTTGTATTAACCTTAGCAGGACAAACTTTTCGCCAAGACTCTTAACACTTTTTATCCAAAAACCTGTAGTAGTGAAACAAAGAAAACACAACCCCCTCCTCCTTTTCTAAACCATATGGCAATAAATTAAAGTTAACTTATTTCTTACCAGCTCAAAGCCTATACATCGACCCTAAACATTTGTCTCTTTGTGCCCTGGGACTGGGCTTAGAGCTGTCTGCTTATTTGCAACTGTACTCCAATCGTGTTTTAAAATGGCAAAACAAGGTCCAAAACGACCCCCGACCATGAACAGACCTCACCATCGTCATTTTCCAAAACCTGGTCTGGTAGGCAGCACATGCCGGCGAGGGCACCAGGGCCGCGGGGAGCGAGCCCTGCTCCGCCTGGGTGACTGAGCAGGGAGTTTGCTTGCTGCGGCGGGGTCGGATCCACCCCGGGAACTTGGTTACCCGAGCCCAGGGACGCGCCGAGGCCTAGCCGCGAGGCCGGGGCGGGCTCCAGGCGGCGAGGGCTTCCCGTCCCTTGGCCGCAGAGCCTTCCCGCCAGCCCCGCGGTCGCCCGCAGGCGGGGACACTCGCCGTCGTCTCCCGGCGACCGGACGCGCCTGCCGGGTCCCGGGCCGGCTCTTTTGCCTCCTGCTGCCGCCCGCGGCCCGGCTCTGCGACCACACCGGGCTCTTCCGGGGCGGCGGGAGCGCTAGGCCGCGCTGGGGCCCGCGGCTCCTGAACCGGCCGGGCGGGCCTTGGCGTCCGGTATCAGTCCCGAAGGCCGAGCTCCCGCCGGTAACGGGCCCCGCCGCCTCCCCTCCCCCTCCGCCCCATGACAGTGCAAACCCTCCGGCCGCCCGGGCCGCCCCGCCTCCAGCACCAGGCCCAGCTAAGGGCCGCGGCCGTGGCGGCAGCGGCGCCGCGGCTCTCCGCCCTCGCTCGCTCGCTCCCGGGTCCAGCGCCTCGGGCCCGGCTCGGGCTCGGCCAAAGTCTCCGCCGCTTCCCGGCCGCCCTCCGCCGCGCCCGGCCCGGGCGGGGTAGGCCGAGGCCCGGGAGGTGCGGGTGGGGGCGGGGGCTCCTCTCACCTTCATGTCGGGACATCCTAGTTCAGACGGTGGCGGCGCGGCCCCTCCCGGGCTCCGGCTGCAGTGTCCCCCGCGGGGTCCCGGCGCTGCCCGCGCCGGCCGGCCGACTCCCACTCGACTCCCGGGCTCGGCCGCGGGGGCGGGGTGGGCAGGGGAGCGCTCCCGCGGCGGCGGCGGCGGCGGCGGCGGGGAGGCGGCGCGGGGCGGGAATGGGGCCGGGCCTGGTCGGGGCTGAGCTCCTCCAGGAGGCGGGTCCGACGCCGCAGCTCCGCCGGCGCCCGCCGTGACTCCGGTCACTCTCGGGCCTGCCGGCTCCCGGCAGCGGCGCGGCGCTCCGCAAATCCCGCTCCTCCCCTCCCCCGGCCCACCCCCCGCCCCTCTCCCCCGGCTCCCGGCCGCCGCCTCCTCCTCCTCCTCTTCCTCCTCCTCCGCCTCCTTCCGCCGCCCGCACGCCAGCCCCGCCTCTCGCTGCCCTCGCCGGGCCCAGCCGCCCGGAGGCCCCGCGGCCGGCGGTCGCGACGGGGGCGACGCGGCGACGGCGGCTCGGGGCGCGGCGCTTGCCCGCGCTAGCCAGCAGGCCGCGATCGGGCGCCCGTGCCCAGCCTCGGCCTGGCCGCCGCCGCCGCCGCCGCGCCGCGCGTAGGGAGGAAGAGGAAATGCCCGGCGCCGGCTCCCGCTGCTCACCGGCGCGGCCCGAGGGGCGCCCGCCCGCCACGCCGCCCCTAGCCCCGCCTGGGGCGGGCCTAGGCCGGGCTATAGGGGCCAGGGCCTTGGGCTGCGCCGGCCGCGGGAGGTGGGTGCTTCTCGGCGGCGAGCTGCGACTCGGAGAGACTCCTGTCCGCAGGTGCATGGCTTCCGGGCGGGCCTCGGGCAGCGAGCTCCAGCCCCACTGAGAGGCCGCGGACCGCCTGGGGACTTGTGTTTGTGTGTATTTTAAGCCAACAGCCCAGAAAGGGAAGGCGACTGGCCCCCGGTCTTCGCCAGTGTTTCCCGGCCGGGTTACTGGTGGTCAGGAGGGAAGCCAGGAGGCTGCCGGGCTCCGAGGCCGATTCCTTGCGAACCATCTCCGTTAAAGACTCCGCGCCGGGCAGCCCGGGAGTCCGGCGGTACCCGCGCAAACTTTGTCCCAGCGCCTTGGCTCACCGTGAATGCCCTGCCTTGAAAATTTGGAGTTTTTTGTTTCCTGAAAGTGGTCTGCTTTTCCGATTTTATCTGTGTTTTCCATTTTTACCTTCTTATTGTCAATTTGTTTTCAGGCATTATTAATTCAACAAATCTTTGTACTGCCCCTTACCACGTGTCGATGGTTCCGTGGTTTGGTGGAAATAGATCGCGCTTTGAAGTCAAGACGGATCGGCCATGGAATTTTGGCTCTGAGATCCTCTGTGTAACCGTGGATGAGCTACAAGGCCTGCTGAGCCTCCATTTGTCTGGTTTTTGTGGTTGTTTTAATTTATCTTTTTCCATTTGAAGTTGTGGGTTTTGCATAAAATTGAACTGTTACCAGGCTAAGTCAACTGAAATTGGAATCTGGGGTACTGCTTGCTTTGAGGTTACTCTTATACTGTCCACCATTTGCTGGCTGTGTGATCTCTAAACCTCTCTGTGCCCTGACTTTTCTATCTTTAAAATGGACGTAACAACAGAGGTTTAATAATAAGAGGTTTGGAGGTTAAGTGCTAAAATGCATATAAAATACCTAGCACAGGACACAGTAAAAAGATTGTTACCGTATTTCATTGAATCTGGTTTTAAGACACTTCCTGATTTCAAAGAAACTAAAAGCTCATCTTGAAGTCCAGGAAGTAGGTTTTGGGTCACTCAGAACTCCCAAGGGACTGTATTTGGTAGTAACTAGTGATAAACAAACTGGAGTTTAAATGAGGACTTTGTCACCAGAGATATTTTTATTGCCTGTATGGAGCTCCTGCACAAATTTATTCCATTTCTCTTGTAGAAAGAGATCCAACCTGGCCGTAAATGGGGTGTGGTGGAGTAGAAAGAAGGGTATTAAGTAAAGCTCTGTGTCGATGCCTTTCTGAGCATTTTACGGTGTTGGCATATGTGATCCTGGGTATCAGGAGCCTCAATTTCTTGGGCTGTAAAAATGGGGAGAACAACGCTGATCCCATTGTCTCCTGATGGGTAAGTGATGTCTATAAATAAATTGTATAGAGATTAAGGCATTATCAGTGCTGTAGTCTGATAAAATGGTGGAGCAGATAGGAAAGCCTACAACAGTACTGAACTGCAGGAGGGACTAAGAGTAAATATAGAGATTTCATTTGCTTGGTTTTGCAGAGGGTTAGCTAACTAAACAGATAACTTTGTTTTCGACAGTTACTTCATTTTTTTCAGTCAGGCAAGAGTAAGGAGAGAGTAACTAAACCATTTTTTTTCCTCTTTAAATAAGAGTAAGCAGAAATATTATGGTTATTTGGGGTTTTCATGACCTTCATTCACTTAGCGGTCAGGCTGTTCAATTTAAAACAACCTTTTGCTTGCTGCCCTGCCATATGGGAAATTTCATTTCCAAAAAAAGGATTAATTTCCAGCCTGGGCGAAACCCTATCTCTACGGAAAATATAAAAATTAGCGGCCAGGAGCAGTGGCTCATACCTGTAATCCCAGCACTTTGGGAGGCCGAGGCAGGTGGATCACGAGGTCAGGAGTTCAAGATCAGCCTGGCCAAGATGGTGAAACCCCATCTCTACTAAAAATACAAAAATTAGCCTGATGTGGTGGCACGCGCCTGTAATCCCAGCTACTTGGGAGGCTGAGGCAGAGAACTGCTTGAACCTGGGAGCATTCCAGCCTGGATGACAGAGTGAGACTCCGTCTCAAAAAAAAAAAAAAAATTAGCTGGGCGTGGTGGCATCCGCCTTTGGTCCCAAATACTCAGGAGGCTGAGGTGGGAGGATTGCTTGAGCCCAGGAGGTCGAGTCTGCAGTGAGCCGTGATTGTACCACCACATCCTAGTCTGAGTGACAGTGTGACACTCTGTCTCAAAAAAGAAAAGAAGATCAAGAAGGATTAATTTAAATCCTTATACCAAATTGTCTACCAAATGATTTTTGTTCCACTCCAGAAATGTTTTCCTCCAGTCCCTTCCTCTCTCTGCACCCTCCTGAGTTCTCCTTTCTTCTGTGGACAACTGTAACTAATGCGTGTTTTTGCTAGGCTGACCCTTCTTTCATACTATGGCCCAATTATGTTTTTTCAAATAAGCTAATGGATGTAAGCACTGGTGAAATCTGAATAAGGTCTGTAGTCTACTTGATAGTATTGTACCAATGTCAGTTTCCTGGCTTTTGATATTTTTCCATAGCTTTGTAAGATGTTCCCATTTGAGAAAGTGTACCTGGGCCCTCTTTGCAACTACCTATGGGTAAATGATTATTTCAAAGTAAAAAATTAAAGTATAGGGACAGAAATTAGATCAATGGTTACTGGCAACTGGAGCTGGGGAAGGGTGGACTGATCACACTTTTTGAGATGATGAGAATATTCTCTAACTTGATTGTGGTATTTACATTACTGGATGACTCTGTGAATCTGTCAAAACTCATAGAACTATACACCTAAAAGGGTGGTTTTTTTTTTTTTTTTTTTTTTTAGATGAAGTCTCGCTCTTGTCCCCCAGGCTGGAGTGCAATGGTGTGATCTCGGCTCATTGCAACCTCCGCCTCCCGGATTCAAGCGATTCTCCTGCCTCAGCCTCCCAAGTAGCTGGGATTACAGGTGCATACCACCACGCCCGGCTAATTTTTTGTATTTTAAGTAGAGGCGGGGTTTCACCATGTTGGCCAGGCTGGTCTCGAACTCCTGACCTCAAGTGATCTACCCGCCTCGGCCACCCAAAGTGCTGGGATTACAGGCGTGAGCCTCCGCACCCAGCCAAAGGGTGGTTTTTACTTCTATATAAATTATACTTCAGTAAACCTGAATTAAGATAAGGAAAGCAAGCTCTTGGCCGGGTGCAGTGGCTCACGCCTGTAACCCCAGCACTTTGGGAGGCGGAGATGGGCGGATCACGAGGTCAAGAGATCGAGAGCATCCTGGCTAAATGGTGAAACCCTGTCTCTACTAAAAATACAAAAAAATTAGCCAGGCGTGGTGGTGGGCATCTGTAGTCCCAGCTACTTGGGAGGCTGAGGCAGGAGAATGGCGTGAACCCGGGAGGCGGAGCTTGCAGTGAGCCGAGATCGCGTCCAGACCTGGGTGACAGAGCGAGACTCCCTCTCAAAAAAAAAAGAAAAGCAAGCTCTCATCACCCCAGCCTCCTGGGGCTTGTAGGATGAAATGTAACTTTAAGGCCCAACGTGCTTTTCCAGCATACGGACTCTTCCTGCCAGCGCACCCTGGGCTTCCTTGTACTGTATTAATTCCTGCCCCTGTGCCTTTGTGCATACTCTTCCTTCTGCTTAGGTGGAGCATAGGAAAGTAAAGTCAAAATTCGGGTTCCCTGTACTCCTGTAAGCCTTCCCTGCCTCCCTTAGGCAAACCAGTAATTTCCTAACTTCCTCCTCTGCTCACTCATGTCGTGCTGTAATTTTTAATTCGTTTTCATCTTTTTTCTCAACTAGACTCCTCAAAGGCAGCGACCACATTGTTCTTTGTCTCTGGGATCCAGTAGTGTTGAATGAGTGAGTGAATGAACAAATTATTTATTTATTTATTTATTTATTTATTTTTTGAGACAGAGCCTCTCTCTGTCGCACAGGCAGGAGTGCAGTGGTGCGATCTCGGCTCACTGCAACCTCTGCCTCCCGGGTTCAAGTGATTCTCCTGCCTCAGCCTCCTGAGTAGCTGGGACTACAGGAGGGTGCCATGACGCCTGGCTAATTTTTGTATATTTAGTAGAGACGGGGTTTCACCATGTTGCCCAGGCTGGTCTCAAACTGCTGGCCTCAGGTGATCCACCCACCTCAGCCTCCCAAAGTCCTGGGATTACAGCCATGAGCCACCAGGCCCGGCTGTGAATGATGTAGAGCTGAAAGAAAAACTAATGGTTCTCAAAGTGCGGTCCAAGGTCCCCAAGAGGTGAGGTGAGGTGCTAGGATTTTCATGCTTTCAGCAAACAGCACATCCTAACAGATTGAATGCAGAAGAAGAGAATCCAGCTGTCTTCATTTAAGCCAAACATTAAAGAGATCTGAAAAACAATATCGTACTTCCACATTTTTTGGGAAAAAATAAGTTATTTTTCTTTAAAATGTGTTCTGTTACTAGATAGTGGGTTTATTACTGTTTTTAAGTGACTACGTTTTTGTTTGTTTGTTTGTTTGTTTGAGACAGTCTCATTCTGCCACCCAGGCTGGAGTACAATGGCGCCATCTCGGCTCACTGTAACCTCTGCCTCCTGGTTTCAAGCAATTCTGCCTCAGCCTCCCAAGTAGCTGAGATTACAGGCCCCCGCCACCACGCCTGGCTAAGTTTTTTGCATTTTTAGGAGAGATGGGGTTTTGCTGTGTTAGCCAGGCTGATCTCAAACTCCTGACCCGCCTTTGCTTCCCAGAGTGCCAGGATTACAGGCGTGAGCCACCACGCCCAGCCGACTATGTATTTTAAAAATATTTTCTCAGTTTTCTAATATGAAAAATATTGACAGATATAATACTTTTTTTTAAAGTTCTTAGGGCTGGGCACAGTAGCTCATGCCTGTAATCCCAGCACTTTGGGAGGCCAAGGCGGGCAGATCACGTGCAGGAGTTCAAGACCAGCCTGATCAACATGGTGTATCCCCATCTCTACAAAATATGCAAAAAATAATTAGCCGGGTGTGGTGGCACACACCTGTAATCCCCGCTACTCAGGAGACAGGAGAATTGCTTGAACCTGGAAGGCGGTTCGCTGGAAGGCAGTGAGCCGAGGTCGCACCACTGCACTCCAGTCTGGGCAACAGAGCGAGACTCTGTCTCAAAGAAAAAAAAAGGTTCTTTGGCGTCTTCGACAATTTTTAAGAATGTAAAAAGATTCTGAGACCAAAATATTTAAGAATCTGTGCCTTAGAGACTGTTAACAAAGCCCTCATTGTTCAAATGAGAAATGGTCATGATGCTGACATTTAGTGCTCTGGTACATGTGGCTGGCCTTATTGTAAGCACTTTACTTGAGGATACTATTATGTCTTCATGTTACTGATAAGGCAAGTGAGGCACAGAGAGGTTAAATTGACTTGCCCAAGGCCATGTAGCTAGTCACTGGTGGAACCACAATTTGAGGCCCTGATGTTGGCTACAGTTTTCTGCCACTTCCATGAAGTCTGGAAAGGGTCAGAAGGCCCAAATGCCATCTGGTTACTTCACCAGTTCTCTGTTATCTATCAATCTCACAGTCACTATGCAGGAGTCACTGAGGCCTCAATTCTGCTTTGCAGTCTTCATCCCAAATTCTGCCACCCTGAATGTTTTCAAGTATGGCCTTACAATTGGCCTTACAAGGCCTTGATTTTTTTCAAATCTGTGTGCACTTCCACTTCAACCACCCATTCCTCTCTTGTGACCATGCTCGAAACTCTAATAATCTGTCTTATTGTAACTTCCTATTTTTCAGTTTTCTTACTCTCTACCACTAAACCTTTTTTTTTTTTCTTTTAATGTCCAGCGTCTTGCTGTGTCACCCAGGCTGGAGTGCAGTGGTGCGATCATGGTTCACTGCAACCTTGAACTCCTGGGCTCGAGCAATCATCTTTATTTATCAGTGGACACTGAGTAGCTGGGACTACAGGCGTGCACCACTGCACCCAGCTAATTTTCTTATTTTTTGTAGAGACAAGGGTCTCGCTTTGTTACCTAGGCCAGTCTTGAACTCCTGGCTTTAAGTGATTCTTCCACCTCAGCCTCCCAAAGTGCTGGAATTAATAGGTATGAGCCACCACGCCTGGCCTAATCCTTGATGTTTGCACTTGCTGTTATGGTTTTTGTTTGTTTTTCTGAGACAGAGTCTTACTCTGTTGCCCAGGCTGGAGTGCAGTGGCCTGATCTCAGCTCACTGCAACCTCCGCCTCCTGGGTTCAAGTGATTCTCCTGCTTCAGCCTCCCGAGTAGCTGGGAATACAGGCGCCTGCCACCACGCCCGGCTAATTTTTATGTTTTTAGTAGAGGCAGGGTTTCACCATGTTGGCCAGGCTGGTCTTGAACTCCCCACCTCAAGTGATCCATCCGCCTCGGCCTCTCAAAATGCTGGGATTACAGGTGTAAGCCACCACGCCCAGCCGGTTTTTTCTTTTGTTTTTCCCTTTTTAACCCCATTCTCTACCTTATGCAACTGGTGCCCTGTGGTCAACTCAGACTTCTCATTCATGCCCTCAGCTCCTTAAACCCCTCATCCTCAAACTCTACCAGCTTTGCAAGCTTCCAAGCCTGAATTGCCTGACTCAGTTTATCCCTGTGTGTATCTGCTTGGGGTGTAGAATATAACAACTAAAAATGATAGAAGTGTACAGATTGTGGCTGTTATGAATCTAGGGCATTCAACTGCGGTTGGACCTCAGTGCCATTGAGCAATCTTTGTCTTTGGTCAGAACCCTCTTCTATAAACATTCACCACTTGGTTCCAACTGCTTACTCACCCACGTGCCTAATAGATAACCTCACCTCCTAATTCACAGAGGGAGGAAAGTTCAAAATGCAGGAACTTTCACTTCCCACTGTGAGCCTCCAAGGGAGTGTGTACATCTGCATCCTGCTGCCTCATGCATGGAGATAGCCTTTCTGTTCAACCTGTCATCTGTTATGATCCCACTTCATCCCATCAATGGGATCTTACTCCTTCAGCCACCCCCTTGGCACCTGTACTTTCAGCTGCTCAGCCTCTACTGGTCCGTTGCCCTCAGCCAAAAAACGCCCCTTCAACCCTGCACTCCTGGTTATTACCCTATTGTTTCTCTCTGTGGACAATCTTCTTGAAAGAATTGTCACTCCCCTTCCTCAGCTTAGAAACTGGTTTATCTGATTGCCTGACTTTTGGTGCTGTTGGTTACCCTCTCATTTTCTGGGATACCACTATCATCATCTTCTCTTTCATGTCTTTGCTGTTTTTGTATCCCCTATTGGATTGAGCAAAGTCATCAGCCTAGTCAAGTCACCCCCCAACAAGATGAAACACAACAGTCATCCTAGACTCCTTCCTCCCATTTATCTTCCATAGCCAATTGCCAAATCCTGTGATGTTTACCCATTAAACATCTGTCAAATCAGTCCCTTTCTCTTTATTCCCATGGCCACCAAACCATTCCAGGCTGCTATCATCTCTTCTCGAGATGTGGAGTGATCTTGGCTCCTCACTATCATACTCCCTTATGTGGTCCTTTGTACTGACCTGAGCAATAATGATGCTGAAGGCCCCACTGTTCGCTGCCAGCCCACAGAGAAGAAGTCTATGCCAGAGAACGAGTGACCAGAAGAGGCTATGCTCACAGAAGTCAGAGAAGCAGAGTCTTCAGGAAGGGAGAACATCGGTGTCCACCAAGCAGAGATACCTCATGAGATAGATTGAAGTGTGGCCCCTGGATTTCAGAAATGGATGTCATCTGTCCATGGAGGAGTAGGGTAAGAAGCTGCATTGCAGTAGGCTGAAGGGTGTCCTTGGAAGCCTAGAAACTGACAGTAGCTATAGATGACTTCTAGAAGATGAGCTGAAATAAGAATGTGAAACAAACTCAACCACTAGGAATCAAATCCAAATTAAAAGGAGACACCATTTCACCTCTTAAATTGGCAGAAAAATACTTTTAATAATACTTGATAATGAGGATGTCAAGAAAGGAATATGACTTGTTACAAGCATTCCAAATGGGATTTTATGGTAGGTTTCAAGAGCAATAGATTTTTGCCCATTCTTTGCCATAGTAATCCCAGCTCAACTCAGTCTATTTAAGTAATTACTGATAGATGCAAAGATTTTAGACACAAGAATGTTTATCACAGTGTTCTTTTTAATATTTAAAATTGAAAACCTATAAATTATTGTCTATCCAAACCAAAAGCAGCAACTAAAAATGGGTAATGAACTAGAAATATGATGTGTTTTTAGTGAAAAAAGCAGGTTACAAAACATTCTTTTCTAAATTATGTATGTACAGCCTGATGTCATTATTGTTTTTGTTTTTTTGAGACTGGGTCTTGCTCTGTCATCCAGGCTGGAGTACAGTGGCATGATCATGGCTCACTGCAGCCTCGACCTCCCAGGTTCAAGCGATCCTCCCACCCTCACTCTCCTGAGTAGCTGAGCCTACAGGCATGTACCACCAGGCCCAGCTAATTTTAAGTTTTTTTTTTTTTTTTAGAGTTGAGGTCTTGCTATGTTGCTCATGCTGGTCTCAAATTCCTGGCATCAAATGATCCTCCCACCTCAGCCTCCCGAAGTGCTGGGATTACAGGCGTGAGCCATGGCACCTGTCCTCATTTTTTATTTTTAATAAAACATGTAAAGATTGGATGGCTATCAGAGTCAATATGGTTATGGGGGTATAATATGGATGATGTATTTTTTTTTATGTTACCCAGGTTTGTTATATGGTATATAGCATGATGCTGAGGTTTGGGGTGTGAATGATTATATCACTCAGGCACTAAGCATTGTACCCAGAAGGTAGGTTTTCAGCCCTTGACTCACTCCCTCTCTCTTCCATCTAGTAGTCCCCAATAAATACATATTTATTGAGTCTTCTGGGTCCACTGAGGACACAATCATGAAAAAGAAAACTATGTCCCCATCCTGGAGGTGTTTACATTCTGGTGACAAAACTAATTGAAGCAGTTCTGATTGATGTTTTGAGAGCTTATGATAAGGTATGAAGGACTTTTTTTCCTTTTAGTTTTGAAATTTTCTGTAATGAACATATACACTGGTTTCATAGCCCTTTTGTTTCTTTTTTCTTTCTTTTGTATTTAAAGAAGCTTGGCAGAGGCCGGGCATGGTGGCTCACACCTGTAATCCCAGCACTTTGGGAGGCTGAGGCAGGTGGATCACTTGAGGTCAGGAGTTGAAGACCAGCCTGGCCAACATGTGAAACCCTGTCTCTACTAAAAATAACAAAAATTAGCTGGGCGTCATGGCACACTCCTGTAATCCCAGCTACTTGGGAGGCTGAGGCAGGAGGGTCACTTGAGCCCAGGAGCTGGAGGTTGCAGTGAGCCAAGACTGTGCCACCACTCAACAGAGTGAGACTCCGTCTCAAAAAAAAAAAAAAAAAAAAAAAAAAAAAAAGCTTGTCAGAGAAATAAATGAGAAATTAAAAGATGGTAAGTGGAGGCCCCAGAGTGAAGGGAAGTGTTTTTGGTTTTAGGAATAGGAGAGTCTAGTGTGTTTAGAGGTTTAGGGGAAGGATCCAGGAGAGGCAGCAGAGAACTGAAGGGTGTATGTGTGTGTGGAGCAGGGAGGTGGGGGTGGTGAGGGTGGGAGATGGAGGGGAGAAGGAGCCCAGATAAATTTAGCTTCCACCAGGAGCAGGATGCCTCTTCCTCTGCTGGTGCTATAGGAAGGTTGCCAATGGGCCGGGTGCGGTGGCTCATGCCTGTAATCCTAGCACTTTGAGAGCCCAAGGTAGGTGTATCACGAGGTCAGGAGTTCAAGACCAGCCTGGCCAGTATGGTGAAACCCTGTCTCTACTAAGAAAATACAAAAATTGGCCAGTGACGGTGGCTCGCACCTGTAATCCCAGCACTTTGGGAGGCCGAGGCGCGTAGATCAGGAGGTCAGGAGGTCAGGATTTCAAGACCAGCCTGGCCAAGATGGTGAAACCCCATCTCTACTAAAAATACAAAAATTAGCTGGGCATGGTGGCTCGCGCCTGTAGTCCCATCTACTCAGGAGGCTGAGGCAGGAGAATCGCTTGAACCCGGGAGGTGGAGGTTGCAGTGAGCCGAGATCGTGCCACTGCACTCCAGCCTGAGAGACAGAGTGAGACTCTGTCAAAAAAGAAAAATTGCCAGTGGAGATAAAGGTGTCCATTTGGGTAGGTCAGGAAGCTGTGGTATTCATGCCTCATGGCCTTCATTTTCTTAGAGCGTAGGGTAAAATCATGCCATTTTTTGCCTCTGTGCCTCATAAGTTTGTACTCCTTCCTCCTTTAAAAATCAGCTGTAAGAGCTGGATGTGCTGTAAGGGCTGGACGTGGTGGCACATGCCTGTAGTTCCTACTTGGGAAGCTGAGATGGGAGGACCACTTGAGTCCGGGAGGTTGAGGCTGCAGTGAGCTATGATTGCACCACTGCTCTCCAGCCTGGGTGACAGAGCAACACCTTGTCTCTTGGGAAAAAAAAAAAAAAAAAAAATCAGCTCCAGACCCCTGCCTTTGTGAACCTTTTCTTGAAGGAAAGAGTGTGGGTTGGGGCCACTTCCAGTGGAATCACCAGGAGGGGAGTGGAGGGAGGAGGGAAGGTGCTCAGAATAAACATTCAATGTCCCTGAGCATTCCTAGATCAACCGGATCAGGATCTCTGAAGGATGGGGCTCAAAGATTGGCATTTGAAAGAACACCCGTGGGGATCCTGATGGTGCAATAAAGTTGTAGAACCACCTCACTAAGTGCTCCCAATTCCTTTTACAATTCTCTATTATTGCAATTTAATCCTTTCACTTCCCCCACTGGGCTGCCCTTGGGCAGGAGTAGGTGTCTTTGTTTACATACTTGTAGCACAGCCCTGCAGTTGGCTATCATAGTGGGCTTTGGGTGCTTATTTGTGAAATGAATGATGTGTACAAAACTGGAACCCAGATGTCCTGATTCCCAGACTCATAATTTGCTCTATCACATTTTATCTCTAGAAGCTGCTGAATTCCTCAGGAAGGCATTTCCTGGTCCAACTGTGCCTAAAACTCATATGCCAATTTAAAAAGCACAAATCCACATAGAAAGATTCTCTGAAGAAGGAGACAGTGTATGGGGGATTGGTTGCTCTAAGGAAGATTAGAAAATGAGGTCACCTGAAAGTGAAGGGAGCGGGATGCACACAAAGTAACAAGCCCCTGGAGCAGGTCTGTTCCAAGTGTGTCACCCAGGTCTCCCCCAAAAACCATCAAGGAGTTAGAAACATACTGTGGAAAAGATCCCTAGAATGTAACAGTTAAGAAGCTGGATGCTCAGGAGGTAATGAGTCATAGAATGCTTGTGTGTGGACTGCATGGAATCCAGAAAAGGGGAAGCCATAGGTTAGAAATTATAGCGTCTCAGCTGGGCACGGTGGCTCACGCCTGTAATCCTAGCTCTTTGGGAGGCTGAGGTGGGTGGATCACCTGAGGTCAGGAGTTCGAGACCAGCCTAGCCAACATGGCTTCACCGTCTCTACTGAAAATACAAAAATTAGCCAGCGTGGTGGCGGACGCCTATAATCCCAGCTATTCAGGAGACTGAGGCAGGAGAATCGCCTGAACCCGGTGGGGTGGAGGTTGCAGTGAGCCAAGATCGCGCCACTTCATTCCAGCCTGGGTGAAAAAGCAAAACTCTTGTCTCAAAAAAAAAAAAAAAAAAGAAGAAGCAATTAGAATTTATAGAGTTGTTGTAATATCCAAAGGTATAGATGCTCTGATACCACTGGGTAGTGCTGTTAATTTAGAAAGAACTGGTCCAAAAGAATGCGAATTCATCTTAGGAGAAATGGGTGTTTCCACTAAGAACAGCTCATCCCTTTTCTTTAATCATTTAGTAACTCTTTATAGATTACCTCCAATGTGTCAGGGGCTGTATTCACTGTGTCTTGCCGGAGATATGACAGTGGGCAAAACAGGTACAGGACGTACCCTTGAGAACTCACAGTATTATTCTTGTTTATTCATCAGGTTTCTAACCTGTAATTTGATATGCTTTGTGGATTTGCCTGGCACTCTGAGCAAATGACCAAAACCAATTATTCTGCCAGGTAGGCCTCTGTTCTCACGTTAATAACATTCTAGTTGTGAGTCATTTATGACTTCGATGAGAGAGTATAAAACAAACAGTTCCATTAGGGGTTGGTTTTTCCCTGGACAAATGGGTACAGAGCTGGGCCTGCTGATGAGCTCAGCAAGAAGTCCCCACCCTGGGAAGCCCTGCCAACTGCCAGCACCTTGTATTCAGCAGGCTCTCAGCCACACACAGGCTAAGTCACAGCCCCTGGCCCCATTAGGAATGTGTGTATCCTTTCCTGCCTGAATGGCCCACTGAGAGGTCGTTGGGAAAATTCTTGGAGCGTCGGATTCCTGGATGTCTTGAATTCCAAAGAGCTTGAATCAGCACAAAGCTTAGGGCCCAGGGCTGTATTTTAAAGGAAGACGCAGCAGGGGCAGGTGATGGTAAATAGAGGAGAGTGAACATGGCGGGAACAGACTTCAGGCTGCACCTGTGACTGAGGACAGCCCCCAAATTCTTAGTTCTGAGAGAAACCCCTGAGGGCCAAAAACAGCATGCTCAGTTCCTGGTAATTCCTTAAAAACAGGCTTCTATCAGACCTGGCTCTAAAAAAACATTCACTCAGGCTGGATCCAGGTTTGGGGCCCTGAGGCTTATATATTTGGTACAGGCAACTCTTAAGAAAGAAGTGCAAAATTAGATATAGGGCTTGGAAGCCCTGTTTGAGGAAGCCAGGGACCCTGAAGTGTAAGCTTCAGTAGTTTCACAGTAAATCCACCTATGTGTTCATGCTGGAGAGTAAAAATATCCCATGTCTGTGATCCCAAAGGATCAGAGGGCTCTCTGGATGCTTAGAGGAAGGAAGGAAGCAGGGATGAGAGCAACTTCAATGTTTTAATTCATTGATCTTATTAATAAATCACATTCCCAGCCGGGCGCGGTGGCTCATGCCTGTAATCCCAACACTTTGGGAGGCCGAGGCGGGCGGATCACAAGGTCAGGAGATCGAGACCATCCCGGCTAACATGCTGAAACCCCGTCTCTACTAAAAATACAAAAAAAAAAAAAAAAAAAAAATTAGCCGGGCGGGGTGGTGGGTGCCTGTAGTCCCAGCTACTGGCTGAGCCTGGAGATTGGCATGAACCCAGGAGGCGGAGCTCGCAGTGAGCCATGATCGCGCCACTGCACTCCAGCCTGGGCGACAGAGCGAGACTCCGTCTCAAAAAATAAAAATAAAAAATAAATCACATTCCCTTTTCTTCATCCCTTACATTCAGTTAAAGGTTTAAATGCTAGACTTGGCCAGGCATGGTGACACACGCCTGTAATCCCAGCACTTTGGGAAGCCAAGGCGGGTGGATCACTTGAGCCAGGACTTCGAGACCAGCCTGGGCAACATGGCGAAACCCCATCTCTACAAAAAAAAAAATACAAAAAAATTAACCTGGTGTGGTGCTGCATGTCTGTAGTCGCAGCTACTTGGTAGGCTAAGGCGGGAGGACCACTTGAGCCCAGGAGGTCGAGGCTGCAGTGAGCCATGATTGTGTCACCGCACAACAGCCTGGATGACAGAGCAAGACCCTGTCTCAAAAAAAAAAAAGTAGATTCTGAGCTACTCGAGGACAGCAATCATATCTTATTTGTCTTTGAATCCCAAGTACTTTGCAAATAGCATTTGTTGAATGGATGAATGAATGAGTGAGTGAGTGAGTGAGTGAGTGAGTGAGTGAGTGAGTGAATTCTCCCAGGAACTGAGACCTGATAGTCATATATTCCCCTCTCCCTTCCTCTTGACTGCTCCGGCAGGTGGCATAGACTAATCATGAACTCTGGAGTAAGACCTGAGTTGAATCCCAGCTTTGCCACATACCATCAGGGTGACCCTGGGAAAGTTACCCAACATCTCTCAGCCTCAGTTTCTTTAGAAGGGAGCCAATAATACTTCCCCTCAAGGTTGCAGTGAGAATCAGTAATAAAGTGCCTGGTATGTCACAGTTCTCAACAAATGTTGACTATTGTATTATTACTTTAGGTCTGGGGTAGGCAAACCAGGCCATGGGCCAAATCTGGCCCCCCGCCACCATTTTTGTAAATAAAGTTTTATTGGAACACAGGGAACACAGTCATGCCTATTTGTTACTTTTTTTTTTTTTTAAACAGAGTCTCTGTCATCCAGGCTGGATTGCAGGGGTGCCGTCTCAGCTTACTGCAACCTCCACCTCCCGGGTTCAAGCAATTCTTCTGCCTCAGCCTCCTGAGTAGCTGGGATTATAGGCATGCACCACCAGGCCTAGCTAATTTTTCTTTTTTTTTTTTTTTTCTTTTTTTGCAATGGAGTTTCGCTCTTGTTGCCCAGGCTGGAGTGCAATGGCACGATCTCGGCTCACCACAACCTCTGCCTCCTGGGTTCAAGCAATTCTTCTGCCTCAGCCTCCTGAGTAGCTGGAACTACAAGCGCATGCCACCATGCCCAGCTTATTTTGGTATTTTTAGTAGAGACAGGGTTTCACCATATTGTCCAGGCTGGTCTCAAACTCCTGACCTCAGGTGATCTGCCCACCTCAGCCTCCCAAAGTGCTGGGATTACAGGTGTGAGCCACCGCGCCCAGCCCTAATTTTGTATTTTTAGTAGAGACTGGGTTTCTCCATGTTGGTCAGGCTGGTCTCGAACTCCTGACCTCCGGTGATCCACTCGCCTTGGCCTCCCAAAGTGCTGGGATTACAGGTGTGAGCCACCTCACCCAGCCTGTTACTTCTTATCCATGGCTACTTTTGTGCTACAATAGCATAGTTAAAAAATTGATACAGAGACCTTATGGCATGCAAAGACTAAAATATTTACCACAGAAAAAGTTTGTCAACCACATACCATCAGGGTGACCCTGGGAGAGTTACCCAACATCTTTCTGGCCCTACAGAAAAAGTTTGTCAACTTCTGATTTAGGCCTTTATCACTTTACTCTCAACTTGTAGTTGTCTCCTAACTGGTCCCCAAGCCTCTCGTCTTTCTCCCATTCTGTTCTTTCTCTACTCTGTGGCCAGTTGTTTCTTTTCTTTTCTTTTTTTTTTTTGAGACAGAGTCTCGCTGTGTCGCCCACACTGGAGTTCAGTGGCCCAATCTTGATTCACCGCAAGCTCTGCCTCCCAGGTTCAAGCAATTCTCATGCCTCAGCCTCCCGAGTAGCTGGGATTACAGATGGGTGCCACCACACCCAGCTAATTTTTGTATTTTTAGTAGAGACAGGGTTTCACCATGTTGGCCAGGCTGGTCTAGAACTCCTGACCTCAGAATGATCCTCCAGACTCAGCCTCCCAAAGTGCTAGGATTACAGGTGTCAACCACCATGCCCTGCCCTTCTTTTTCTTGTTTTTTTTTAGATGTGGTGTCTCTAAAAAGCCATTGCGGCCAAACTTTTTTGTTTTTTTTGTGTTGTGTTTTTTGAAATAGTGTCTCTTTCTGTCACCCAGGCTGGAGTGCAGTGGCATGATCATGGCTCACTGCAGCCCCAGACTCCTGGGCTCAAACAATCCTCCCACCTCAGCCACAGGAATAGTTGGGACTACAGGCACACATCACCACACCCAGCTGATTACTTTTTTTTTTTTTTTTGAGACGGGGTCTTGCTCTATCGGCTAGGCTAGAGTGCAGTGGCGTGATCTTGGCTCACTACAACCTCCACCTCCTGGGTTCAAGCAATTTCTCTGCCTCAGCCTCCCAAGTAGCTGGGACTACAGATGCCTGCCACCATGCCTGGCTAATTTTTGTATTTTTAGCAGAGATGGGGTTTCACCATATTGTCCAGGCTGGTCTTGAACTCCTGACCTTGTGATCCACCCGCCTCGGCCTCCCAAAGTGCTGGGATTACAGGCGTCAGCCACTGCGCCTGGCCCCAATTTTTTTTTTTTTTTTGTAGAGACGAAGTCTCACTATGTTGCCGAGGCTGATCTTGAACTCCTGGGCTCCAGCAATCTGCCTGCCTTGGCCTTCCGAAGTGCTGGGATTGCAAGCATGAGCCACTGTGTCCAACCCAGATGGACACTTTGGATAGAGTCTACTAGGCTTGCCTTTAGCTTTCTGCTGTCCTGTCGTCTCATCGCATCCTGTTATGTAGTCCATAGCTCACTTCATTCCAGGGGGCAGGTTGAAAGCAGACTCAGCTGTTTGTCCTGGGCTGATCCCTGAGTTCATGTTGCTGTTTCCCATAACTTCGCTTTATAATCTGGCACCAGGGAGCCAGTGGCCAGGGACAGTCAGTGAGCTTACATGTTTTCTTGGAAATCATCACCCATCCCTGGGCTTGGCCTTTAGTTTTCGTCTTGCGGTCCTGTCTTGCTGTCTTCATTGCTTGCCCTGTAGATTGGATTTTTGACTCTGAGTACCTGGAGCATTTGATCCTGCCTTTGTTCTCCTAGGCACTGATCCATCAGAACTCAGGGAAAACACAGGCTTAGAAATCAACACTGGCATCATCCCTGCACTGCATGGCCAGATCTGTGCCTCACTCCACATATCTTGGCCCCAGTATGATTTCATGTACATTCCCAAGAACTTTTGATGTAGACCTGGATTATAGCTACTATGTTTTATTGGGATTCGGTGTTGTAGCATGGGGTGTTGACATTGTCCCTTTTTGGGAACCCACCCCCAACTCCAATTTCTTTACCAATCCCAGTCTGCAACCTAATTCCTGATTTTGAGCTTCAACTTGTTCTTCTGTTTTTGGATACTGTCCCAGACTATTTTCTATCAGTGTTCTGAGTTTTCTTGAGTTTTTTGAACCGAGTACCTGTGCTCTCTCTCTCTGCACCACTGCTGCCACCATCCTAGTGCTGAGGCCAACTCTCAGAACTCAAATGGGCAGACATCAGGGATCACGGGTCCAGAAGTATAAATAGTGGCTCATCTCACACAATAGAGTTCATTCACTCATGGAAAGCACTTAGCGTAGTATCTGGCCCAGAGTAAGTCTATATAAGCATTACTGATAATTAGGATGTGCCAAAATGAAGCACATACTCTCTCTTATACAGGGAGATCTTTGGGGTAAAAAATGAAGGCAAATCACCAAGGAATGTGGTTCATTGGCATAATAATATGTAATTTTTTTTTTTTTTTGAGACGGAGTTTCGCTCTTGTTGCCCAGGCTGGAGTGCAGTGGCACAATCTTGGCTCTCCGCCTCCCGGGTTCAAGCAATTCTCTTGCCTCGGCCTCCCAAGTAGTTAGGATTACAGGCATGTGCCACCACACCTGGCTAATAATATGTAGCTTTTTAAAAATTATTATTATTATTTTTTTTAAGACGGTCTCACTTTGTCACCCGGGCTGGAGTGCAAGTGGCTCAATCACAGCTCACTGCAGCCTTGACCTCCTGGGCTCAAGCAAGCCTTCCACCTCAGCCTCCTGAGTAGTTGGAACTACAGGCGAGTGCCACCACATCCGGCTAATTTAAAAAATTTTTTTGTAGAGGTGACGTCTTGCTATGTTACTCAGGCTGGTCTCAGACTCCTGGGCTCAAGCAGTCCTCCTGCCTTGGCCTCCCAAAGTACTGGGATTACAGGCACGAGCCACTGTTCCCAGCCTAATCTGTAGTTTTTAAAGAAATGTTATTCACATACTATAAAATTCACACTCTTCTAAAGGTTTTTAGTATATTAACAAAGTTATGTAACCATCCCCGCTATCTAATTCTAGAACATTTTCATCAGCCTATACCCATTCGCAGTCATTTCCCGTTTCTCCCACCCTCGGTCTCAGGCTGCCATGAATCTACTTTCAGTGTCCATGGATTTGCCTATTCTGGACATTCCATGAAAACGGAATCATATATACTATGTGGCCTTTTGTTTCTGGGTTTTTTTTTTTTTTTTTTGAGATGGAGTCTCGCTCTGTCGCGCAGGCTGGAGTGCAGTGGTACGATCTTGGCTCACTGCAACCTCTGCCTCCCGGGTTCAAACGATTCTCCTGCTTCATCCTCCTGAGTAGCTGGGATAACAGGCACACACCACCATGACTGGCTAATTTGTGTACTTTTTTAAAATAGAGATGGGGTTTCACCATGTTGGCCAGGCTGGTCTCGAACTCCTGACCTCAGGTGATCTGCCCGCCTTGGCCTCCCAAAGTGCTGGGATTACAGGCATGAGCCACTGCGCCAGGCCTTGTGTCTGTTCTTTCACTTAGCACAACGTCCTTAAGGTTCATCCATGTTGGAGCATGTCTCAGTACATCTCATGGCTGCATAATATAGCCTATTGTATGGATATACCACATTGTGTTCAGCCATTCATCAGTTGATGAGCATTTGTGTTGTTTCTACTTTTGGCTATTGTGAATAGTGCTGCTATGAACATTTGTGTACCAGTTTTATGTGGACACTTGTTTTCATTTCTCTTGGGTGTATACCTAGGAGTGGAATTGCTGGGGTATATGGTACCTCTGTTTAACTTTTTGAGAAATTGCCAAATTGTTTTCCACAGCAGCTGCACTGTTTTACATTCCTACCTTCAGTGGATGAGGGCTTCAATTTCTACACACATCCTTATTGACACTTGTTATGGTCCCTCTTTTTATTATATCCATTCTAGTGGATATGGAGTAGTATCTCGTGGTTGTGATTTGCACTTCTCTAATAACTAATAATGTTGAGCATCTTTTCTTTTCTTTCTTTCTTTTTCTTTTTTCTTTTTTGAGATGGAGTCTCGCTCTGTTGCCCAGGCTGGAGTGCAGTGGCACAGTCTCAGGTCACTGCAACCTCCAACTCCTGAGTTAAAGCGATTCTTTTGCCTCAGCCTCCCGAGTAGCTGGAATTACAGGTGCCTGCCACCATGCCTGGCTAATTTTTTTGTATTTTTAGTAGAGACAGGGTTTTGCCATGTTGGCCACGCTGGTCTTGAACTCCTGACCTCAGGTGATCTGCCCGCCTCGGCCTCCAAAGTGCTGGGATTGTAGGCAAGAGCCATCACGCCCAGTTGAGCATCTTTTCTTGTGCTTATTGGCCACTTGTATATCTTCTTGGGAAAAATATCTATAGCAATATATAACTTTACACACAAATATCCATCTTTTCTAGTACAGTCTGAGACTGTGCAGGAGGTCTGACAATTGCTTCTTCAGTTACCATCAGTGGTTAGAGTGGAGGGGACATATCCCGAGACATGCTTGGAGGAGAAGGAAACTGTGTTGGTTGATATTTTTCCTCAAAGTTGCTTCTCTTGACTGTCAGGTGGCATATGACTGTGGGGATTAAATTGAGTACTGAATATGGGCAGTGTGATATTCAGCAGCTCACACTGGTTCAGTGATATCAATTATTTAAGTCCTGCATCTGGCCGAGTGCAGTGGCTCATGCCTGTAATCCCAGCATTACGGAGGCCGAGGTGGGAGAATCACTTGAGTCTGGGAGGTCGAGGCTGTAGTGAGCCATGATTGCACCACTATACTCCCGCCTGTGTAAAAGAGCAAGTCTGTGTCTCAAAAAAAAAAAAAAAAAGGAAGAAAGAAAGGAAGAGAAGGAGGAAGGGAAAGGAAGGGAGGGAGGGAGGAAGGAAGGAAGAAAGGGCCGGGCGCGGTGGCTCACGCCTGTAATCCCAGCACTTTGGGAGGCCGAGACGGGCGGATCACGAGGTCAGGAGATCGAGACCATCCTGGCTAACACGGTGAAACCCTGTCTCTACTAAAAATACAAAAATTAGCCGGGCATGGTGGCGCGTGCCTATAGTCCCAGCTACACGGGAGGCTGAGGCAGGAGAATGGCGTGAACCCGGGAGGCGGAGCTTGCAGTGAGTCGAGATCGCGCCACTGCACTCCAGCCTGGGCGACAGAGCGAAACTCCGTCTCAAAAAGAAAAAAAAAAAAAAAAAAAAAAGGAAGAAAGGAAGGAAGGAAAGAAGGAAAGAAAGAAAAACACAAAAGTTCTTCATCTGTTCTGATTGGCTGATGTCTGAGCCATAATCCTTATTGAACATTTGGAATACCATGCCTGCCTATACAATATCAAGCACTTGTGCCTGGCAAATGCTTGGTAATTGCTACTTTCCTTTCTTTCTTTCTTTCCTTCTTTCCTTCCTTCCTTTCTTTCCCTTCCCTTTCCTTCCCCCTCCCTCCCTCCTTTCCTTCCTGCCTCCCTCCCTTCCTCCCTTCCTTCCTCTCTCTCTTTCTCTCTCTCTTTTCTTTTTTTTTCTTTTCTGAAACGGAGTTTTGCTCTTATTGCCCAGGCTGGAGTGCAATGGCACGATCTCGGCTCACTGCAACCTCTGCCTTCCGGGTTCAAGCGATTCTCCTGCCTCAGCCTCCTGAGTAGCTGGGATTACAGGCGCCCGCCACCATCTAATTTTCTGTATTTTAAATAGAGACAGGGTTTCACTATGTTGGTCAGGCTGGTCTCAAACTCCTGACCTCAGGCGATCCACCTGCCTCAGCCTCCCAAACTGCTGGGATTACAGGTGTGAGCCACCACGTCCGGCCTCTCTCTTTCTTTTCTTTTTTTCGACAGGGTCTCACTCTGTTGCCCAGGCTGGAGCACAGAGGTATGATCATGGCTCATTGCAGCCTTGAACTGCTGGACTCAAGCAATCCTCCTGCCTCAGCTTCCCGAGTAGCCGGGATTACTTACAAGCATGTGCCACTGTGCCCAGCTAATGTTTAAAATGATATCTTTCCCTTTACTTTTGGGCTCCTTTATGTCACTCCATCACTGACAGTAGGCCATCCACGGCTCGTATCTATGTTTCACTGTTCTGCATCCCTGAATTTTCACCTCATCCTGGATCCTGAAGCCTGCTTTGATGCTCTTTGGTGAGTGTTCTGGTTCTTTATTATGAAAATGAGATTTTTCTGTACAGCCCTTTGCCTTGGCAACTTTGGCAATTGCTCCTATTTCCAAAGTTGCCCCTGGAGCCACAATGTCTATTAATGTGAGGGTCCACTCTTAAAGGAAACATTTCTGTACGGATACATTGGGTTCACACTTACTAATGTTCTCACTCACTGATAGCCGTGGTGGCCATCAACTGATGTAAATGTTTTTTTTTCTTTTTTTTTTTTTTTGAGACAGAGTCTCGCACTGTCACCCAGGCTGGAGTGCAGTGGCGTGATCTCGGCTCACTGCAACCTCTGCCTCCCAGGTTCAAGCGATTCTCCTGCCTCAGCCACCCGAGTAGCTTGGATTACAGGCGCGCACCACCAGGGCCAGCTAATTTTTGTATTTTTAGTAGAGATGGGGTTTCACAATGTTGGCCAGGATGGTCTTGATCTCTTGACCTCGTGATCTGCCCGCCTCAGCTTCCCAAAGTGCTGGGATTACAGGCGTGAGCCACCGGCGCCCAACCAACTTATGTAAATGTTGAAAACGAAAGTGTTAATTTTGAGATTGTTTGCTAATGCTGAACAAATGGAAACAATTTAAATGTTATTAACAGGGACTGGCTAAATAAAGCATGATACAGCCATATATTGCACAGGTTGGCATACTTTTTCTGTAACGAGCTAGATAGTAAACTCTCCGGGCATTGTAGGCCACAGTCTCTGATGCAACCTTTCAATTCTGCTACTATAGTGCAAAAGCAGGCTGAGACTCTATGGAAAGGAATAGGCATGGCTATGTTCCCATACAACTTCTTTTAGGTGCTGGGCCATATTTGGTCTAGAGGCCATACTTTGCTGACCCTAATATAATAAGTCTTACTATGTGACCATTAAAAAGAACCAAATAGAATTATATGTACTGACAAAGATATCCATCAAGTTGTTTTTTTGTTTTGTTTTGTTGAGATGGAGTCTCGCTCTTGTTGCCCAGGCTGGAGTGCAATGGCGTGATCTCAGCTCACTGCAACCTCCGCCTCCCAGGTTCAAGTGATTTTCCAGACAGCCTCCTGAGTAGCTGGGATTACAGGCGTGCGCCACTACACCCAGCTAATTTTTGTATTTTTAGTAGAGATGGGGTTTCACTATATGTTGGCCAGGCTGGTCTCTAACTCCTAACCTCAAGTGATCCGCCCACCTCGGCCTCCCAAAGTGCTGGGATTACAGGTGTGAGCCATCACACCTGACCCCATCAGGTGTTTTTTTTCTTTTTGTTTTTGTTTTGTTTTTTTTTTTTTTTAAAAAGAATATAAGGCCAGGTGTGGTGGCTCACGCCTGTAATCCCAGCACTTTGGGAGGCTGAAGCGGGCGGATCACTTGAGGTCAGGGGTTCAAGACCAGCCTGACCAACATGGTGAAAACCTGTCTCTACTAAAAAATACCAAAAAATTAGCCAGCCGTGGTGGTGCGCTTCTGTAATCCCAGCTACTCGAGAGGCTGAGGCAGGAGAATCGCTTGAACCTGGGAGGCGGAGGTTGCAGTGAGCCGAGATCGTGCCACTTCACTTCAGCCTGGGTGACAGAGCGAGACTCTGCCTCAAAAAACAAAACAAAACAAAACCAACCAAACAAAAAATATATATATAGCTGGGCATGGTGGCTCACGCCTGTAACCCTAACACTTTGGGAGGCTGAGGTGGGTGGATCACCTGAGGTCAGGAGTTCAAGACCAGCCTGACCAACATGGTGAAACCCCGTCTCTACTAAAAATACAAAATTAGCTTGGTGTGGTGGTACATGCCTGTAATCCCAGCTACTCGAGAGGCCGAGGCAGGAGAATCGCTTGAACCCAGGAGGTGGAGGTTGCAGTGAGCCGAGATCAGGCAATGGCCTGATCTCCAGCCTGGGTGACAGAGCAAGACTCTGTCTCAAAAAAAAAAAAAAAAAGAAAGAAAAAAAAGAATAAGAATGTATAGGCTGAGCATGGTGGCTCACGCCTATAACCCCGGTACTTTGTGAGGCCAAGGTGAGAGGATCGCATGAGCCCAGGAGTTTGTGACCAGCCTGGGCAACATAGTGAGACCTTGTCTCTACTAATATCAAAAACAAAAAACAACAAAAACAAAACAAAAAGTATATATATATATATGCATGTACATTTTTTGGAGGGGGAGGAGAAGGGGTCAAAGTTACACACACAGACACTTGTGTTTCTATAGGCTGACAGGACACAGGAGTCACACCAATTTGGGACCCATAGGCACTTTTTCTTACGTTATTGTTTGAATGTTGTACAATGAGAGAGCTTGGTTTTTGAAATAATTAAATGTAATTGAATTGAGATTTGTTTTGTTTCGTTTTTTTGAGACAGGGTCTCACTCTGTTGCCCAGGCTGGAGTGCAGTGGTGAGATCATGGCTCACCGTAGGTTCCACCTCCTGGGCTCAAACAGTCCTCCTGCCTCAGCCTCCCGAGTAGCTGGGACTAAAGGTGCATGCCACCACGTCTGGCTAATTTTTTGATTTTTATTTTTTTGTAGAGATGGGGTCCTACTATGTTGCCCAGGCTGGTCTCAAACTCCTGGAGAATTGGGCTTAACCAGTCCTCCTGCCTTGGACTCCCAAAGAGCTAGGATTACAGGCGTGAGCCATCACGCCTGACTGGGATTTGTTTTTAAAGTTCCAAAGAGCTTTACTAGTCTTAATCGTAATGTACATAAACTTGTATTCTATGTAAAATATAACAACTTCACAATCATAATAACCATACAGCCATCATTAGCACAGCGCCTCTAACCCACAGCCTCTTACGATTATAAATGGGAGTTCAGATAGATCCATGGACGCAGGGGAGGTTTGGTTGAGGAGCCAGGTCAGAGTCTTGGTTGGAAACACATGCAACTGTATCTGGAACCAGGGTCTGAGGCGAGCTGGGGACAGAGGGACCTCACTTCCAGCCTTCTCTATCAGCAACCCTCTAACATAGAGCTATTTCCAGGTCTAAAGGGTCTCAGAAATGTTCCAACAGCTTCTAGCTTCCTGGGCATTAGCTGCATTTTCACCTACCGGTAGCCCTAGTTCCTCATTTGCCAAAGGCCCACTGCAGGCCGGGCCCTGGTGCCAGCAGAGGAGGTCTGCACCCTCACAGCTGTAGCAGGAGGGAGACGTGCAGAGAGGTGAAGCTCACGGCCCTGGAATACGTGCACCACGGAGGTGAGTGCAAGTGGGTGGGGACTTTGTGGAACAAGTCACATCTGAGTCACTCTGAAGTATGAATAGGAGTCCACCTCATCAACCAAGGCAGGGCAGGAAATTCCAGGCAGACAGTAGTGCAGGGATGAAGGTCCAGAGACGGAAATACTTTTGAAGGCACCATATGAAGTTTATGAACAGAGGTGGAGCTGAGACACCACAGATCAGAAAGGGGAACCAGCAGAGGGTAGCAAGCAGGGGAGACAGGAAGTCAAATTTGAGCTTTAGGGAGATTTTTCTGATGGTAGGGGAGGAGAATGTGTGGGTAGAGCAGTTACTGGCCTCTTGTCCGTATAAGAAGTAATGTGGGCCTGGACTTGGAGCAGAAGTGATTCAGACCTTGCTCGCCTCGCCTCTGAGCCATATTCAAAGCTGCCCTACCAGCCTGCTGTGTCCTCTCCCCTCCCCTCCCCTCCCCTCCTCCCTCCCCTCCCTTCCCCTCTCACCTCCCCTCTCCCCTCCTCTCCCCTCCCCTCTCCCCTCCCCTCCCCTCGTATACTGTTGGTGTGCCAGCTCTCCTTTAGTCTTCAAACTTAAAGCTTGGGTGTCACCCACATCAAGAAAAGTCTATTGACTGGGTGTGGTGGCTCATGCCTGTAATCCCAGCTACTCAGGAGGCTGAGGCCGGGGGATCCCTTGAGCCCAGGAGTTCAAGGTTGCAGTGAACTATGATCACACCACTGCACTCCAGCCTGGGTGACGGAGCAAGACCCTGTCTCAAACAAAGCAAAACAAAAAACCCCAAAAAACTCCACTGATGTCCCCACCCCATCCCCCACCATTCCCGAGCTTGGTCAGGGACCCCTGCCCTGGACTCTATGATGCTCTGTGCATTTCTTTTCTTTTCTTTTCTTTTTTTTTTTTTTTTTTTTGAGACAGAGTCTCACTGTGTCATCCAAGCTGGAGTGCAGTAGTGCGATCTCGGCTTGCTGCAATCTCTGCCTCCCAGGTTCAAGTGATTCTCCTGCTTTAGCCTCCTGAGTAGCCAGGATTACAGGCATGTGCCACCACGCCCAGCTAATTTTGTATTTTTAGTAGAGACAGGGTTTCACCATGTTGGTCAGGCTGGTCTCGAACCCCTGACCTCATGATCCGCCCACCTCGGCCTCCCAAAGTGATGGGATTACAGGCATGAGCCACCACGCCCAGCAGCTCTATGCATTTCTGAGTGTGAATCCCATTGCTTTATGATTGTGTTCTGGTTTTTGTTTTACCACTAGATTGTGATTTTCCTACCAGGTCTCATTCATTCTTCTGACTCCAATGCCTATCACAAAGCCTGGCACAGAGAAGATAAGAGCAAATATTTGTGATTGAATGAGTAAATGATGAATGAAAAGTGAAGACGGGAGATGAGAGAGGTATTTGGAGGTGGAATCAGGGTAACTTGGCAAGTGATTGGCAGGGATAGTGCAGAGGGTGGGTGGTGAGAGGGTGGCATCGAAGATGACTCCAGGTTTTCTGGTTTGGGAGTAGGGGAGCTCTGAACTGTTTTTATTCACAATACTTCTGCCACCAAATGTGTGAGTTTTTTCTTATACTGACCAGTTATTCAACTCTCCAGATACCAATTGGGTATCCAACAAATCAATTCCATTCTGACATTATCTACCTAGAATTAGTGTCAATGCCACCAAAGAGCTCCATCCCGCAAGACTGCCCTGATTTCAGATGTCGGTTGCTGGTACCAGGTTACCATCTGTATTTCTAACCAACCAGCTATAGAAGTCCTAGGTTACCACAACCCCCTCTTCATGTTCAATAATTTGCCAGAATGGCTCACAGAACTCGGAAACACTTTCGTTAGGCTTACCACTTTATGATCAAGGACATATGCTCAGAGACAGCCAGGTGGAAGCATAGGGCATGGTATTGGAGGGGCACGCAGGGCTTCTATGTCTCCTCTGGGCAGGCCGCCCTCCTAGCACTTCAGTGTGTTCACCAACTGGAAGCTCCCCGAATCTCATCATTTAGGGGTTTTTATGGAGGTTTCATTACACAGGCACAATTGATGAAATCATTGACCAATGCTGATTGACTCAATCACCAGCCCCTTTTCCTTCCTGGAGGTCTGGGGATGAGCTGAAAGTTCCAATTCTGTCATGCCTTGGTCTCTCTGGTGACCAGCCCCCATCCTCAAGCTATGTCGGGGACCCCCAGCCACCAGGCACCTTATTAGCACACAAAAGATATCATTCCAGGGATTCCAAGGGTTATAGGAGCTGCGTGCAAAGACTGAGGACAAAGACAGAATACATATTTACCACAGGAGGTGCTGGTGCCATTAGCCAACATGGGAGATATGAGAAGAGGAGCAGATGCCGGGCGCAGAGGCTCACGCCTGTAATCCCAGCACTTTGGGAGGCTGAGGCAGGTGGATCACCTGAGGTTGGGAGTTCAAGACCAGCCTGACCAACATGGAGAAACCCTGTCGCTACTAAAATTAGCTGGGCATTGTGGCGCATGCCTGTAGTCCCAGCTACTCAGGAGGCTGAGGCACTAGAATCGCTTGAACCCGGGAGGTTGTGGTGAGCTGAGACTGGGCCATTGCACTCTAGCCTGGGCAATAAAAATGAAACTCCGACTCAGAAAAAGAAAAAAAAAAAAGAAGAGGAGCAGATATGGGAAGGAAGATAGTTTCAGTTATCTACTGTGTCGGTGACACAAACAACAACAATTATTTATTTATTTATTTATTTATTTTTTGAGAGAGTCTTGCTCTGTCACCCAGGCTGGAGGGCAGTGGCGCAATCTCGGCTCACTGTAACCCCTCCTTCTCCCAGGTTCAAGCGATTCTCCTGCCTCAGCCTCCCGAGTAGCTGGGATTACAGGCGAGCACCACCAAACCCCACTACTTTTTCATATTTTTAGTAGAGACGGGCTTTTACCCTGTTAGCCAGGCTGGTCTCAAACTCCTGACCTCAGGTGATTCACCCGCCTTGGCCTCCCAAAGTGCTGGGATTACAGGCAAGAGCCACCGCACCCAGCCTTTAACAATCATTTATTATGTCTCCTGGTAATTGGGGGGGACTGGCACATTCATTCCCACTCCTGGACCAAGTTGACAACCCCAGCTTGGCTTGGCTTCTGACTGACCCATTTCCCTTTCTCTCCCATATGTTTACATACCTGTTGTATCTCAGTGGAGGCAGAATGCCTTTTATTGACCTTGTTTCACCCATGTATCTATGGATCTTTCCTCTCAGTCTTCATCGGGGGGCCTCTTACCTGTATGCAGACCTATAGCTCAGGCCTCCAGCAGCTTTGTGAAATAAAATTTGTCATGTGACTGATCTTCTATAGTCAGAGAGAACAGAGAATATATGCTAGAGCTCTTTCTCACATGTAACTGAAAGCCTCACTTTAGGCATGACTGGATCTAGGGATGTAAATGTGGCAAGGCCCTTGATTTCACTCCCTGATGATTCAGTCTCACTTCCTATCTCTCAGCTCTATTCTTGGGGGGGTTCTCTGTGTGGTGGCAAAAAATGGTGATAGTAGGCCAGGTGCAGTGGCTCACGCCTGTAATCCCAGCACTTTAGGAGGCCGAGGCAGGCTGATCACTTGAGGTCAGCAGTTCAAGACCAGTCTGGCCAACGTGGTAAAGCCCCATCTCCTACTAAAAATACAAAAATTAGCCGGGCGTGGTGGTGGACGCCTGTAATCCCAGCTACTCAGGAGGCTGAGGCACCAGAATCGCTTGAGCCCGGGAGGCAGAGGTTGGTGAGCTGAGATCACACCACTGCATTCCAGCCTGGGCAACAGAGCGAGACTCCATCTAAAAAAAAAATGGTAATAGTAGTTCCAACTCATTCCTTTCCAGATCAAGTCAAGCCAAAAAGGGCAAGCCTTTTATCCACAGGTGCCTGCAGCAGTGCTGAGAGTCACTCTGATGGGGCCAGTAGGGTCATTTGCTGGCCCCTGAATGGATCTCTGAGGTCAGGAACCTGCAGCAGGGTCTTGTGCTGGAGAAAGAGGGGTGGGGAACAAGCAACAAGTATTCACTTTAAGGGGCAATGCTCTGAAATCCCTCCCCTATGCAGATGGAGCTCAGACCACCAGTCCAGTGCCTGGCACATTGTAGCCCTCAAGAAATACTTCTACTTCTAAAAAGATGGCACCACAGAGCCATGACTAGGATTCTGAGACAGAAGCTATGTCCTGGCCTTGTGGCCAGTGTGGGCCCAGTGAGCGGAAGATACCTGCTGGCTGAGTCAGGATACTCTACACGCTTACAGGGCACTGACCCTTTTTGTTTTAGATGTTTAATTACTAGTCTGTCTAGGGAAATACAGGTGAGAAGACAAAAATCCCACACATGGGGAAGTTGCAGAGTCATGAAATCTCTTAAGGTGATTATAGCCTTAGTCCTTACAGTATATAGTTTCCAGTTGTTTTCCTGAGATTGAACCTAGAAGCCCAATTTATCATTTTTTTTTTCCTTGAGACGGAGTCTCAATCTGTGGCCCAGGCTGGAGTGCAGTGGCATGATCTCAGCTCACTGCAACCTCCGCCTCCCGGGTTCCAGAGATTGTCCTGTCTCAGCCTCCCAAGTAGCTAGGATTACAGGCACGCACCACCACACCTGGCTAATTTTTGTATTTTTAGTAAAGACAGGATTTTGCCATGTTGGCCAGGCTGGTCTTGAACTCCTGACTTCAGATGATTGTCTCAACTTGGCCTCCCAAAGTGCTAGGATTACTGGCGTGAGCCACCACACCTGGCCCAATTTATTAATTTTTTTCACTCATCTAATAAAACCCTTGTTGATCATCTAAGAGCTCTGGGCCAGACACTACAGGTGTAAAGGTGAATAAAGGCCTAATCTTTTGTTTTTGTTTTTGTTTTTCTTGAGACATGGTCTCCCTCTGTCACCCAGGCTGGAGTGCAGTGGTACGATCTTGGCTCACTGCAACCCCAGCCTCCTGGGCTCAAGTGATCCTCCTGCCTCAGCCTTCCGAGTAGCTGGCACTACAGGTGTGAGCCACCACACCTGACTAATTTTTATATTTTTTGTGGAGATGGGGTTTTGCCATGTTGCCCAGGCTGGTCTCCAACTCCTGAGCCCAAGCAATCCACCCACCTCGGCTTTCTAAAGTGCTGGGATTACAGCGTGAGCCACCACACTGGCCAATAAAGCCAAATCTTAGCTCCTAAGAAGTTCACAGCCAGAGTGGGGAGAGTGACTAAACAAATGACCATGGTGAATTTCATAACTTCAGATGAGAAAGGTATAAAGGAAGAGCTTTGGAAGGAGAGAGCTGCCCCCTCCTCCAGGGGCTCACTCACCTGTGGGCTCTGTAGAAGCCCTCTGAAAAGCAGTTTCTCAGCACAGTGAGCTCGAAGTCGTCTCCATTCACACCTGGAGCACCGCCCTGTATTGCAAATGGGAGGGTAAAGTTGGTGTAAATTTTATGGAGGGCAATTTGGCAATAACTAACAAAATTTTGCCACCATTTTCTCTTCTAGGACTGCTTCTTTCCTTGCATGTGTATGAAATTACATTTGTATAAGGTGTTGCATGGCAGCACTGTTGGTAATAACTAAGACTGGAAGTAACCTCTGTGCTCAACATAAATAACAATGATGGTGCAACTGCATAAAGAAATACTATGCAACTATAAAAAAAAGAGGAACCTCTTTAGGTACTGATCTGGATCATTCCAAGATATCCTGATATATGAAAAAGCATGTATCTGAACCCTGTTATATTAATAATATGCTGCCTTTTGTAGGAAAAAAAGGAAAAAAGTATATATATGCATACACACTCATATAATTTGTATATGTATAAACTAGCTCTGGAAGGAAACAAAAGAAACCAGTAGATCCTCTGGGGAAGGGAACTGGGTGTCCCAGAGTGGGAAACTCCACTGTGTATTCTTTTTACCATTGGAATTTTGAACTTATTATGTTTTGTTTATTTATTTACTTATTTATTATTTTTTTGAGACGGAGTCTCGCTCTGTTGCCTAGGCTGGAGTGCAGTGGTGCCATCTCGGCTCACTGCAAGCTCCGCCTCCTGGGTTCAAGTGATTCTTATGCCTCAGCCTCCCAAGTAGCTGGGATTATAGGTGCCTGGCTAATTTTTCTATTTTTAGTAGAGACGGGGTTTCGCCATGTTGCACAGGCTGGGATTTCAGGTATGCGCCACCACACCCTGCTAATTTTTGTATTCTTAGTAGAGACAGGGTTTCACCATGTTGGCCAGGCTGGTCTCAAACTCCTAACTTCAAGTGATCCGCCCACCTAGGCCTCCCAAAGTGCTGAGATTACAGGAGCAAGCCACTGTGCCTGGCCTGATTTTTTAAAGAGCTCCCTCCCCCAGTCTCCCTAGCTGAGATTGGGGGGTGAGGGCAATTTGCATCTCAGGGAAGGTATGCTGGTCTCATTTCATCTCAATGATCCTTTATCTCCTCCACCAGAAAGCCCATCTTTGGTCATTTCTTTCTTCACATTGACTTGGCATAAACTTTTAACGTTATCAACAACTGCTTAGCCTAATATTAGCTTTCATTTCCCTTCTCCTTCCCACAGAAGGCTTTGTGCTTTCACGAACTCCCGGTTTGGTCAGGCTAAGGTTCTGGATTTCAGTCTTGGCTCTAGCGGCCGGCAGCTGTGTGGACACTCTACCATCTCAGTCTTTATTGCTTGACAATTGTAGCTGCTTTCAGCAAAGTTTGTTAAGCTCAGGGGCTGTTCCAATTGTCAGTTCTTCCTCCTCTGGTGGGGAAAGTCCCCTTTAAAGCCACGTGCTTAAAACTGAAACCTGCAGGCCATCACAAAGGCGGGGTCTCCACACCCATCTCAGCTCCACCAACTGCAGGCTCCCAAGTACCTCTTACACCCTTGCTGATGACCGCCCTTGGAGGAAGTTCAAGGCCAAGGTGGCTTGAGAAACCCAGCTCTTGGCAGTTTCTAAATCTAGATTAATTTTCCCTCCAGAGAGGAAATTTTGTTGGTTGCAACCTGGTTGCTGCCATGTGACCAGGCTTGGCCAGTCCAGATCTTCCCCCAGGTAGAAGGATCTGGATAGACTGACGGCAGACAAATAGAGACTGTTCTCAGCAGCCACGGCAGTAGACTGCAGACTGCAGCCTTAAGTAACCACCCCCCACCCCTACCCTCATCCCCTTCACTTTCACCACTACCCTTTCACATCACCACCATCATAATCACTACCCCTGCCGTCACACCAAGGTCACCTTACAACTCCATTTGTCTAGCAGAGACTTCACTGAAAGATTGGGGTAATAACTAAATAACTGCAGAGGATGAACATGGTCATGTATCTGTGTAGCTAAAGGAACAGTCCCAGTGCATCCCATGGATCTGAGGGAGGCCTAAGGAGCTCTACCAGGAACATCCCTTCCCTGCAGACCTGCTGGTGGGTCCGCAGCTCAGCAAACTAGAAAACTGTGGACACGGCTGGGTGAGGTGGCTCATGCCTGTAATCCCAGCACTTTGGGAGGCCGAGGTGGGCGGATCACCTGAGGTCAGGAGTTTGAGACCAGCCTGGCTAACACGGTGAAACCCCCATCTCTACTAAAAATGCAAAAATTAGCTGGGCATGGTGGCGGGCATCCCTACTCAGTAGGCTGAGGCAAAAGAATTGCTTGAACCCGGGAGGAGGAGGTTACAGTGAGCCGAGATTGTGCCATTGCACTCCAGCCTGGGCAACAAGAGTGAAACTCCGTCTCAAAAAAAAAAAAAAAAAAAGAAAAAAATAACTGTGTAGACTCTGACACTGTGGCATAAATATAAATGTACCCTAACATGCATGGGAACTTGTTTCTAACTTAGCATGTAGCGTGATGAAATGAAAAATAAGGTCTGTTATACCACATAAGGGTTCAGTTAAAGTCTTACCTCAGGATGTTTCTCCTCTGGTTTCACTTTTTAAATGAGTAATAAATCACACGTGTCATCTTTATAAGAAACTCCAGGATAGAGTTTTATTATTTTTTTTCTGGTCTTATATAAAAAAGAGTTGTACTTCTTTAGATTCAGGAGTGTGCCTTTTTTTTTTTTTCTTTGAGACAGGGTCTCATTCTGTCTCCCAGGCTGGAGTGCAGTGGTGTGACCACAGCTCATGAGGCATCCTCCCACTTCAGCCTCCTGAGTAGCTGACCACAGGCGTGTGCCACCACACCCTGCTAATTTTTAAAATTTTTTGTAGAGGTGGGGTCTTACTATGTTGCCCAAGCTGGTCTTGAACTCTTGGACTCTCACATGGACCTCCCAAAGTGCTGGGATTACAGGTGTGAGTCACCATGCCCGGCCAAGAGTTTGCCTTTATCACATAGTTATTGTAAACTGCATAACTAATCAGATTTCCCTTTTCACACAGGCTGCTAGGAAACTTTGAGTCAAATATACGGCCCAGCTCTGGCAAGCATTGAATTCTTTAAGCTCTGAATTTTTTTTTTCTTTTTTTCTTTTTTCTTTTTGAGATGGAGTTTCACTCTTGTTGCCCAGGCTGGAGTGCAATGGTGCGATCTCGGCTCACTGCAACCTCTGCCTCCCGGGTTCAAGTGATTTTCCTCCCTCAGCCTCCCAAGTAGCTGGGATTACAGGGGCCCACCACCACGCCCAGCTAATTTTTTGTATTTTTAGTAGAGATGGGGTTACACTATGTTGCCCAGGCTGTTCTCGAACTCCTGACTTCAGGCGATCTACCGGCCTCAGCCTCCCAAAATGCTGGGATTACAGGTGTGAGCCACTGTGTCTGGCTAAACTCTAAATTTTTTTTTTTTTTTTTTTTGAGACGGAGTCTGTCACTCAGGCTGGAGTGCAGTGGTGTGATCTTGGCTCACTGCACAGCCTCCTCCTCCTGGGTTCAAGCGATTCTCCTACCTCAGCCTCCCGAGTGGCTGGGACTACAAGCACAGGCCACTGCGCCCAGCTAATTTTTGTATTTTTAGTAGAGACGGGGTTTCACCATGTTGGCCAGGCTGGTCTCGAACTCCTGACCTCGTGATCTGCCCGCCTGGACCTCCCAAAGTGCTGAGATTACAGGCGTGAGCCACTGCACCCAGCCTAAGCTCTGAATTTTTAATCCCTATTCCTGGCTTGACTTTTTCTTTACTTTTGTCTCAGTTTTTTTTTTTTTCCTTTTTTTACTGAGTCTTGCTCTGTTGCCCAGACTGGAGGACAATGGCGCAATCTCAGCTCACTGCAACCTCTGCCTCCCAGGTTCAAGTGATTCTCCTGCCTTGGCCTCCCGAGTAGGTACGATTACAGGCACCCACCACCACGCCAGGCTAATTTTTGTATTTTTGTAGAGATGGAGTTTTACCATGTTGGCCAAGCTAGTCTTGAACTGCTGACCTCAGGTGATCTACCCACCTCAGCACCCCCAAAGTGCCGAGATTATAGGTGTGAGCCACTGGGCCCAAGCCCTTTTGCCTCCGTTTTAATTTCTGTCTTGTTATAAACTTGTAAACCACCATAAACCCTTTCCAGATCAAGATGGAGATTAGACCAGCAGATGTGTCTTGTCTAACCTCCTTTTATACGCAAGTTGAAGAGGTTGTACTGAAAACAACATGGAAGACTACTGGACATTGCACATTGAAATTAAGGTCATCTGTTTTTTTTTTTTCGAGATGGAGTTTCGTTTTTGTTGCCCAGACTGGAGTGCAATGGCTTAATCTCGGCTCACTGCAACCTCCACCTCCCAGGTTCAAGCGATTCTCCTGCCTCAGCCTCCCGAGTAGCTGGGACTACAGGCACATGCCACCACATCTGGCTAATTTGTGTATTTTTAGTAGAGATGGGGTTTCACCATGTTGGCCAGGCTGGTCTCCAACTCCTGACCTCGTGATCCACCTGCCTTGGCTTCCCAAAGTGCTGGGGTTACAGCCACCACGCCCGGCCTAGCCCAGGACATCTTTTTTTCTTCCTCCCCAAAAGGAAAACTACCCAGTCTGAATGAGTATCTTCTAAATCATTTTTAGATTTTGGAAGTCTCAACGTCAAGACTCAGGCATTTTGTTTGTCTTTTGAGACAGGGTCTCACTCTGTTACCCAGGCTAGAGTGCAGTGGTGTGACCACAGCTCACTGCAGCTTCTACCTCCTGAGTTCAGGCGATCCTCCCATTTCAGTTTCCTGAGTAGCTGGGACCACAGGCGCATACGATCACAGCCGGTGAATTTTTTCATTTTTTATAGAGATAGGATCTCCCTATGTTGCCCAAACTGGTCTTGAACTCCTGGGCTCAAGTGATCCTCCCACCTCAGCCTCCCAAAGTGCTGGGATTATAGGCATGAGTCACCACGCCCAGACTTTTTTTTTTTTTTTGAGATAGAGTCTTTCTCTGTTGCCCACGCTGGAGCACAGTGGCATCATCTTGGTTCAATGCAACCTCCACCCCCTGGATTTAAGTGATTCTTGTGCCTCAGTCTCCTGAGTAGCTGGGATTGCAGGTAGCGCGCCATCACACCCAGCTAATTTTTGTATTTTTAGTAGAGATGGGGTTTCACCATGTTGGCCAAGCTGGTATCGAACTCTTGGCCTCAAATGATCCACCCGCCTCAGCCTCCCAGAGTGCTGGGATTACAAGCATGAGCCACCCCACCTGGCCTGTTTTGTTTTTTGAGATGGGGGTCTCACTGTGTTGACGAGACTGGTCTCAAACTCCTGGGCTCATGCAATCTTCCCGCCTCAGCCTCCAGAGTAGCTGTGACTACAGGCACGCACCACCAATTCTGGTTAAGCCTCAGACATTTTTGATCTCTGATCCTCTGTAATCACCCATCCATGAGTCAAGAGGGGACTCTTGATATAACTGCCTGGGTAGGGAAGATCATGGGGTAGCAGAAAATACCAGGGAAAAACACATATAAACACTTACATCAAAATATTATTCATCGGTTTAAGGATACTATTTATTTATTTGTTTATAGATGGAGTTTCGCTCTTGTCACCCAGGCTGGAGTGCAATGGTGCAATTTTGGCTCATCGCAACCTCTGCTTCCCAGGTTCAAGCGATTCTCCTGCCTCAGCCTCCCGAGTAGCTGGGATTACAGGCATGTGCCACCATGCCTGGCTGATTTTGTATTTTTAGTAGAGACAGGGTTTCTCCATGTTGGTGAGGATGGTCTCGAACTCCCAACCTCAGGTGATCCGCCCGCTTTGGCCTCCCAAAGTGCTGGGATTACAGGCGTGAGCCACTGCACCTAGCCTAAGCATAATATTTTTAAAAAGAAAAAAAAAAGACTACTTTTAGAACACCTTTATTTTTATTTTAATTTTTTTTGAGATGGAGTCGCACCCTGTCGCCCAGGCTGGAGTGCAGTGGTGCAATCTGGGCTCACGGCAACCTCCACCTCCCAGGTTCAAGCAATTCTCCTGCATCAGCCTCCTGAGTAGCTGAGACTACAGGTGTGCACCACCATGCCCAGCTAATTTTTGTATTTTCAGTAGAGACAGGGTTTCACCATGTTGGCCAGGCTGGTCTTGAACTCCTGACCTCAGGTGATCCGCCTGCCTTGACCTCCCTAAGTGCTGGGATTACAGGCATGAGCCACCGTGCCCAGCCCACCTTTATAGAAAATTGAATTTATAGAAAATTTATAGAAAAATTGAACAGATAGTAAAGGAAGTTCCCATATATTTTCCTCTCACTGTTTCTCCTATTATTAACATCTTGCATTAGTGTGGTACATTAATTACAATTAATAAGCCAATATGAACACATTATTAGCTAAGGTCCATAGTTTAAATTAAAGTTGACTTTTTTTCTTCTTTTTTGTGACAGGGTCGTGCTCTGTTGCTCAGGCTAGAGTGCAGTGGGACGATCTTAGCTCACAGCAGCTTCAACCTCCCAGAGTCACGGTATCCTCCTGCCTCAGCCTCTTGAGTAGCTGGGACTACAGGCACGTGCCACTACACCTGGCTAAGTTTTGTATTTTTTGTAGAGGTGGGGTTTTGCCTAGGCTGGTCTCGAACTCCTGAGCTCAAGCAATCTGCCTGCATTAGCCTCCCAAAATGCTGGGATTACAGGTGTGAGCCACTATACCTGGCTTGTTATCTTCTAGAAGTTTCATAGTTTTCCATTTTCCATTTAGGTCTATGATCCATTTTGAGTTAATTTTTGTGAAAGGTGTAAGGCCTGTGTTTAGATTCCTTTTTTTTTTTTTTTTTTAATTGAGATGGAGTTTCACTTGTCACCCAGGCTGGAGTGCAATGGTGCGATTTTGGTTCACTACAACCTCTGCTTCCCAGGTTGAAGCAATTCTCCTGCCTCAGCCTCCCGAGTCGCTGGGTTTACAGGCATGTGCCACCACACCTGGCTAATTTTGCATTTTTAGTAGAGACGGGGTTTCTCCATGTTGGTCAGGCTGGTCTTGAACTCCCTACCTCAGGTGATCTGCCTGCCTCAGCCTCCCAAAGTGCTAGGATTACAGGCATGAGCCTCCGTGCCTGACCTAGATTCTCTCTCTCTCTCTCTTTTTTTTTTTTTTTGCCTATGTACATCTAATTGTTCCTAACTCTTTGTTAAAAAGACTGTCTTTTCTCAATGTATTGCCGTTGCTCCTTTGTCAAGGATCAGATGGCTGTATTTGTGTGTATCTATTTCAAGGCTCTGTATTCTGTTCCATTAATTTATTTGTCTATTCTTTTGCAAATACCATACTGCCTTGATTATTGTAGCTTTATAGTAAGTCTTGAAATTGAATAGTGTCAGACCTCTGACTTTGTTCTTTCTCTTCAGTATTGTGTTGGTTATTCTGGGTCTTTTGCCTTTCCATGTAAACTTTAGAATCAGTTTGTAGAGATCCACAAAATAACTTGCCAGCCTTTTTGTTTTTTTTAATTGGGATGGCCTTGAGTCTACAGATCAGGTTGGGCAGAATTGTCATCTTAATAATATTGAAACTTCTCATTCGTGAACATGGAATATTTCTCCTTTTATTTTTATAGGTTTATTCCAAAATATTTCTTTCTTCTATTTTGGTGTTAATATAAATTGTATTGTGTTTTAAATTTCAAACTGTGGCCGGGTACTGTGGCTCACGCCTGTAATCCCAGCACTTTGGGAAGCCAGGGTGGGCAGATCACCTGAGGTCAGGAGTTCGAGACCAGCCTGGCCAACATGGTGAAACTCCATCTTTACTAAAAATACAAAAAATTAGCTGGGTGTGGTGGTGGGCACCTGTAGTCCCAGCTACCTGGAGGCTGAGGCATGAGAATCGGTTGAACCCAGGAGGTGGAGGTTGCATTCAGCCCAGATTGGGCTACTGTGCTCCAGCATGGGTGACAGAGTGAGACTCTGTCTCAAAAAGTAAATAAGTAAAAAATAAAAATAAATTTCAAATTGCAATGGTTCATGCTAGTGTTTAGGAAAGCAATTGACTGTTGCATATTGGCCCTGTGACCAATGGATTCTGCAACCTTGCTATAAGGCTTATTAGCATTAGAAGGTTCTTGTTGATTTTTTGGGCACAGAGACATTAATGCCATCTGTGAGGAAAGACAGGTTTTTTTTCCTTACCAACGCTTATACCTGCCCCCTACTTCTTCTTCTTTTTATTTATTTATTTATTTATTTTATTTGACAGGGTCTTGCTCTGTCACCCAGGCCGGAGTGCAGTGGCATGATCATGGCTCACTGCAGCCTTGACTTCCTGGCATCAAGTAATCCTCCCACTTCTGCCTTTCCAGTAGCTGGGACTATAGGTGCACACCATCATGCCCAGCTAATGTTTCTTTTCTTTTTTTCTTTCTTTTTTTTTTTTTTGAGTCACAGTCTTGCTCTGTTGCCCAGGCTGGAGTGCAGTGGCTTGATCCCACTGCAACCTCTGCTTCCCAGGTTCAAGGGATCCTCCCACATCAGCCTCCCAAGTAACTGGGACTACAGGTGCACACCACCATGCCCAGATCATTTTTCTGTTTTCATAGAGACAGGGTCTCAGTATGTTGCCCTGGCTGTTTTTGAACTCCTGGGCTCAAAAGATCCTCCCACCTCGACCTCCCAAAGTGCTGGGATGAAAGGCATGAACCACCTGCACCTGGCCTTTAAAATTTTTTTTGTCTTCATATTTTATTGCATAAGTTAGGATTTTCAGTGTGATGTTTAATAGGAGTGTTGAGAGTGGATGTAATTTTCTTGTTCTTGAATTTAGGGGGAAAGCATGTAGCTTGTTACCACTATGTATGATGTTAACTGGTTTTTTTGGTAGATTTTATCAACTTGAGGAAGTTTCCCACTATTCCTAGTTTTCTGAGAGTGGTTGTTCATTTAACATGAATGAATGTCGGGTTTTGTCAAATGCATTTTTCTGCATCAATTGATATGATCATATGATTTTTCTTTTTATTCTGTTGATGTGATGAGTTACATTAATTTATTTTGAATGTTGAACCAGCCTTGCATACCTGGAGTAAATCCCACTTAGTCATGGTGTATAATTCTTTTTATACATTGTTGGATTTGATTTTCTAATGTTTTGTTGAGGATTTTCACATCTATGTTCATGAGAGATATTGATCTGTAGTTTTCCTTTCTTATAATGCCTTTCTCTGGCTTTGGTATTAGGGTAAAGCTGGCCCCATTCAATGAGTCAGGAAGTTGCTCTAAAATGTGCACCTGGGATTTGTCTTAATTAGGTGTGGTAAGGTGACAGACACACAGACAACTGTCTTTGAAAGAAGAACTTATTATTTGTGTTTCCCAGGAGAAGGGGGTATGCAATAGAGGGCCACATGGGGAAGCACCAAAGTAGGTCAAGAGGCAGAGTGAGCCAGGGGACAGCCCGGCCCAGAGCCTATGTTGTGTTTTCCATGGGAAAGGCAAGGCAGGGCAAAGGAAACAGTTTAGGATTAGCCGGTTAGAAGAATTCCAGTGGGCTTTGTGGCATAGAGGCTGTCCCTAGTTGTCTGGTACCTGACCCTGGGTTGATTTAGGGAAAAGAAAATATTGTCTTGATGTCTGAGAATTAGATACAAAGGGTGGTTCAGGGTATGGACTCTGGATTGCAGGACAGGTGTTAAACAACTTTGGCCATTAGTTTGGCCCTGTGACTAATGGATGTGAAACAGACAAATATAGACTAAGAAAACACAAAACAGAAGTACTGTCACTGCTTCTATTTTCTGAAAAAGATGAGAGGAAATTGATATCATTAAAAACATGTTTGTTAGACTTCACCACTGAAACTCTCTGGGCTTGGTGTTTTCTTTTATGGAAAGCTGTTATTTATTGATTTTTTTTTTTTTTAAGACGGAGTCTTGCTCTGTCACCCAGGCTGGAGTGCAATGGAATGATCTTGGATCACTGCAACCTCTGCCTCCTGGGTTCAAGTGATTCTCCTGCCTCAGCCTCCCAAGTAGCTGAGATTACAGGTGCCTGCCACCATGCCCGGCTAATTTTTTGTATTTTTAATAGAGTCGGGGTTTCACAATGTTGGCCAGGCTGGTCTAGAACTCCTGACCTCGTGATCCATCCGCCTGGGCCTCCGGAAGTACTGGGATTATAGGCGTGAACCACTGCGTCCGGCCAGATTATCGATTTTTGATTTTTCTTCTTTTACATTTATATGTAATGCTATAAATTTACCTTTAAGCACTGCTTTCACTATAGCCTACAAATGTTGATGAGTTGTAGTTTCTATTTTTTTTTTTGAGATGAGTCTCACTCTGTTGCCCAGGCTGGAGAGCAGTGGTGCGATCTTAGCTCACTGCAACCTCCACTTCCCAGGTTTAAGCGATTCTCCTGCCTCAGCCTCTCGAATAGCTGGGATTACAGGTGCCCGCCATCACACCCAGGTAATTTTTGTATTTTTAGTAGAGATGGGGTTTCACCATATTGGCCAGGCTGGTCTCCAACTTGTGACCGCAAGTGATTCACCCGCCTTGGCCTCCCAAAGTTCTGGGATTATAGACGTGAGCCCCCGCGCCTGACCTGTATTTTCATTTTTATTTAGTTCAAAATATGTAAACATTTCTCTTGACAGCTCTACTTTCACCTATTTATTTGGAATATTTAAAATTATGTTGTTTATTCTCCATATATTTTGGGATTTTCCAGCTATCTTTCTCTTACTGGTTTTTAATTTAATTCCACTGTGGTCTCAGAACATATTTTGTATTATTTCTATTCTTTTAAATTTGTTGAGGCATGTTTTGTGGCCCTGAATATGGTTTATCTTGGTGAATATTATATGTGAGCTTGAGTATAATGTGTATTCTGCTGTTGCTGGATGAAATATTCTATAGATGTCAATTAGATCCAATTGATTGATGATGCTGTTCAGTTCAACTATATCCTTACTGATTTTTTGCCTCATGAGTGGGTCAATTACTAATACAAGGGCGCTGAAGTCTCCAACTAAAATGGTGAATCTGTCTATTTCTCATTGCAGTTCCATCAGTTTTTGCTTCACATATTTTGATGCTCTGTTGTTAGGTATATCTAGGTTAAGAATTTGTTATATCCCTCTGGAAAACTGACTCCATTGTCATTACATACTGCCTTCTTTATCCATGATATTTTCCTTGTTTTGAAGTCTGCTTTGTCCAAAGTTAATATAGCTATTCCAGTTTTCTTTTTGGATTAGTTTTAGCATAATATATCTTACTTCATTCTTTTATTTTTAATTAATCTGAGTTTTCATATTTAAAGTGGATTTCTTGTATACACCATCTAATTGGGGTTCTTTTAAAAATCCACTCTGATGATCACACCATCAGAGTAGATTTAAAAAATGGTTCAGATTTAAAATGACTATTGATATAGTTAGATTAATATCTACCATATTTGTAACTTTTCTATTCATGTCACATTTTTTTTTCTTGCTCTGTTGCCCAGGCTGGAATGCAGTGGCGCAATCTTGGCTCACTGCAACCTCCGCCTCCCAGCTTCAAGAAATTCTCCTGCCTCAGCCTCCCCAGTAGCTGGGACTACAGGTGTGCACCACCACGCCTGTCTAATTTTTTATATTTTTAGTAGTGATGGGGTTTTGCCATGTTGGCCAGGCTGGTCTTGAACTCCTGACCTTATGTAATCTGCTTGCCTCAGCCTCCCAAAGTGCTGAGATTACAGGCATGAGCCACAGTGCCTGGCCACGTGTTATTTCCTTTTTTTTTTTTTTTTTTTTTTTGAGACGGAGTTTCGCTCTTGTTGCCTAGGCTGGAGTACAATGGTGCGATCTTGGCTCACTGCAACCTCTACCTCCCAGGTTCAAGCGATTCTCCTGCCTCAGCCTTCCCGAGTAGCTGGGATTACAGGCATGTGCCACTACACCTGGCTAATTTTGTATTTTTAGTAGAGATGGGGTTTCTCCATGTTGGTCAGGCTGGTCTCGAAACTCCCAACCTCAGGTGATCCGTCTGCCTTGGCCTCCCAAAGTGCTGGGATTACAGGTGTGAGCCACCTCTCCTGGCCTATTTCATTTTTTATTGTGGTAAAATATACATAACATAAAATTTGTCATTTATTATTATTATTATTTTTGAGATAAGTCTTAATGCTGTTGCCCAGGTGGGAGTGCAGTGCTGTGATCTCAGCTCACTGCAACCTCTGCCTCCCGGGTTCAAGTGATTCTCCCACCTCAGCCTCCCGAGTAGCTGGGAGTAGAGGTGCAGTCCACCATGCCCGGCTAATTTTTGTATTTTTAGTAGAGATGAGGTTTCAACTATGTTGGCCAGGTTGGTCTCGAGCTCCTGACCTCAAGTAATTCACCCACCTCGGCCTCCCAAAGTGCTAGGATTACAGGTGTGAGCTACCGCGCCCGGCCCCAAAATTTGTCATTTTAACCTTTGTTTTTTTTTTTTTTTTGGACAGGGTCTTGCTCTGTAGCCCAGGCTGGAGTGCAGTGGCATGATCTTGGCTCACTGCTACCTCTGCCTCCCAGGCTTAAGGGATCTTCCAACCTCAGCCTCCTGAGTAGTTGCAACTACAGGTGCACACCACCACACCTGGCTCCTTTTTAAAGTTTTTGTAAAGCTGAGGTCTCACTATATTGCCCAGGCTTATCTGAAACTCCTGGGCTCAAGTGATCCACCTTTGTCTCCCAAAGAGTTGGGATTATAGGTATGAGCCACGATGCCTGACAAATTTTATTTTATTTTATTTTATTTTATTTTATTTTATTTTATTTTATTTTATGAGTATTGTCCTGTAGCCCGGGTTGGAATGCCTGGAGTGCAGTGGTGCAATCTCGGCTTACTGAAACCTCTGCCTCCTGGGTTCAAGAAATTCTCCCTGCCTCAGCCTCCTGAGTAGCTGTGATTACAGGCATGTGCCACCATTCCCAGCTAATTTTTGTATATTTAGTAGAGACGGGGTTTCACCATGTTGACCAGGCTGGTCTTGAACTCCTGACCTCAGGTGATCCACCCACGTTGGCCTCCCAAAGTGCTGGGAATACAGGTGTGAGCCACTGCACCCAGCCATGCCTGACAAATTTTAACAATATTTAAGTGTATAATTCAGTGGCATCATGTACACTCACAATGTTGTATAAACATCACTGCTGGACCAGGTGCGGTGGCTCACACCTGCAATCCCAGCACTTTGGGAGGCCGAGGTGGGCGTATGACAAAGTCAGGAGTTCGAGACAAGCCTGGCAAACATGGTGAAACCCTGTCTCTACTAAAAAATACAAAAATTAGCGGGGTGTGGTGGCGGGCGCCTGTAGTCCCAGCTACTTGGGAGGCTGAGGCAGGAGAATTGCTTGAACCGGGGAGGTGGAGGTTGCAGTGAGCCGAGATCGGCCACTGCACTCCAGCCTGGGCGACAGGGCGAGACTCCATCTCAAAAAACAAAACAAAACAAAACAAAAAAACACTGTTTGTCTGTAGATTTTTTCACCATCCCAGAAACTCTACCCATTAAATAACAACTCCCCATTTTTCCCTTGACTTAGTCCCTGTAAACTCTGTACTACTTTCTCTCTCTCTAATTTGGGCTATTGTAGGCAACGATATAAATGGACTCATACAATATTTGCCCTTTTGTGTCTGGCTACTTCCACTTGTAAATAACGCTGCAGCACTTCACAAGTGTTACAAGTGGTGCAGGTACCATTTATGCATTCACAATTCCTCCTTCCCATCCTTTATAACATTGCGGTTATTCAGTTCACTTATACATATGCTACAATTGCCTAATACATTGTTGCTATTAGAACTTTTATCAGTTATCTATTAGATTAATTAAATATAAGAAAAAGGATTTCATTTTACCTTCACTTATTCCTTCTTGGATCCCTCTCTGAAGAACTTCTTTTTAGCATTTCTTTTTTGTTGCTTTCTGGCCTGGTGTGGCCCTTAGGTATTTAATACTACAGTACTCTCCGAATTGTTTCTGCTTTAGTCAAGTCATGGAGCAGTGGAAACAAAATATAAAATATGTTCCAGTTCTCTGCTGTCACTCCAGAGATGACCACCAGATGGCGCCCGTTCCCACTTCCTAAGGCCTCTTGTCTTCCGCACTGTAGCCGAGACACGCACGCGGGGTACCTGCAATCCGCTGATGGCTGCCGACTGCAGGCTGGTAGTTGAGTTCGTCAGTCTCCCTCCAACCCTGCATGTGTTTAGGACTCTGTGTTTAGGACTCTGTGTTTAGGCGTCCCTTGTAGGAACCAGGGCGGCAGGCTTTCCTCGGGAGCCTGGACGCCTCAGGTCATCATATAGTGATGATGATGGGGGGCCCGCCGGTGAGAGGGATCAGAGGCTGGCGGCACACCCCTCTTAGCACTGGCAGCCATGCCATGCAGGGCCACCCCACTATCCTGCAGGGTCACACACGCACGTCCCTCTGGACCAGGGAAGCTACGCATATGGGTGCAGCTGGGGGTAATTACAGACTGTAGGAGTGGTGGGGTCTGTGGGAGCGCAAGCTCGTCTCGAAGGTATTCATATCCAAAATTGCTTAAGACGCTGTGCTGCTGGCCCGGCACGATGGCCGTAATCCCAGGATTTTGGGAGGCCTTGGCGGGAGGATCACCTGAAGTCAGGAGTTCGAGACCAGCCTGGCCAACGTGGTGAAACCCCGTCTCCACTAAAAATACAAAAATTAGCCAGGCGTGGTGGTGGGCGCCTGTAGCCCCAGCTATTCGACAGGTTGAGGCAGGGGAATCGCTTGAACCTGGGAGGCGGAGGTTGCAGTGAGCTGAGATCACGTTATTGCACTCCAGCCTGGGAGTGAGACCCCGTCTCAAAGAAAAACAAACAAACAAACGACAACAACAAAATGTGCTGGCCTCAAAACGCACATCTGTAAACTACTTACCACCTTTAAAAAGTCTGGCGCGGGATAAAGTCCAAACGCGTTAGCAAGGCCCTGGGGAGCTTCATAGCTCTTCCCACCCTCCTTTCCATCCTGTCTCCCGCCTCTCTCCAATGCACTTTATGCTGTGTCCAGACTGAACGTGCCACGCCCCTCCACGCCCTTTATCCAGGGCGTAAGCCCTTTGTCCGGAAGGCCCTTTCTCCCCGTCTTCATCTCATTCAAGATCCAGCTGACGTGTGGCCCGGACTCCCCGGTGAGCTGTGGGTACATCCCAGGCTAGCTGCTGCAGGACCGTCGCGCCGCTCAACTCCAAGGAGCACCGTTTGCTCTGGAATGTGTGAGAATGGCGCCCCCTGGTGGCCCGGGAGTTGTGCAACGCGGCTGGGCACGCAGCCAGCGCTCACTGCAACTTGTCACTCGGGTCACCCTTCTCCGAGGCCACCTCCACAGCTGGCCACCAGAAGGCACCCTTCACCTTTCCGGGGCCTCCGTATTCATAAGCGAATTGATGACTAGGGAACCGATTTATGCATGGTGGGTGGCGCTGTTGGGTCTCAAGCTTGCCTTTCTCTGCCTAGCCCCGGGACCTCCTGAACCCAGTAGAGGCCTACCTTGAGGTGTATTTCTGCCCCTCTCTCCCCCATAGCTGCTCCTGAATACTCCTCAGCCACAATTTCTTCCCAGGTGGACAATATGGGCTCAAGAAATTGCTCCCTGAGTCATCAGATCCTCTCATGATGCTTAAGCTTTAATACAACATCCCTGCATGCCCCACTTGCCTAGACCTGCCCTGGATCATCAGTCTGTGCCCTCTTGGCTTGGGGAGGCCAAGAATGGGGCCTGCCTGTGTGTGGGCCAGGCAGACAGCCTCCTAGAGAGGTGACTTAGAGGCTCTGGAAGGCTCCCTCGGCTCCCTAAACCTGTGGGCAGGTGGAGAGGACCCAGCGCTGAACATCTCCCAGAAGAGATGGGAACAGCTAGTGGCTGAAGGGACATGCATCATATTCTCAGTAGCGCCTTTAGAATTTCTAAAAAAGAAGAGGCTCAAAGGCAGCAATCTGGTTATGTTATGGGTGGAGGGTGTCCAGGTTCTTGGCAGTTTGAACAAAGGATTGGACAAAATGCACAAACAAAGCAAGGAAGGAATGAAGCAACAAAAGCAAAAATTTATTGAAAACGAGAGTACACTCCACAGGGTGCGAACAGACCAAGCATAGGATTTTCTGGGGTTTAAATACCCTCTAGAGGTTTCCCACTGGCGACTTGGTGTACACTCTAAGTAAAAGAAATAGTGGCCCACTATCAGTCTGATTGGTTGCAGAAATTAACCAATCAGAGGCTGAAGTGAAGTTACAAAGTAACTTACACCTTTGTAAGTGTCTGATTGGTTGTGGAAAGCAACCAATCAGAGGCTGAAGTGAAGTTACAAAGTTACACTCCTATGCAAATATCTGGTTGCAGAAATCAACCAATCAGAGATACTTTCAATTTTCCGTCGGCCCCACAGAAAAGGGGGGTGGGGTTTGCAAAGGGAGTAGCCTCCAGTCCTTTTGTTACTTAGGTGTGGAAAGTTGGGGTTTTCCTTTTGATTTAGTTCTAGAAAGTCAGCGTGAATCGGCCTTAGGTTCCCTGCCTCCAGACCCTATTTTTCTGCTTCAGTCAGGAGGGGGTGGTCTGGGGATGTGGGGGGCAACTATGGGTTTGCCTTGAAACTCTATATGCCTTGTAAGGATGAAGCGTTTGCAGCTTAATTAAAACAGAAACATTTCCAGAGATGCCTTTATTCATGTTTATATGAGGATATTATAAGTGCTTATTTTATTTAAGAGGTTGATGAAGATTATAGTGGGGAAAAGCATCCCTTGGTACAGTTCAGGTCCTGGTGACAGGTTTGTTCACGAGCAGTGTTGGTGGTAAGGAAACTCTGATGGGTTTTAGCATTTTAGTGGGCTAATCCAGGAAGGAATGGGCTGCACCGGGATTACGTGGGTTGACCCCAGGGGAAGAGAATGAGAGGAAGTGTCAAGACAAAGGGAGAGAGGTTTGGGAAACTCCCCAGGACTGGGAGGAGCCAGAAGCCTGCAGTTTCCTCAAGGACCTGAGACTCTCACCCACTCTCTGTGTTCAGGGAAGTAGCCTCCCCTGTAGGAGCACTGATGTGGTAGATATAGTTAATAGTGGGGTGCAGGACCAGATTGAATTTCTTTTTTTTTTTTTTTTTAGACAGGGTCTCACTCTATTGCCCAGGCCTGGAGTGCAGTGGCTTGATCTTGGCTCACTGTAACTCCTGCCTCCCAGGTTCAAGTGACTCCCCTGCCTCAGCCTCCTGAGTAGCTGGGATTGCAGGTGTGTGTTACCACACCCAGCTGCTTTTTTTTTTTTTTTTTTGAGACGGAGTCTCACTCTGTCGCCCAGAGTGCAGTGGTGCGATCTTGGCTTACCACAACCTCCACCTCCCAGGTTCAAGTGATTCTCCTGCCTCAGCCTCCCAAGTAGCTGAGACTACGGGCGCACACCACCATGCCTGGCTAATTTTTGTATTTTTAGTTGAAACGGGGTTTCACCATGTTGGCCAGGATGGTCTTGATCTCCTGACCTCGTGGTCCTCCCACCTCGGCCTCCCAAAGTGCTGGGATTACAGGCGTGAGCCACAGCGCCCGGCCTAGGAAATGAATTCTATACAGAATAATCAGAGTGGTTCCTGTGCCCTTTGGCTGCTTGTGCAGTTAAGCACATTTATCATGACTATTATAAATTATTTCCTTTTAATTATAGCCAAGTTAATCATACACAAAATTTTTTATAGCTTTTCTTTTTATGAACCTTATCATGATTTACACAGACAATTTACAACATGCTTGAACTTTTTGTTTTGTCATAAATTTCCCTCTTTCTTAAATAAACAGTCATTTTACTGTAGGACAAAAATTTACCACATAAGATTATTTCTCATACAAAATTATTCTCTTTTCTTCTTAATCTTTGTTACCAAAAATACATCTTTACATCTGTGACTCTCTTTACATCTCTTTCACCTATTTACTAGTTTCTTTTTACCTTCTTTCATAAATAGGCTTTACATAATCTCTGTATTACATACAATTCTTTTTGTCAAAAGAATATAACTTTATGTCTTCCTTATATTTTTTTAAATGTGCATATTTTATACATAGAATTATATAACTAGAATCAATCCCTCCCTCCCTCCCTCCCCTCCCTCCCCTCCCTCCTTTCTTCCTTCCTTCCTTCTTTTTTTTGAGACAGGGTCTTGCTCTGTTGCCCAGGCTGAAGTGCTATGGCATGATCATGGCTCAATGAAGCCTCCAGCTCCTGGGCTCAGGTAATCCTCCTGCCTTAGCCTCCTGAGAAGCTGGGATTACAGGTGCCCGCCACCACACCCAGCTAATTCTTTGTATTTTCAGTAGAGACAGGTTTTCACCATGTTGGCCAGGCTAGTCTCGAACCCCTGACCTCCCACCTTGATCCACCCACTTTGGCCTCCCAAAGTGCTGGGATTGCAGGTGTAAGCCACCAAGCCTGGCCTAAGAATAAATTTATTATGAGTAGACTCATGCAATTATGGAGGCTGAGGAGTCCCACAATCTGCTTTCGACAAGCTGGAGACCCAGGAAAGCCTGGGCTATAATTCAGTCTGGGTCCAGAGACCTGAGAACCAGAGGAAATGATGATATGAATCTCAGTTTTGAGGCGGCAGAAGATAAAAGATGTCCCAGTTCAAGCAATGAGGCCGCATAAATACTGGGGAGGGCAATCTACTGGGCCCACCAGTTCAAATGCAATTCTCATCCAGAAACACCCTCACAAATATACTCAGAAACAACGTTTAATCTGGGTCCACTCAAATTGACCATAAAATTAACCATCACAGGCTCATACCAAGATGAGCATATTTTGGCTGGGTGCAGTGGCTCACTCCTATAATCCAGCACTTTGGGAGGCCGAGGCGGGTGGAGCACCTGAGGTTGGGCATTCAAGACCAGCCTGACCAACATGGAGAAACCCTGTCTCTACTAACAATACAAAATTAGCCAGTCTTGGTGGCACATGCCTGTAATCCCAGCTACTTGGGAGGCTGAGACAGGAGAATTGTTTGAACCGGGAGGTGGAGGTTGTGGTGAGCTGAGATCGCACCATTCCACTCCAGCCTGGGCAATGAGCGAAACTCCATCTCAAAAATAAAAAATAAATAAAAATAAAGATGAGCATATTTTGCTTTACCAGTTAATATGCTGAATTATGACAACAGATTTCCTAGTATTGAAATTTTATTGCATCCTTGGAATAAACCTTATTTGGCCATGTTTTGTTATTGTAATATACTTTTTTGATTAAATTTACTAGTATTTTATTTAGAAGTTTGCAACAATATTCACAGTAGATTTTGTTTTCAGGATCATATTTGCTTTGTAAATGTTTTGGAAGGCATGTTAGAGTGCTCCAGAGAGAAAGAGCCAATAGGATATGTATATATACAGTTGGCTTCTCATATCCAGGGTTTCTACATCAGGGAATTCAATTAATTGTGGATTGAAAATATCTGGGAAAAAAGCTTTTATACTGAACATGTATAGACTTTGTTTTCCTTGTCATTATTTCCTAAACAATACTGTTTAACAACTATTTGCATAGCCTTTACATTGATATTATAAATAATCTCGAGATGATTTAAAGTGTACTGGAGGATGTGCATAGGTTATATGCAAATACTATGCCATTTTATAGCAGGGATTTGACCATCTCTGGATTTTGCTATCTGCAGGGAGATAAGAATTCCTGTCCTACAGGATATATAACAAAATAGTGATTGTTTTAAGACGCTAAGTCTTGGAGTTATTTGATATGCAGCAATAAGCCAGAACAAAATGTGTTTAAGAATATAGTTTGGCCGCGCACGGTGGCTCATGCCTGTAATCCCAGCACTCTGGGAGGCCGAGGCGGGTGGATCACCTGAGGTCAGGAGTTTGAGACCAGCCTGACCAACGTGGTGAAACCCCGTGTCTCCTAAAAATACAAAAAATTAGCCAGGCATGGTGGCGGGCACCTGTAATCCCAGCTACCTGGGAGGCTGAGGCAGGAGAATCGCTTGAAACTAGGAGGCAGAGATTGCAGTGAGCTGAGATCATGTCATTACACTCCAGCCTGGGCGACAGAAAAAGACTCTGTCTCCAAAAAAAAAAAAAAAAAAAAAGAATATGGGCCGGGCACAGTGGCGCATGCCTGTAATCCCAGCACTTTGGGAGGCCGAGGCGGTCAGATCACGAGGTCAGGAGATCGAGACCATCCTGGCTAACATGGTGAAACCCCGTCTCTACTAAAAATACAAAAAAAAAAAAAATTAGCTGGGTGTGGTGGTGGGCGCCTGTAGTCCCAGCTACTCAGGAGGCTGAGGCAGGAGAATGGCATGAACCCGGGAGGCAGAGCTTGCAGTGAGCCGAGATCGCACCACTGCACTCCAGCCTGGGTGACAGAGCGAGACTCCGTCTCAAAAAAAAAAAAAAAAAAAGAATATGATAGTCCTAGCTACTTGGGAAGCTGAGATGGGAGGATAGCTTGAGCCCAAGAGTTCAAGGCCAGCCTGGGCAACATAACCTGGAACCCATCTCCCATAGATATGAGGGGCGACTGTATATAGATATATGAGAGGGGATTTATTAGGGGAATTGGCTCATGAGATTAGGGAGGTGAAAAGTCCCACGACAGACTGTCTGTAAGCTGGAGACCGTGGAATACCACAGTGGGGCTCAGTTCAAGTCCTAAAGTCTCAGAACCAGGGCAGCTGATAGTGTAATTCTCAGTCCAAGGCCAAAGGCCAAGAACCTGGGGGCTGCTAATGTAAGACCCAGAGTCCAAAGGCCAGGGAGCCTGCAGTTCTGATGTCCAAGGTCAGAAGAAGAAGGATGGCCCAGCTTCAGGAGAGAGAAAAAAAGAATTTGCCTTTTCTCTGCCTTTTGGTTCTATCTGGGCCCACAGCCAATTGGATGTTGTCCGCCCACACTGAGGGCAGATCTTCCTCAGTCAGCCCACCCACTCACATGCCAATCTCCTGTGAAAACACCCTCACAGACACACCTAGAAAGAATGCTTTACCAGCTCTCTAGGTTCTCGACTCCCCACTTTATTCAGTTTTGCTTTCTGTAGTTTTAGTTACTCCTGGTCAACCTTGGTCTGAAAATATTAAATTAAAAATTCCAGAAATAAACAATCCGTAAGTTTTAAATGGCTCATCGTTCTGTGTAACATGATGAAATCTCATGGCATTCCACTCTGTCCCTCCCAGGATGTGACTCATCCCTTTGTCCAGTGTTTCCACGTTGTATACACTACTCACCCGTTAGCTAGTCTCTTAGCAGCCATCTCAGTTACGAGTGACTGTCACAGCATCACAGTGCTTGTGTTCAACTGTTTAATTGTTCTATTTTATTATTAGTTGTTAATCTCTTACTGTGCCTAATTTATAAATTAAACGTTATCATAGGTGTGTACAGGGTTCGGTACATGTGTGGCTTCAGGCATCCACTGGGGATCTTGGAACATACCCTCCATGGATAAGGGGAGACTAGTGTATTACTTAATCAAGTCAAGTTGACAGCTAAAATTAACCATCACAGGAAGCATATGTCCTTTTCTAACTACTGAAACAAATTTTGAGGTATTGAAGTTATTGCTTTCTTGCAGCTTTGAAAGCAATCGTCTGTGAAACCATCTGGGCCTGGCACTCTTCTAAGTGGTAACAATGTGTGGGTGTGCACGCGTGCGCATGTGTGTATGTGTGTATGTGTCAGAGAGAGAGAGAGAGACATTATTCGGTGCATAGATTTATGGCTGATTTAAAAATATTGGACTGTCTGGCCAGGCATGGTGGCCCACGCCTGTAATCTCAGCACTTTGGGAGGCCAAGGCGGATGGATTACCTGAGGTCAGGAGTTTGAGACCAGGCTGGCCAACATGGTGAAACCCCATCTCTACTAAAAATACAAAAATTAGCCGGGCATAGTGGCGCAGTACCTGTAGTCCCAGCTACTCCGGAGGCTGATGCAGGAGAATTACTTGAACCTGGGAGGCGGAGGTTGCAGTGAGTCGAGATGGCACCACTGCACTCCAGCCTGGGTGACAGAGTGAGACTCTGTCTCAGGAAACAAAAACACGACCAGGCGTGGTGGCTCACGCTTGTAATCCCAGCACCTTGGGAGGCTGAGGCAGGCGGATCACCTCAGGTCAGGAGTTCAAGACCAGCCTGGCCAACATGGTGAAACCCCATCTCTACAAAAATACAGAAATTAGCTGGGCATGATGGCAGGTGCCTGTAATCCCAGCTACTTTGGAATCTGAGGTGGGAGAATCGCTTGAACCCAGGAGGGGGAGGTTGCAGTGAGCTGAGATGGTACCATTGCACTCTAATCTGGGTGACAGAGAGACTCCGTCTCAAAACAAAAACAAAACAAAACAAAAAAAGAAAACAAAAACAAACAAAAACCCAGTGACTTATATATCATAATAGAAGCTTATTCATCTTCCTGATAAAGATTAAAGATGTCTGGAAGGAGTAGTCCACGCCTGGTATAGCAACTCTGAGATCCCAGTCACCTTAATGCTTTCTGCTGCACCATCCTACATCAGTTTCCATCCCTAGTGTCATTTCGTGGCCCTGGGTGGGAGTGGGAGCTGGGCTTCTGCATTCAGTGGTCCTTGTGGTGGGCCAGGCCTGGCATGGGATGTACTGGTGCCCAGATCCAAGGAGAAAATGTCTGCTAGAAGCCAGGTGCCTGTGCAGATGAAATGGAAAAAAAAAAAAAAAACCTCAAACAGTGTGATGGTTAATTTTATGTGTGAACTTGGCTATGGTGTCAGCTATTTGGTCAAACACTGTCTAGATATTGTTGTGAAGGCATTTTGTAGATGTAATTAACATGTTCAATTAGTTGACTTGAAGAAAAGGAGATAGTCTTTGTGGGTGAACCTCATCCAATCAGTTTAAGGTCTTCAGAGAAAAAACTGCAGTTTCTCTGAGAAGAAGGACTTCTATCTTACGACTATAATATGGAAGAACTGCTTGAATTTCCATCTTGATGACCTGTCCTATGGATTTCAGACTTGTTAACCCCTGCAATCATCTGACCCAATGATACAGGAGTTAAAAAGAAATTATTTAGGCAGAGAGTGAGGGGAAGGAAGTCCTCGGTAAGGTTTTCCTTTTAATGAAAAGCAGCCCCCATATCATTTTCTTTTCTAACAAAGAGCAGCCTGTAAAATTGAGCTGCAGACATAGACAAGCAAGCCAGAAGCCTGCGTGGGTGAATGCTGGCAGTTATGACAATAGGAAAATGTTACCTGGAACTAGGCAAATTCAAAATGGCGCTCCACCTTCCCTTCTCTTTGCCAGCCATGTGTACAGTAAGGAGCAGACAACATGGTGACCACCAAATGGAAAGCCCATTTTCACAATAAGATTAGGATGGGGTGGCCAGCCTTCCTGAGCACTACGTAAGCGTCACACCTGGTCCAACCAATCTGTGGGCCCTACGCAAATCAGACACCACCTCTGCAAGCCTGCGGAGCACTCCCATTCTGGGCCAGATTTCCCATTTGGAATTCCCTCTCTCTCGCAAGATAGAGAGCTGTTCTCCTTTCTCTTTCTTTTGCCTAGTAAACCTCGGCTCCTAAACTCACTCATTGTGTGTGTCCGTGTCCTTGGCATGAGACGAGGAACCCCAAGTATTTACCCCAGACAAAAACAACAACGGCACTTCACCAATTTCTTAAAATCTCTTTCACTCCGTGTGTGTGTGTGTGTGTGTGTGTGTGTGTGTGTGTATCTCCTATTGGCTCTGTTTCTCTGGAAAACCCTGATAGAACCAACGAATAATTTGGGGACTCAGGAACCACTTTAGCTATTACTATTGATGTCAACACATTCCAAGGCCTGTTTACACAATCCCTGAAATTCAGCTTCCTTACTCAGCCCCCAAGCCATGTTGCTGGGTTGCATGCACCATGGCTTTCAGCCTAGACTGTGTGAGCGGTAACTATTATTGTGTCCATGGTTTGGTTTTCTATTCACTTTAATGGATCGTTCTAAAGGTAAATGTTTCCTGAATAGCCCAGTTTACTAGCTTTTATTTATTTCTTCAAAATTAGGGCACAAGATAAAATAATTTCATGATAGGTTAAATCCATTGTTGGTTTAGACCACATGCGTGATCTTCCACAGAGTTGGACTGAGTACTACTTATATATTACTCTCTCTCTCTCTTTGGAGACAGGGTTTCACTTACTTGCCCAGGCTAAGTAGAGTGACGCGATCATGGCTCACTGCAGCTACCACCTCCCAGGTTCAAGTGATCGTTCTACCTCAGTCTTCCAAGCAGCTAGAACTATGGGCATGTGTCAAGATGGCCAGCTAATTTTTGTCTATTTTTTGTAGAGATGCCAGTGGGCGGGGGGTGTCTCACTATGTTGCCCATGCTGGTCTCCAACTCCTGGACTCAAGTGATCCACCTGCCTCAGCCTCCCGAGGTGCTGGGATTACAGGCATGAGCCACTGTGTCCAGTCCACTCTTTCTTTTTTAAAAATCTATTTTCTGTGAATGATGAAATATTCGGATTCTTATTTAAAAAATTTTTTTTTCAGGCTTAATTCACTTTATTTTTCTTGTATAAAAACCCTATGTTGTAGCCACATCTGAAGCCTGGGTCCGCTGCACCGAGACTCTGGTGTGGGTCTTGACGAGGTGGTCAGTGAATTCCTGATAGGGAGACTTGGTAAATACAGTCTCCTTCCAGAGGTCGGGGGTCAGGTAGCTGTAGGTCTTAGAGATGGCATCAAAGGTGGCCTTGGCGAAGTTGCCCAGGGTGGCAGTGCAGCCCCGGGCTGAGGTGTAGCAGTCATCGATACCAGCCATCATGAGCAGCTTCTTGGGCACAGGTGCGGAGACGATGCCAGTGCCCCTGGGTGCAGGGATGAGGCGCACCAGCACAGAGCCGCAGCGGCCTGTCACCTTGCAAGGGACGGTGTGGGGCTTGCCGATCTTGTTCCCCCAGTAGCCTCTGCGCACGGGGACAATGGAGAGCTTGGCCAGGATGATGGCCCCACGGATGGCTGTGGCCACCTCCTTGGAGCACTTAACACCCAGACCGACATGGCCATTGTAGTCTCCGATAGCAACAAACGCCTTGAACCTGGTGCGCTGGCCGGCACGGGTCTGCTTCTGCACCGGCATAATCTTCAAAACCTCATCCTTGAGAGAGTCCCCCAGGAAGAAATCAATGATCTCAGATTCCTTAATGGGCAGGGAGAAGAGATAGATCTCCTCCAGGGACTTGATCTTCATGTCCTTGACCAAGCGGCCCAGCTTGGTGACAGGCATCCACTCCTTATCCTCGGCCTTGCCTCCGCGAGCTCCGCGGCCTCGGCACGGCCCCGTCCACTCCCGCGACCCCGGCCCCGGATGCCACTGCCGAAACCTCCGTGGAAGCCACCGCGGTTCCCTATCCCATGGCCACCAGGGCTCTGGGCCCCCCCGCTGCACCGGCGTCATCCGCCATTTGGTGTTTTCTCGGAGAAGAAGCAATTTTTAATTTAATTTTATTTTATTTTGGGGCAAGATCTCATTTTGTTGCCCAGGCAGGAGTACAGTGGCACCATCGCGGCTCACTGTAGCCTCGACCTCCTGGGCTCACGTGATCCTCTGACCTCAGCCTCTGGCTGATTTTTAAAATATTTTGTAAAGATGAGGTCTCACTATGTTGCCAGGCTCGTCTCAAGATCCTGACCTCAAGTGATTCTCCTGCCTCAGCCTCCCAAAGTACTGGGATTACAGGTTTGAGCCATTGTATCTGGCAGGACATTTTTTTTTTTGAGACGGAGTTTCGCTCTCATTGTCCAGGCTGGAGTGCAATGGCATGATCTCGGCTCACTGCAACCTCCGCCTTTGAGGTTCAAGCGATTCTCCTACCTCAGCCTCCCAAGTAGCTGGGCTTACAGGCGTGAGACACCACTCCCGGCTAATTTTTGTATTTTCAGTAGGACGGAGTTTTGCCATGTTAGCCAGGCTGGTCTCAAAATCCTGACCTCAGGTGACCTGCCTGCCTCAGCCTCCCAAAGTGCTGGGATTATAGGCATGAGCCACCACGCCCAGCCTATTTTTTGTATTTTTTTTTGTAGAGACGGGCTTTTGCCATGTTGGCCAGGCTGGTCTTGAATTCCTGGGATCAAGTGATCTGCCTGCCTTGGCCTCCCAAAGTGCTGGGATTACAGGTGTGAGCCACGATGCCCGGGCTGTCTTTTGTAATCTTGACATTTTTGAAGGATATAGGCCAGTTGTTTTATATAATGTCCTTTAAATTGGGTTTGTCTGGTGTTTCCTCATGATTGGATTCAGGCTATGCATTTTTTGTCAGCAGTATCATGAATGTGATGCTGAATTCATTTCAGTGTATCATATCAGGAAGTACGTAATGTTGGTTTATTCCGTTATTGGTGATGCCAATTTTAACATGATTTTAAAAAATGATAGCATGTGACCTAGATTTGAAACAATCTCTGTCTTCCCTTTCCCTAGCCAATGTGATTAGATCGGGGCGGGCAGTTGACCTAATTCAGGCCAGTGAAAGTTAGGCCCAGGGTTTTTGTTCAAACTGGATGAAGAGAAATTCTCTCTTCTGCCGCTTCTACACCTGGGAGGAATATAATTTTTGAGCTGCAGCAGCCATAATGTCGCCATGAGGGGAGGGTCAGCCTGAGGATGAAGATACAGAGCTGAGAGATAGAGAAAGAAAAACCAGGTCCCTGTGACGTCATTGAACTATCTCCATCAGCCACACCTGAAGCAAAACCTACTCCATGGACTTCCCATATACGTGAGTAAATAAATCCTTTTTGCTTAAGCAAGGTTGGATAGAGTTTTTGCTTTTGCTTTTTTCGTCACAAACCAAATAATCCTCATCATACGATTATACACCTCACTCATTTTTTTCCTAAGAACATGCCAGATCAAAAAACCTGAACATCTGAGTAGCAGGAAACACAATAAGAGATAGCTTGGCAGGAGATAACATTTGGACAAACAAAGCGACTCAAAGAATGGGTTCTTTTTAGCTACAGATGCTTCCATGAAGGTCTTGGGGCTGCATTGATGTAAGAGTGGGCATTTTTCCCTGCAGCATTGTCTTCTGAGAGAATAAGGTTTTTCCACAATATAGAATAAATTCCTAACTATGGATTGTTTGACAACCTTGAATAGCATTTGTAGGGCCAGTGGTTTTTATCTTCTAACCAATAGTCCTTCTGATCTTGTTGACTTCTACGAAGCACACCAACGTAATATTGAAGAAATAGACACGGATGCCACAGGACTTCAGAGTAAATGTAGAGTAAAGCCAGGGCTGAGCCAACAGTGCTGTCTCTCGGATACCTCAGTCTTCTGAATTTCACAGGGGAGGTAAAAAATCATCTTAGTGTCCTTTTAGTTTTAAACCAGGACACATAGTTCCATGATCCCATATTTTGTCATTAATCTGAGTCATCTCATCATTCTATCTTTGAGAGAATTACGTTACAAAGAATAAATTTTGTAGCCAGGCATGGTGGCTCATGCCTGTAATCCCAGCACTTTGGGAGGCCGAGGCAGGTGGATCACCTGAGGTCAGGAGTTTGAGACCAGCCTGGCCAACATGGTGAAACCCTGTCTCTAGTAAAAATACAAAATTAGCTGGGCATGGTGGCCCGCACCTGTAGTCCCAGCTACCCGGGAAGAATTGCTGGAACCCAGGAGGCGGAGGTTGCAGTCAGCTGAGATCGCACCACTTCACTCCAGCCTGGGCAACAGAGTGAGACTCCATCTCAAAAAAAAAAAAGAATCCATATTGTTTATCCTGATCAAGTACCTAGCATAGGACCCAGTACTTAGCAGATGCTTAATATATTGTGGTTGAATGAATGGAGAAAGCAATAGATCAATTAATAATTTTATTGCTTCTTCAATTTGTTTGGCCCTAACTAGCCATTAACTCCCACCAGTCCAGCCTGCTGTTCTCTCACTTTGTGCTTCTACCCACACCACCCCCAGTGTTAGCTTCCTGGGTTTTGCTTGATGCAGCTTCTATCATACTGCGATATCTTGTAAGTTCACCTTGCCCTTCACCGGGATCACCATAGGCACCAACTTTATTATGGCCTTGTTTTATTGTCTCTCCGTACAATATGTTGGCAATAAAACTAATTTATAATACTCACTTGGGAACTTGTAAAAAACACTTTCTCTCTCTCCAAAGCAGTATTGTGTCTCTCTGCGTACTTTCTGGGAAATGCACTGGTTATAGAATGCTTCAGTTTTCCCCTCTGAAACTCAAAGCAGAAAAATGAAGTCACATAGATAAATAAAAATTTATTTTCATCTGTCAGATTACAATTTCTGTAATTTCCCATATAATCCGAAGTCTTGCTAATTCTCCCTCTGCAATATCTTTTATATCAGCCCTGCTTTCCTATCCCTATAGTCAGTGGTGTTCTGGAGCCAACTGGCAGCAGCTTGCGAAGAGCCAATTGTTAAATTTTCAGAAAGCAGGCAAGTTGGTTGTTAAACGGTTGGCAGCTTGAAATTAGCAATATTTACACCGCGGAAATCAGCAAAAGCTACAAATCAGCTCCTCCCCACCTCTACTCAGAACTGAGCTGATTATTAGATATTTGCCATCATACTAATATGTGAGGGTCTTTCCTTGATTAAAGTTTTTCCTACCTTTTGTCTGAACTACTATAATATCCTACTAACCAGTATTTCTTTTTTTTTTTTTTGAGACAGAGTCTCGCTCTGTTGCCCAGGCTGGAGTGCAGTGGCGCGATCTCGGCTCACTGCAAGCTCTGCCTCCCAGGTTCACGCCATTCTCCTGCCTCAGCCTCCCGAGTAGCTGGGACTACAGGCGCTCGCCACCACGCCCAGCTAATTTTTTGTATTTTTAGTAGAGACGGGTTTCACCATGTTAGCCAGGCTGGTCTCGATCTCCTGACCTCGTGATCCGCCCACCTCGGCCTCCCAAAGTGCTGGGATTACAGGTGTGAGTCACCACGCCTGCAGAAATACTTTCTGCAGTTAAACTTTTCTCTTTCCAGCTGATCGTTGTTAGAATACTTTGACTATAAGTAACAGAAAACCCAACCATAGACTTCCTAAATGTAATAAATATTTATTGTTTCACATAACAAAAAGTTCAAAGATAAGGCACTTTTAGGAAAACTCAGCAGCTCAAGGGCTTACCAACTACCTAGATTCTTTCCATTTTCAATCTTTGCCACCCTCATGATGTTAGCATTTCCCCCAGATGACTGTCATCTTTCACATGTCACATTCTCACATCACCACATTTGTACTTATGCCTGTTTTAAAAAGGAAACAAAATCTTCCACGAAGCCTGTTTACAGGCTTCCTGTGAGGTCTCCTTGGCCTGGATCACAACCCATGCTTATTCTTAGATAATGGAATTACCATGATTGCTTCAGACCACTGGTTCCCAACCCTTCAGAACCAACTCCTTCTTACATATCAAGTATTTTATAACACTCCTCTTTCCTGAAATGAAAATCAGAGATAATATAACCTGCCCCTACACACACATTAAAAACATAAATATAAGCCCTAACCGGAATATAAAGGTAAAATAAAGGTAATTTATAAAGAAAATAGGTATATGCATTTTAATATATATAGCAAATTGTATTATGAGTTCTAATTATTTTCCGCTTTCCCCACAATGGAATTATACATCCCAGCCTGATGACTTGTAATTTACATTGCCTCTTTGACCAACGTAACATGAATGGAAGTGCTACGTCTGAGAAGACGCATGACTTTGCCGTAACAACAACATGTCTCAGATAGGGGTTGCTCCTTTAGCCTGGCTGTCAGAATGAAAAAGACATGTGGAACAGGAGCAGAGCAGCAACTGATGTGTAATGTAAACAAGAAATAGATTTGTGTTATTTTAAGCCATTGAGATTTTGGGGTTTTTTGTCACTGCAGCATAAGTTATCAAAAGCTGACTAATACAAGATGGTACAACAATATTCTAGCATATAAAGAAGTAGTCTTCACTTTATGTATGTTTTCACTTATGTGTAATATTATCATGATCCAGCAGCTTCAGATGGACATGATACAATTGTGTTGTATGAAAAAATTCAGAAACCAAGAGGATATTTCTATTAGTGAAATGATTTTCTGCAATAGTGATCAATTCTTAGTGAAGCTGCAAGTTAAAAAAAAAAAGGCATCCCTCTATTACATGATAGTTTTCATTCTTGGCAAATAAAGTTTATAGTAAAATTGGGCAAAATTAGTTGTTGCTGGACTCATATAAAGAGATGTTTTACCTATATGAATAGAAGTCATGCATCTATTTATATTACATTCAAAAACAGGCAAAATGTATACATGCTGTTAGAACACATATAGTTATATGACTGGGAAGAGGCATTAGGGTGTGTTCAGTTTGCAAAGATTCATCCAACTGTACAGTTCTGTGTATTTTTCTATATATATGGTTTTTAAATTTTTGTTTTGTTTTTGAGATGGCGTCTCACTCTGTCACCCAGGCTGGAGTGCAATGGCGCGATCTCGGCTCACTGTAACCTCCGCCTCCCGGGTTCAAGCAATTCTCCTGCCTCAGCCTCCTGAGTAGTTGGGATTACAGGCACCAACCACCATGCCTGGCTAATTTTTGTATTTTAAGTAGAGATGGGGTTTCGCCATGTTGGCCAGGCTGGTCTCGAACTCATGACCTCAGTTATCTGCCCATCTTGGACTCCCAAAGTGCTGGGATTACAGGTGTGGCCACCACACCTGGCCACCATATATATGTTATAATACAGTAAAGAGTTAAAACAAAGTCATGCATGAGACAAATATTTGATGTGTAGGATTGTTCTATGCATTTCAGAATGTCAAACATTTCTGGTCTCTGCCTATGAACTGCCAATAATGTCCCCTAATTATTATGACAACCAAACCAAAACAAAATGTCCTCACAGATTTTTATATTGCTGAACCCCAAAGTGCCTTAAATTTATACTACTCAAGCCTCATTTCCTGCACTGGGCCCTCTGAAGCTCATTGATTGATATCTGCATAATATTGGTCTTCTATTGGCCATTGTTCATAGGCAGGGTAGAAGAAGATGATGTATGGGTGTTGGTGTTGATGTCGTTATTGTTGTTGGTAGTGGTGATGGTGATGGTGGTGGTGGTGGTGGTGATGGTGAAGATGGTGGTGGTGGTGATGGTGAAGATGTTGGCAATGGCGATGGTGGAGGTGGTGATGGTAGTAGTGATGGTGGCAATGGTGATGATGATAATGGTAGTGGTGGTGTGATGGTGGAGATGATGGTGATGGTGGCAATGGTGATGGTGGTGGCGGCGGCAATAGGGATGGTGGTGGTGGTGGTGATGGTGAAGGTGTTGGCAATGCTGATGGTGGAGGTGGTGATGGTAGTAGTGGTGGTGGTGGCAATGGTGATGATGATAATAGTAGTGGTGGTGTGATGGTGGAGATGATGGTGATGGTGGCAATGGTGATGGTGGTGGTGGTGGCAATAGGGATGGTGGTGGTGACGATGGTGGCAATGGGGACAGGGTGGTGTGGTGATAGTGGTGCTGTTGATGGTGATGATAAAGGTGGTGGCAATGGTCATTGGTGATGGTGATGGTAGTGGTGTGGTGGTTGAGGTGTGATGGTGGCAATGGTGATGGTAGAGGTGGTGATGGTAGTAGTGATGGTAGTGATGGTGGTGGCAATGGTGATGATGATAATGGTAGTGGTGGTGTGATGGTGGAGGTGATGGTGATGGTTGCAATGGTGATGGTGGTGGTGATGGCAATAGGGATGGTGGTGGTAATGATGGTGGCAATGGGGATGGGGTGGTGTGGTCATAGTGGTGCTGTTGATGGTGATAAAGGTGGTGGCAAGGTCATGGTGATGGTAATGGTAGTGGTGTGGTGGTGGAGGTGTGATGGTGGTAATGGTGATGGGTGCTGGTGGCGGCAATGGTGATGGCAGTGATCACAGTGATGGTGGTGGCAATGATGATGGTTGTGATGGCAGTGGTGGTTATGGTGTTAATGGCAGTGATGGTGGTGGCAGTGGTGGTAGTGGTTGGGTACGTAGCCATCTGTATCAGCCACAGCATCCTCCACATGCTATCACATACATCTTAGATAACTTTGCCCCAACCCTCAAAATCTGCAGTGGTTTCCAACTGTCTACAGGAAAAACCACACCCTACTTACCTTCTAGGGTAATTTTGAAGTGCTTTTGTTTTCAATGAACCTTTACCTTTCCCATTGCTGAACATGCTGTGGTATCACTATACCTTGCTCCTCCTTCTATTGAGAAAGCCCTGCTCTCATTCTCACTTCTCTAGGTCTTCTTTCAAATGATTCCTCTTCCGTGAAGCAGCACCATGTCCCAGAGTTAACCACTCCTTTGTCTACTTTCCCAGAGGGTTTTACTTAAATCTCTCTTTAGCATTTATTTTATTCTGCCTTTTGTGTAGTTAGTTGGCACATGTCTTCTGTAGCCTCCACAGGCCTAGTACAATGATGGGCACTGAGTTCTTAAAAAAAAGCGTGTTGAATTAAGCGGAACAGGAACACAGCTTCTGAATTTCTCAGAAATCAGCAACCCAATATCCAAAATCTTTTAGCTGGCTGAGACCTATAGTTGTCATCTGGGTAATATAGGCTTCCTACCAATAGCTTCAATTGTAGGTTAACTGTACTTCCCCTTATTTCAGTAGGATTTCATCCTGAACTGGGCTCAGGGAGGGAAATGAAAGTATTTGCCTTCCCTGAACTTCCACAAGTTCACCATGCTTGGGCCCTGTCAATGTGTACATAGAATAGAATAGAACCAACAAGACAGTGGGGGAGGAGGGCTGGTAGCAGCTTGGCTTTAGCATAGCCAAGTTGGAGCAGGCGAGGCCATATGATACTTCAGTTACAATTCAGTGAGCACTTATGAGTGTCTACTAAGTGCTGACTACTGTGAGAGTCACCAATATCAATTAATAAGAATCTTTCAGCCGGGCATGGTGGCTCACGCCTGTAATCCCAGCACTTTGAGAGGCTGAGACGGGTGGATCACCAGAGGTCAGGAGTTCAAGACCAGCCTGGCTAACATGGCGAAACCCCGTCTCTACTAAAAATACAAAATTAGCCGGGCGTGGTGGTGCATGCCTGTAATCCCAGCTACTCAGGAGGCTGAGGCAGGAGAACTCGGGAGGCGGAGGTGTGGAAGTTGTGGTGAGCTGAGATTGCACCATTGCACTCCAGCCTGGGCAACAAGAGCGAAACTCCATTTCAAAAAAAAAAAAAAAAAAAAAAACAACAACCAAAAAGTTAGCCAGGCGTGGTGGCTCATGCCTGTAATCCCAGCTACTGGGGAGGCTGAGGCAGGAAAATCGCTTGTACCCGGGAGGCGGAGGCAGTGAGCCGAGATCGCACCATTGCAGTCCAGTCTGGGAGACAAGAGCGAAACTCCGTCTCAAAAAAAAAAAAAAAAAAAAAGTCTCTCTATTTACTCTAATGGGGGAGGTGATGTATGTGTCCAGGTACCAGGAGGGAGGTGCAGATAGGAGTTCAGAGAGAATGCCTTTGGGCATGAGTCTCCCTGCCAAGCCTAGGTGTCCTGACTCTGGTCTGCTGTGGCTATCTCACTCACCAGATTTTAAATTCCTCGTGGACAGGGACCGTATCTTATTCGAATTAACTGTCTTCACCCAGTGCCCAGCCTCTTGGGGCCGGGCAAAAATGTGGGACGAATCTCTAAGCAGTGTCCTATCCACCTTCCTTAAAGAAAACTCCACCCCTGTCTTTATAAGCCTGTTTCTTCTGCTTCTGAATGGCCTGCAGCCCCAGGTTCCCAACTGTCAGGCCCCCTTGGGCTGGTCCTATTCCTTCCCTGTGGGTTTGAGGTGTCATCCCTTGGAGCTTGGCCGCCAGCGCCAGCGCCAGCCCACCCTTCCTCCCTCCCACCACATCCCCACCCTTCCTGCTGAGCACTGGGTGGTAGCAGATCAGTCTAGCACTTCCTCTAATGGCTAATGTTTTTGTGGGAGGTTCTGAACTAGGGTTAAAAGACAAAAGCTCTTCCCCCCTCCCCTCCCCCAGTTCTAGTGTTGGTTCTTCTAGTTCTGACGTTCCCGTTGCTGTATCCCTAGATCCCGCCTTTGTTTTAAGCTCCCGAAGAAAGGCTTCCGGAGACTTTGTGACCTCACCCAATTTCCAACATTCCAGATTGTCTTTTCTTTCTTTAAAATCAGTGTTCCCTTCTGAGTCAGCTAGGAGGAGGCCAGAGGGAAACAGTGGGGCTTTCGAAGCTTATCAAAAGCAAACCTTGCTCTTTTGAAAAAGCATTTTCCAACGCAACCTGGGGACAAAGTGGGGTTAAATTTTACACAGATTGCTTACGAGCAAGAGTTAAGTGGCTAACAAGTCATGAAATCTTACGGAGAAGCAGGTAAAGCCAAAATTAAAAACTCCCTCCGAGTCAGCCCATTCTGCGACCCACCTCCTCCCCTTTGCGGCAGGAACTCTACTCCATCGAGGGGCTTTGCTGCAGTGGCACTGCCCACGCATACTCAACTAAAAGACTCAGACCACGCCAGCCATGCCACGAGGTGTGTTTTATTTTCATTATTCATACAAATAATTTTCTATAATATCCCGGGGCAAACCGGAGAATTTGGCAGTCCGATTGGGGGGGGGTCCCTTCAGAGACCCACAGGCCGGTGGCATCGGCGCGGAGTGCCCAGGTTCACAGTGCAGCTTGTGGCTCGTGTCCATCTTGCAGGTGGCTCTTCCTCCACATCACGACTGGGGTCTCGAAGAGGACGGGGGTAGGAAATCCTCCAGGATCTTAGGAAATTTCACTCCGCTTCTCCTGCTCAATGGCTGTGGAGAGCGGGAAGCGGGCGCTGGAGGGGAGCTGCAACCCCCACCCGCAACCGAGGTGCTTCCCGGTGTGGGCGAGGCACCCACGAGGTGTGGGGATTTAGAAGGAAGCTTGGGGCTGGGGAGAAACAAGGCGCTTTGTGAAACTGAAAGAGTGGCCGGGGCCGCCCACACCGGGGACAACGGCGGGGTGGGGGGTGGAGGAGTGGGTTTGCAAGGAAGAGCAGGGTGAGGGGCTGGGCTGGGGCGCGGGAGACCGAGGCACACTCACTCTCTTTGGTCGGCAGGGTGTTCTTCTCCTGCGTCTCCGTTTTCTTCAGCTTGGCCTTATCGAAGCTGGCGATTTCCCCCATGTCTGGTTTGTCTGCCATTTTCTTAAAACAATCCTAGTGGGCAAACCAAGGCGCTTGACCTGGGCCTGGGGGCCAGCGTCCCCTTCCGCGCTCCCCGCCGACGCCTCTCGACGTGGCACTCGCGCCAAGGCGTGCCGAGCAGCCCCAAGGCCGAGGATCTGGGCGCGTCCCGCACCCCTCTTCTCGGTCCCAGGGCGTGGTCGCCGGCCCCTGCGTCCGGTCCGAGAAGGGCGCCTGTCGCGGTTGCGGCGCGCCCGCCCGGTGCACCGGATCCGACCACACCCTGGGTGGGCCCCCCGCCCCGGCGCCGCACTCACCGTGCAGTCTCGTTCCGAGCCCGAGATCCTGGTGCTCCCACTCGCGTTGCTGCAGCAAGAAACAAAAGAGCGGCGCCCGCCCCTAGCCTTATATACGCCGCGCCCCGCCCCGCCCCTCACCCGCCGCAGCAGGGGCGGTGCTGGCACCCGAGGGGCGGGAGCAGCGCGGGCTGCTCCTCGCCCTGCCGCGCCCCCCGCTGGGCTACCAGCCCGGCTGGGCGCGGCTTCTCCCGCGCCGGGCACCCCCAGCTCGCAGTGTGCCCAGCGTGGGGGCTGTAGTCGCCGCCAGAGTGGGCGCCAGGCCCCCGGCTTTGCTTTTGCGGCTACATTTCCCCCTTTCCGGGAATCTGCTGCTCACCCCGCAGAAAGGATATGGGACCGGCGTGGGAGGGTGTGTGGTTTTGTGCGTGTGCAGATATGATGTGTAGCCGTGGGTGTGGATGTGCGGGCGTGCACGCGCACTCTGCAGCAATCCTCGCTCTAGGAGACGCCCCACCCCAGTCGCCCCCAGGCCTCTTGCTTTTGCTCCTCCAGAGTCCCCTTCCCTCCCCCACTTTTCCTCTCCTTAGGGAGGCTGAGTCCTAAGGTGGTCCTGCACTAAAAGAATTCGAGCCGAGGGTCCCGTAGTGGAGCGGGGGGCGGGGGGGTGTAGGGGGAGGGGGGAATAGGTTTCCAGCGCTCTTTGCTCAGGTTGGGGGCGGTTGCCTTCTGGTCAGTCGTCCCCTGTTCCCTGAACTGGGCGGTTCCAGCAGGATCGTTGGCGTGGCGGGTGTTCCTTAAATGCTGTTAGACGCATTGTGTGAAGGGCTGTGGTGGGAACAGGGCGTCCCGAGAAGGCTCGCAGTTTGCCTTTTCTCGTCGAGCTCCTAGAAACACTGTATCAGCGGGTGCGGTTTTCCTCCTTGAAGTTAACCTTGAGGATAATAGAGACCCACATGCCTACAAACGTTCTTGTTTTTCTTATTAACCCATTGTAGGAGTGGTATACTGCAATTATTCACATCTTTCTTAGAAAAGTTGTATTTTCAGCCTGTGCAACACCGTTAGGTAATAAGTTCCATAAATTACCAGCCCCGGAGTTAAGGCTGGTCATTCTTTTATTTGTCCTGACCTTTCCTTTTTTAAGTGTGAAGTATTACCGAGCTCTTTAAAGTGGGATTTGGTGGTGACATCCTAAATTCGGTCCTGATTTTATTTATTTACTTTTTTTGAGACAGGGTCTCACTCTGTCACCCAGGCTGGAGTGCAGTGGTGTGATCACGGCTTATGGCAGCCTGGACTTCCCCGGTTCAAGTGATTCTTCCACCTCAGCCTCCTGAGCAGTTGGGACTGCGGGCGTGCACCACCACTAGCGGCAAATCTTTTGTGTTCTTTTTGTAGAGACGAGATTTCACCATGTTGCCCAGGCTGGTCTCGAACTTCTGGGCTCAAGCCATCTGCCTGCCTTAACCTCCCAAAGTGCTGGGATTACAAGCCTGAGCACCACTCCCTGCTTCTCCCCTCCTGATTTTACCTGCTTTTCTCACGTTCCTTCAGTTTGGAACAGTGGGAAGAGAGCATAGGCTTGTGTGACCTTGGGCAAATCTTTTCCTTAGTTTCTTCATCTATAAAATAGCCTTGGCATAAACTGAGGTGAGATAAAGAAGAGGCATAGAGTGGATACTTTTTCTTTCTTTTTTTTTTTTTAGCAGGGTCTCTGTGCAGCGGTGGGATCACAGGTCACTGCAGCTTTTTTTTTTTTTTTTTTTTCTTTTTTGAGACGGATCTCACTCTGTTGCCCCGGCTGGAGTGCAGTGGTGCAATCTCAGCTCACTGCAACCTCCGCCTCCCGGGTTCAAGCGATTCTTGTGCCTCAGCCTCCCAAGTAGCTGGTATTACAGGCACGTGCCACCATGTCCGGCTAATTTTTGTATTTTTAGTAGAGACGGGGTTTCACCATGTTGGCCAGGCTGGTCTCAAACTCCTGACCTCAAGTGATCTGCCCTCCTTGGCCTCCCAAAGAGCTGGGATTACAAGTGTGAACCGCTGTGCCTGGCCTCAAGTGGATACTTCAAATAGCAACCTCATTAGAATATCACACTTATATTTGATGAGTGCATTGGTTAACTTCTGCTGCAATATGCCATGTAACAAACCACCCAAAGCTTAGGAGTTTAAACAATGATTTATTCTTGTTCCTATATGGGCAGGTCAGATGGTGCTGGGCTGGGCCGGGCTGAGCTTGGCTCCAGACTTTGTATTGGGTCTAGGTTTGCTCCACAGGTATCTTATCCTCTGGCTGATTCTTTGGTGATGGCAGAATAGCAAGAGGGTTGTACTGCAAGATAGTGTAGAAATGTTAAAGTGTCAAAGCCTGTCATATCCTGTCATGTTTGCTGCCATCCTATTGGTCAAGCCCACCATCAACAGAGTGGGGAAAATATTCCACCTATGGTAAGAGAGGGAGGGTAGTGAACATTTCTTGAATGAAAGTGGAACTTCACGTCAGGGTCAGCAAACAACTGGTAACACACAGCCCCCAAGGTGGCTTAATGCAATACAAGTTTATTTTCTTTTTTGTTTTTTGAGATGGAGTCTTGCCCTGTAGCCCAGGCTGGAGTGCAGAGGCATGATCTCGGCTCACTGCAATATCTGCCTCCCGGGTTCAAGCGATTCTCCTGCCTCAGCCTCCCGAGTAGCTGGGATTACAGGCATGCACCACCATGCCCGGCTAATTTTGTATTTTTAGTATGGATGGGGTTTTACAATGTTGGCCAGGCTGGTCTCGAACTCCTGACCTCAAATGATCCACTCACCTCAGCCTCCCAAAGTGCTGGGATTACAGGTGTGGGCCACCGCGCCCAGCCTACAAGTTTATTTTCTACTCATGCAGCAATATTCTGTGCTGATGTTGCTGGTCAGGCAATTCTTTTCCATCTAGTGACTCAGGAACTCAGGCCCCTTCTCTCTTGTTACTCTGCTCTCGTCTAGGTCCTTGAAGTCCACACCATCCAGCCAGTGGATGGGGAAAGAGGAGAGGCTAGAGGACCACACTAGAGTTTTTATGGACCAGGCTTGGAAGTAGTCTCCATTACTTTCGCTCTCATTTCTTTGGCCAGAGCTCATTCACTTGGTTTCACATAACTGCAAGGAAGGCTGGGAAATATAGTCTAGCTGTCCCTAGGAGAAAAAGAAAGCAGGGTTGGGTGGTCTTGGAGAGGTCTCTGCCATACACTGTTGAAGGATCTGCTAAATTGAATGTAAAAATATCCAGATTTTCAGAGACAGTGATTCTTTGGAGGGTTTCACTGGCACTTGACTCCTTTTCAGTTGCAATGCCAATAATTGTTTAGGTATTATTATAATACATTCCCGGGCCCCACCTTTGACCTGGGTGTAGGAATATTCAATTGTACCAATTTGGACCCATGGTGAACTTTCATTCCAACTTCCCTTTATTGAGAAAACAAAGGAATTGACTTCTAAATACAGCTATGGAGACCTATGTTTGGAGACCGAGTAAGTATGCAAGACTCCCAAACAAAGGAGCTTTAGGGGGACTTGCAGACAGACATTCCTTATTCTTGCTCAGTGCAGCCCTGTGGCCCATCTCTACCATAGCAGGCAGCCTCTTAGGCATTCATTGCTTAAGGACAATGGTCAAAATCTATGTCTCAGCCAGTCCCATGGGCAGTGGTTTTAAAACATCTGCATATTCTTTGACATTTTCCCACCATTTCTTGGGTACAGACTGGCCTTAGTGACTTTCTTTTAGTGAGTAACACATGGAATGAATGATGCTTTGTGACTTCTGAGGCTAGGTCATAAAAGACCACATGGTTCTTTCTGATGTTCTTTCAGGATGCCTCCAAGTTGTGAGAAAATCAAGCATCTACAAGGAAAGGCCACATGTCGGCATTCCAGCCACAGCCTCAGCTGAGGTCAGAGCTAACAGCCAGCATCAACCACTAACCACACAAGTGAAGGAGACTTCGAAGCTTCAAACTGCCCCAGCTAATGCCAAGTGGAGCAGAGATGAGTTGTCCCTGCTGAAATTGCAGACTCATGAGCAAAATAAATGTAGTTGTTTTAAGACACTAAGTTTGAGAATGTTTTGTTACACAGCATGAGATAACTGGAACACCATGAGGTAGATAAATTATAACCTGGTGATTCCAGGCACTCCCATCTCATTTGGGGATTTTTTTCCTAGATACTTAAAGTAACACACATATACTTATTCAATAAATGTTTATTGAATGCTCACAAAATATCTGGGAGCATTCTGGCTGTGGAAGATACAATGAAACTCTCGAGTTACAAGTGTAGTGTAGTAAATGACTCAAAGTCAGTCAATATTCACGGTCATGCCTTGTATTCACTTATGACTTGGGGTGCCATTTATATGTGACAACATTTCAGCTTGCTGCTGGGAACAGATTTTATACTGTTCACAGATGGAATAGACAAAGCTGAACTACTAAACTGCAATGACATTGCCATTTTCTTTGTCAAGAAGGATGTTCTGGAAAATGTAGAACTAATAAGAGGAACTAAGAAAGTCTTGATGACTGTCAACTTGGGGGTCAACTTTGGAGGCTTGCCATGGGGCTTCATTCCTCAGACTTGTCCAACTTGACACTTTTATCAGAGACTGGAATGAGGATGTAGATAGAATAATGATTATGTTATGAAGGATGAATCTCTAAGCTCCAAAACCAGCTGGATACCGTAGAGAAATGAACAAAATGTGATGAGATAAACCTGATAGAGACAGATGTGGAAGCTTCCTGGCCCTAATATGAATCCTACAAATACAGGGAGAGATGATTAATGTGGTTAACTGGCAAATGGCAGTGAAATTTGTGATTGTATGGATAGGAAGAAAGAGTCCAGTCCAGATTTCCTTTGAATGTGAGAAAACCATTCACTCCTGCTATAGGACCTTTGCCCTCGTTTATGCTCTTCTTGGCCTAAACATATGCATTGCGCACATTTTTCCTTCATTTAGGAACCTGCTGAAGTGTCTCTTTCCTCAGAGAACTCTCCTTGGCCATCCATATAGAGCAACACCCTTGCCATTCTGTTGCTCTTTAGTGTCTTTCATTTTTCTTCATAGAATCCATCTCTAACCAATATACAAGTAAACATGCTACACATTCATTTCTTTGTGTATTGTCTATGTCCTGCCATAGAAAATGGGAGACCTCATCTGTCTCGTTCACCACTGTATCTCCAGCACCTAAGGCAATGCCTGACATATAGTAAGTGCTCAGTCAATATTCTTTGAACAAATGCATAAACCTGGGCCATTTCCAGGCAGAGCAAAAAATGCTTAACTTCCTAATTGAAATGGAATGAGCTACTTTGGGGTAAGTGATCAGTTCCCTGTCATTGGAGGCATTCAATCAGAAAAGGCTATCCTCAATGAGAAGAGGATAGCCAAGTATTTGGACTGTTATAGAGATGGGCCAGAATAGGCTCACAAGTGAGGAAAGCTTGCCCTAGATGACCTTACTGGTCCGTCTATTGCTACTATTCCATTTGTGAAACAGTCTCCTTCTGAGTGCCAGTTTTGCCAGCCTGAAGATTTTACCAGCCTGAAAATAGTTGCTAACCTCACACAAAGGAGGCAGGGGAAGCAAAGAAATCAGGATGTGAATTCCATATTCTCCATACCATGAAACTGCTGTATGTTTTTGTAGGTCATGGGGCTTAAGGGCTCATCCAAGATAAAATTGTGAAGAAAATAAAATGGGCCTTTGAGGTTCAGCCTCAGCAGAGATTGTTCTGCTCTGTGGAGAACAGTGTGGATTAGTGCCTACGTAAACCTTGGCAGTTGCTTAGGTAGCCCAGGTGGCTAAAGGCCACAGTGTGAGTGAGAATGTTACTGTTTGATTTTCCATATCTGCTGTTAGAATAGCGATGATGACAGCGACTTACATTACTGAGCAGATACTGTGTTCCAGATTTGGCAGTAAGGACTTCACATGTATTATCCTATTTAATCCTCGACAAAATAATAGTGTGAAATAGCAGGATTTTGAACATCTCTGCTTTATAGTATAGGTATCTAAGCCTTGGTCGACGTCACACAGCTGGTCATTGGCATTGCTGGGACTTGAATCCCAAGTCTGGCTGATTCCAAAGCCTGGGCACCTCACCACTGCACCGCCCTTGCCTAGACCCTGCGGCAGAGTTTGCAAACTGCCAGCCTGGATCCAGCTGGCATATGTATTTTGTCTGGCCACACTAAATTTAACATAGACTTCAGGCAACCCCCAAACATTGGAAGATTTCTGTACTGAAGATCTAGTAGCACTGGGTCTGTATTTTCTCATGGCAACACCACAGTGAACAGCTGCCCCCTTGAAATGAGGCATGTCCTCTTCACTGTACTGGATTTCTATCATTCCTTAATGTCTCTCCAGCATGGAAACAAGGAAACAAGTGTCAATTGCTGCTTATTATATTTGGGTTGGTGTTCTGCTTATAGTACAGAATTTTTTTTTCTTTTTTGAGATGGAGTCTCGCTCTGTCACCCAGGCTGGAGTGCAGTGGTGTATTCTTGGCTTACTGCAACCTCCGCCTCCCAGGTTCAAGCAATTCTCTTGCCTCAGCCTCCCTAGTAGCTGAGACTACAGGCATGCGCCAGCACGCCCAGCTAATTTTTATATTTTTAGTAGAGATGGGGTTTCACCATGTTGACCAGGCTGGTCTCGAACTCCTGACCTCAGGTGATCCACCCGCCTCGGCCTCCCAAAGTGCTGGGATTACAGGTGTGAGCCACCGTGCCTGGCCAGAAATATTTCTTGATCCTTGGTCTCTGTGTGAGCCAGCCTTCAAGATGGCCCCAGCAAGTGCCTCCTATTCCCATCCTTGTGTAGTCCTCTCCTCTATTGTACTGGGGTTGTCCTGTGTGACTGATGGCATATGGCAGAGATGATAGTATGGCATTTCTGAGATTAAGTTACAAAAGACTGTAATTTCCATTTTGGTGCCTGGCTCTGTCCTTCTCTCCCTTGGATTTCTCATTCTGGGGGAAGCCACTTACTGTGTTTTGAGCAGGCCTGTGAAGAGGCCCATGTGGTGAGGAACTGAAGCCTCTGGCTAACAGCCAGTGAGCAGCTGAGACTTGCCAACAACTGCATGAGTAAGTGAGGAAGTGGGTCCTCTAGCCTCAGCTAAGCTTTCAGAGGACTGCAGTCCTGGCCGTGGAGTTGATTGCAACCTCATAAGAGAGTCTGAGCTAGAAATTATTCAACTAAAGTTGCTCTCAGAAACTGTGACTTTATGTTTTATGTTGCTAAGTTTTGGAGTAATTTGTTTCTCAGCAATAGATAAACTAATTCACTCTCAAAAATAGGGAGAAAATACATAGAGACAGCAAGTAGAACAGTGGTTACCAGTGGCTGGGGGAAGGGGAGAATGGGGAGTTCTTGTTACTGGTACAGAATTTCAGTGTGAGATGATGAAAAAGCTCTAGAGATGAATCATTGTGATGGTCATCCAAGAATGTGAATTCACTTAATGCCGCTGAACTGTACACTTAAAAATATAAATTATATGCTATGTATATTTTACCACAATAAAGAAAAAAGTGAAAAAAATGAGGAGGAAAGATGGAACAAGAGTGCCATGTGATTCAAGAAAAATAAGAAAGCACATTTATTTGTGAAAGTAAAGAATATTTGTATCATTATAAAACCTGCCATAGTAAGAGATTTGACTGTACATGGGAAAGATGAGTGACACCAATCTTAATGAACCAGGCCCGTTTTGCTTCTTCATATGATCTGCCTGGCTCCTGTAGGTCTCTGAGTCAGCTAAGCATACTGTAGATCAGTGGTTTAAAAATTTTTGTTGACCTGAGAGGTCACTCCCACCCCCAAGAAATACATTAAGTACCTTTAATATTGTTACCCAGTACTCACATGAGCACTCACAAATGAAACAAAAGTTTCACTAGAACAATATTCACCCTTACTCTGAATGAAGAACTCTGACCTTCTCTGTCCTATTCTATTCCTTTTCATTAATTTTTTTTAATGTGAAATAATGATAGATTCACAGGAAGTTGCAAAGATAGTAAACCGAGGTCCCTGGTATCCTTCTCCCAACTCTTCTCAGTGGTAACATCTTACATAACTATAATAATTCAAATCAAAACCAGGAAATCAACGTTCATCCAATCTATAGACTATTTCCATATTTCACCAATTTTTACATGTATTCATTTGAGCATGTGTAGTTTCAGGCTTTTATTTATTTATTTATTTTTTTGAGACAGAGTCTGGTTCTGTTGCTCAGGGTGGAGTGCAGTGGCATGATCTTGGCTCACTGCAACCTCCACCTCCCGGGTTCAAGTGATTCTCTTGCCTCAGCCTCCCAAGTAGCTGGGATTACAGGCCATTTTTTTTTTTTTTTTTTAAGTAGAGATGGGGTTTCACCATGTTGGCCAGGCCGGTGTCGAACTCCTGACCTCAAGTGATTCACCTGCCTTGGCCTCCCAAAGTGCTGGGATTATAAGCATGAGCCACTGGGCCCAGCCATAGGCATTTTTATTACCTGTATAGAGTTGTATTACCACTATCACAATCTAGTTACAGATTTATTCCATCACCATACAAGGAGTCCCTCATGTTACCCTATTATAGTCCCACACATCCCTACCCATAACCCTTGGCAGCCACTACATAGTGGACCCTGTCTCTATATTTTTTAAAAAGACAGAAACAAGATCCATCCAAGTTGTTGAGTACTTCATACACTTTTATTTCTTTGTGTTCCTATAGTATGGGTGTACTGCCTGTTGAAGGACATTTTGGTTGTTTCATATTTGGGCTATTAAAAATAAAGCTGCTCTGAAGATCTGTGTGCATTTTTGGGGGTGGACGGAAGTTTTCATTTCTCTGGGATAAATGCCCAGGGTTGGGAGGCTGGGACTACTGGATCATTTGGTAAGTGTGTGCTGAGTTTTGTAAGAAAATGCCAAACAATTTTGCAGAGTGGTCGTATTGTTTTACATTCCCACCAGCAATGTAGGAGAGATCCAGTTTCCCAGCATTCTCACCAGTACTTTGTATTGTCAGTGTTTTAATTTTAGTTATTCTAATAGGTGTGGAGTGATATCTCATCATGGCTTTAATTTGCATTTCCCTAATGGCTAGTGGTGTTGAATGGTTCCTTGCCATTTTATCATTTTATTAAAAATGCTGATTATGACCTGCCAGTCTGATTTTATTACCCACTAATTGGCTGTGACTAGCAGTTGAAACACCACTGTAGAGGGATCCCTTTATCAGTGGCTTGGCGTCTATTATTCAGAAATCATCCCTTTCACATCTAAACTCTCCTTTCACCTCCACAAGACAGATGTTTCTGAAATTTTATGTGTAACTCGGATGTTCTCTGGAATCTGACCAAGATCTAGCTAAGAATGATTCCAACTCCTTTTTGATGCTTCCCCATGATTTTTCTGAATTTTCAGGCATATTCTGTTCTTATAGTTATTTCTCATCTCTCAGAGTTTCTGTGTCTCCACATTAATGCACCTCCATATGTAGATAGCCCTTGGCCGTGATTTCCTTTTTCAGAGGAACAATATACGGCTGGTATGTGCAGTACAACTTTTATCAGAGGTTTTTGGGTTATGGGGAGAGACAGACATATCTTTAATGACACAACTTTGTGCCACTGGGGACCCTCCTGTGCTTCTCCCAAGTATTCCCAAACTTACACTATCTCCACCTACCCCCCAACATAATTTTTTTTATTTATCTATTTTTGAGAAGGGGTCTCGCCCTGTCATCCAGGCTGGAGTGCAGTGGTGTGATCACGGCTCACTGCAGTCTCAACTTCCCTGGCTCAAGTGATCCTCCCTCCTCGGCCTCCGAGCAGCTGCAACTACAGGCGCATGCCCAGTTATTTTTTTTTTAGTTTTTATTTTTAGTAGAGATGAGGTCACGTTATGTTGCCTGGGCTGGTCTCTAACTCCTGGCCTCAAGTGATCCTTCTGCCTTGGCCTCCCAAAGTGTTGGGATTACAGGCGTGAGCCATTGCACCCTGCCTCCTGTACCCTTTCTGATTCTCTCCTTCTCTTAATTCTTTCCCTTGAGAAATACCAACTCTCCTCTTTCTCCCCAGTAGAATAGTGTACTTGTTCAGTGTACAGCAGAACAATGTTCCTTGCTTCCTTCATTCTGGCTAAAGGAGGTTTTTGGGCCTCCTTTCCTACTACCAGCAGCTGATCCCCAAAGACAATTCCTTTCCTCAGTAGAGTTTTGGTGCCAGCTGCTAAGATAATACTGCCCCACGGGAAAACATAGAAACTTCCTGAGGCTAAGTTTGCAAGGCTGGCTGGTTTCAACACACAGGAATGAACTGGCTCTGTGAAGAGGGCCCCAGGGAAGGCCGTCCAAGCCAGGAATTTAGGGAAAGTAGCAGTTAGATCTTGGGGAATTTTCCAGGTTAGGAAGGTCAAGGGGAAGTCTGACTCATCAAGAGCCCCCCACCTCCATGACTCTGCCAAGAAAACAGACCCTGAGATGTGTCAGCAGCAGAGGATTTGGCGGCAGATGCAGCAAGGATGGAGAGGATAAGCGCCAGGAGAACCTCTTCTTCCTGACAGCCATGAAGCAAGGAAGCCCCTGAGCCTTGAACCTTTCTGGGGAGGAGAGAGAGAAGGAATCACTCAAGACCAAGCATTTCTGCGGGGAGACTGAGTGAAGCCTTAGCAGACTGCTTCAAACAGGAAGAGACTGAGTTTCCTTTAATCGGCTCACTTACTACCCATCTGCCAGTGTGGGCACCCAAGCACTGCCAGACAAAAAGCAAGCTGCGTTTTTCTTTCTTCCTAAGTATTGGTCTTAGTGTGTACATTTTGACCTCTTTCCCTGATATACTGCATACAATTTAAAAATCTCTCCCATGTGTTTTTTCTTTCTCTAGTCCCAATGTCTGTATGTTTTCTGTAAAGGAAGTACAGTGTAAAAGTGATCCCAGCCCCAATATGGTGACTGGCTGGGTGACTGTGTTAATTATCCTCTTTAGATTGCAAGGAACAAAGACTCACTTGGGATCCCTTAAGCAAAAAGGGCATGTCAGTTTAGGTTTCCCTGGAAGCAAAATCAGACAGGTTTAATGTGCAGGATATTTATTAAGGAGTTCCCTTGAATTCACTCCTATTGAAGCAGAAGAAGGAAGTGGGATTGGGGAGAAGGAGAAGTCAACCTAGACAATGTAGGCTTAATGACACCCTCAGTACCCCCAACACCGCAGGGGACCTCTGAAGCTAATGCGCTGAAGCAGATGGGCTGAGATGGGCTGAGACTGTAAGGGCGAGGTGGCTCTCTGTAGCCAAGGCAGTGCTACAGAGAATGACACCTGGAGGCTACCTGCTGGCAACATTCCTAGCCAGCTGGTTCGACAAGTCCTTTCTTGAAGGGGAACCTGAGTAGTCCCTTGCAGTGTCCACACCAGGGGACTTAGGCTAAGAATGCCCTAGGGCTGCAACCAGACTGCTGCCAGCCGCCCCCGGGAGCTCTGAGTTTCTCCCTTGCCTGCTTTCCTGACCCTTCTGCTCTCCCTGTATACTGTCTCTGCTTCCTCTGTGCACCTGGTCTGATTTCTCCTGGGTACTACCTGGATGGCCCTTACCGTGTTCTGATCAAATGCTGGAGGAGCCATTTACATTGACCTAGGACGGTGATTCCCAAACTGTGTTCCACGGAATTCTAGTCCTGGAGCTGTTACTATATCCTTCAAAAGCTGGGTGATATTTATATATGGGTTCATTGTACTCTTTTGTCTTCTTCTTATATTATAATATTTATATTATATTATTATATATTATATATAATATATATAATATTATAATATATATAATATATATAATATATATATAATATATATTATATATTATATATAATATATATTATATATATTATATATAATATATATAATATATATTATATTATATTTATTATATATATTATATATTATATTATATATATTATATATAATATAATATATAATATATATAATATATATAATATTATAATATATATATTATATAGAGAGAGCACTCTCTATATAATATATATAGAGCTCTCTATATAGAACTCTATATATATTATATATAGAGAATGCTCTCTCTATATAATATATATAGAACTGTATATATATTATATATAGAACTTGCTATATATTATATATAGAACTCTATATAGATTTTATATATAGAGCTCTATATAGATTATATATAGAGCTCTATATATAGATTTTATATATAGATATTATATATAGAATCCTATATGTATTTATATCTATATATAATATCTATATATAGAGTTCTATATATAATCTATATAGAGTTCTATATATAAAATCTATATATATCTATATATTCTATATTTAAACATAGAATATAAATATAAAATATATAGAATTCTATATATTTATAATATATATAGAATATAATATATAATATATAATATATAGACTTCTATATATAATATATATAGAATTCTGTATATTATATATTATATATAGAATTCTATATATATTATAAATAGATAGAATTCTATATATTATATATAGAATTATATATATAATATATACTGTACTATTATATATTATATATTATAATATTATTATTATATATATTATATATAATATATATAATATTATATATAATATATTATATATAATATATTATGTATAATATAATATATAATATTACATATATTATATATAATATAATATATTATATAATATATATAATATAATATATTATATAATATTATATATAATATTATATATAATATTATATATTATATACTGTCTGTATATTATATACTGTCTGTATATTATATTATATACTGTCTATATATTATATTAATATATTATATATATTCTATGTAGAATATATTTCAAATTCTATATAGAATATATATTCATATATATGAATATATATTCTATATATGTATATATTCTATATATGAATATATATTCTATATATATTCTATATTCTATATATATTCTGTATTCTATATATATTATATATATTCTATATTCTATATATAATATATATTCTATATATAATATATATAAATTATATATAATATATATAATATATATATTATATATAATATATATAATATATATATTATATATAATATATATAATATATTATATATAATATATATTCTATATATAATTTATATATTATATATTATATATATATAGAATATAGAATATATATATCTATATATAATTATATATATCTATATATAATTATATATATATTTATATATATAATATAATATATATTATATATAAAAGAGGATATAGTAATATATATATCTTCTTCCTCATATATGTAATACATCTCCTTCTTAAAGAAAATGCTAGCTGGTAGTGAGAGGTGGCAGTACAGGGAAATGGGTGAAAGTTTGGACTCTAAAGGTAGACTTTGTGAGTTTGAATCCAACACCTACTAGATGTACAACCTTGGCCAAGTAACTTAACCTCCCTGTGCTAAGCTTCCCTGATCAAGGGCTGCACACAGGGTGGCTCCTGTTATGTGGAGATACTGGGTGACTGGCGTGTTCATGGCAGTTATTTTATGAAAACTATAAAGTCTCAAGCCCAAAACGTATTTTAATAAAACGGTATATATATGTATACAAGCACCAACTGGAAAAAATAATATTATTGCTGTCCTCATTTCTGGGAGGCTGTAAAGCGTATTTTTCTTAGTAGAGAAAGACCTTTCCTTGGAATAAGCGTGTTCATGCACTTTTGGAGAGAGGCTCCCTTTTAAGCCGGGATTCTGGCCCATGAGGAAGTTCTACAGGGGCCATCACAAGAAGGAAAGCAGATCTTTGACGCTCCCATGGCCACGGCGCCCTATGGTCTGCAGGGGGAGGGGACCTGGGCAGACAGTCTTCCTCAGCTAAGGCCACTAAGATTAGTCTGTGAGGCCAGGCCCCGTATTGATCGCCATTCATGTGGCAAAAGGAACTTCCTACCCAGGAAACAACAGATCTCTGGCAAGAAAGAAGGAAGAAGGAAAGAACACCCCACACTTCCTTTACCCAGGTCATAAAATGACCAGTTGCCAGATGCCAGGACAGTATTCCGATAGCTGATGGGGCCTCGGGGGCCAAGTGGAGGTCACGGCAGTCAGCCAGCCAGATCAGGGCAGGGGTTGCTGTTAGCATGTTGCATCTCTTGGAAAGACTGGCCAGGCATGGGGGCTCAGCTCTTGAGGCCACTGTTACTAATGAACGAGTTGGACTAACAAGAATGGTAATCCTGAGGTTTTCTGCAACATTCATTTTCTTCACTGCCCTATTCCCTGCAGCATTATTTATGATCATGAAAAATGGCAAACAAGCCACGCTGTGGGAAGTTCTTCAGGCATTAGGAAGAATCAGTAGATTGTTATGTTTTGAAGTATAAGGCACACTCTCAATTGGAGTGGCCACATAATACATGCTCAAGAAGTAGCCAGTTTTAAAAAAATCATTAAAATTTAAGAGATTATCAAAGATGTGCTTGTTATTTTATGTATGTATGTATGTACATATGTATGTATGTATTTTTGAGATGGCAGAGTCTTGCTCTGTGGCCCCGGCTGGAGTGCAGTGGCGAGATCTCGGCTCACTGCAGCCTCTGCCTCCTGGGTTCCAGCGATTCTCCTGACTAGCCTTCCGAGTAGCTGGGATTACAGGCGCCTGAAACCATGTCTGGCTAATTTTTGTATTTTTAGTAGAGACGGGGTTTTGCCATATTGGCCAGCCTGGTCTCCAAGTCCTGACCTCAGGTGATCTGCCCACCTCGGCCTCCCAAAGAGCTGGGATTACAGGCGTAAGCCACTGTGCCTGGCTTGTACTTGTTATTTAAAAAAAAAAAAAAAAAAATCAGAAATACAGAAGCGTACAGAGTAGAAGCAGAAAGACCCTCTTTCCTTCCCTCCCCCACCCCACACCCATCTCACTCCCTCCCCAGATAAGTCATTAATTTGCTGTCTTCTCATTCTAGAGTCTGCAGATCTACCGCATTTGTAACTTTCAAATTCTAAGGATTGTTTCATTGTTTTAATGTTTCAGTGACCAGCTCACTGATTCCCTAACTGCGGTCTGTATGCGCGTGTGTATTGAGTCAATATTTCCCAAGAACAGATTCCTTTCCTGGAATTTCTAGGTGCTAACTGCCTTACAAAAAGCTTTCACAGCTGGGTGCGGTGGCTCACGCCTGTAATCCCAGCACTTTGGGAGGCCGAGGTGGGTGGATCACCTGAGGTCAGGAGTTTGAGACAAGCCTGGCCAACATGGTGAAACCACATCTCTACTAAAAATACAAAAATTAGCCGGGCATATTGGCTCATGCCTGTAGTCCCAGCTACCCTGGAGGCTGAGGCACAAGATCACTTGAACCTGGGAGGGGGAGGTTGCAGTGAGCCGAGATCGCGCCACTGAACTCCAGTCTGGGCAACAGAGTGAGACTTGATCTCAAACAACAACAACAACAACAACAAAATAAAACTGAAACAAAACAAAATGCTTTTACTTTCCTATTGCATATTGCCATGCTTCTATTTTTGCCAGTTTGAGAGGTGGAAATGTACCTGTTTTAATTTGCTTTTAAACATTATTTTATTTAAAAAAATTGTGGTAAAATATACATAACATAAAATTTACCATTTTAATCATTTTTAAGTGTTCAGTTCAGTGCTATTAAGTACATTCACATTGTCAGGCTATCATCGTTATCCATCTCCCACATTAATTTGCTTTTATTTCATTAGCTAGTGAGTATTTTTTCATTTCTTCATGCACTATTATATTTCTCCTTTCCCTCTCTCATTTTCTTCTTTCCCTCCTTTTCTTTCTCCTCTTACTCCTCTCTCTCTTTTTTTTTTTTGTCTTTTTATGATCTCTGCCGATTTCCCAAATAGCCTGATAACCCTTTTTCTTTCTCTTTTTTAAAAATTAGGAGCTTTCTACATTATGTGTATTATGTTTTGTCAGTTTTCATATATTCTGCTTGGCTCTTTATATATTACATTAGTTATTGTCTTTACAACATCCCTGCAAGACAAATATTCTGATTCCCATTTTGCAGATGAAGAAGATAAAGTTCAGAGATGTTATGTGACTTACCTAAGATCACACAGCTAGTAAGTGGCACAGACAAGATGTGACTCCAGTTCTGTCTGCTTCCGGGGCCCAAGTCCTTTTCACAGTGCTCAGGACAAAAGGAAACTGCGTGAGATGGTGATACTCTACTAAAGGCAGGCAAGACTAGAGGACAGTGGGAGTTCAAGAGACTTCAGGGGGAGGCTGGGGTAAAAGAGTCTGGGGGATCTAGAAGAAGCTGATGTTCCTAATCTTGGAGGAAGTGAGAGATAGACTCCCTTTCCCCCTGCTTCTCTTGTTGCCTGAAGGACCACTGAAACGCTGATGAAACTGGGGGTCTTATGAGTATTCACCCTCCATCACCACCAGCACTGTGGCTGTGGAGTTGAGGCCAGAGGGTGTGGTCTAGAGGCCCTTTCTGGGTGCTAATTCCGGGAAGTTTCTTGTTCTCCCTCTTGCCTACATCCAATTAACCTCCAAGTGCGGTGGATTTTACTTTTATGATAGCACTTCTCTTTGACCCCTGCCAGAGCCTGGTGCAGGTCCCTCTCATGTCCCCTCACTGTCTTACCACTTCTGCTTTCACTTTCTCCAGCTTCCCTTCCGTGCTGCTGTCTGAGTGATCTCTCTAAAGTGTATGTATGATTACACAATTCCCCTGCTTAAAACACTTTGATGGCTCTGCCACGTCTTCAAGATATGGGCCAAACTCCTCATCTCAGCTCTGGGGCCCTTCACTTCCAGCTCCTGCTATCTCTCTGGCTTACCCTTACCTGCCTTGATCTATGTGCAACAAGACTGAATTCCATGAACACAGCCAACTCTCTCTCATGCCTCAAGGCCTTTGTCTCTGCTGTTCTTTCTCACTGGAATGCTGCTTTCTGGTTAACTCTTACTCAGATCTGAGGTTTCTGTTTAGTTGACATTCCTGTAGAAACTCTCCCTAGAATGACGGTGGGGTCATGGGCTGTCATGGACCCTCATCACACCACCCACACTACCATCCTGTAATTTCCTTTTTGTGAAATTTCTGTCTCTCAATCTTGGCTGCATATTAGAAATGCCAGGGCAGCTTTAAGGATGCTGATGCTGGGGCCACACCCCCCCAGAAATGCTGAGTTAGTTAATCAGGGTGAGGCCCAGGTTTTGGTCATTGTAAAAGCTCTCCAGATGATTCTAATGTGCAACCAGCAATAACAGCTCTTGATAGAAAGCTCCGTGGGGCCAGGAGTCATGCCTGTCACAGTCACTTTTTTTTTTTTTTTTTTTTGAGATAGAGTCTCACTCTGTTGCCCAGGCTGGAGTACAGTGGCGTGATCTCGGCTCACTGAAACCTCTGCCTCCTGGGTTCAAGCGATTCTCCTGCCTCAGCCTCCTGAGTAGCTGGGACTGCAGGCATATGCCACCACGCCCTGCCAATTTTTGTAATTTTAGTGGAGACGGGGTTTCACCATGTTGGCCAGGCTGGTCTCGAACTACTGACCTCAGGGGATCTGCCCGCCTCGGCCTCCCAAAGCATTGGAATTATAGGCGGGAGCCACTGCACCCAGCCACAGTCATCTGTATAAACCCTCACTTGGCACTGAACTGTTCAGGTATTCGATAAGGGTGTTGCATAAATGAATGAAGCAGTTTCTAGAAAAGATGCAGGGTATGCATTGGATAGCAAGTTAGAGCTTTTTTTTTTTTGGGACAGAGTCTCACTCCATCACCCAGGCTGGAGTGCAATGGCATGATCTTGGCTTACCACAACCTCTGCCTCCTGGGTTCAAGCAATTCTCCCGCCTCAGCCTCCCGGGTAGCTGGGACTACCCGGCATGAGCCAATATGCCCGGCTAATTTTTGTATTTTTAGTAGAGATGTGGTTTCACCATGTTGGCCAGGCTTGTCTCAAACTCCTGACCTCAGGTGATCCACCCACCTCGGCCTCCCAAAGTGCTGGGATTACAGGCGTGAGCCACCGTGCCTGGCTGCAAGTTAGAGCTTTTAAAGGTTTTATAGAACAATCACTCCCCTGCCTTGTAAGAACTCACCGATCATTCAGGCCACTTTTAGAAAAAATTCCTAGTTTTGTTTACTTGTTTACTCATAGTGAAAACTAAATGTTTAGCTCATTGTCACTCGTGTGTTGCTGGGCCCCCTGTGGAAGGCCTTCTCTCTTCTCTGTGCCCACAGTGAAACCTTATGCCAACTGTCAGAGATCTAAAACCCACCTCTAAAGGAATGGTGTGTAATTTAAATATCACTGGAAATTTCTTGAAAATTTTCAACAGTAAGCCATCACAAAACCCCCTTGTCAACATCTCTGCTGTCTTTCCCCTTAATGGGTGTCTCCAGTCTCCTTGCCTCTAGCTTCTTCACCCTTCTGCCCCTCTCTGGTAAAAAAAACCCTTTTTCTTCCAATGTCCAGCAATTCAGCTCTTTCCTTCTGCTGGTGTCTCCCAAATAGCGAGGCAAAAACCTGAAGCTAGCTGAACAGTGACCACCCATTGTTTTTCCTGTGCCCTCCTGGGAGGCCCCAGTTCATCTCGACATATTATGAAGCTCTTTCTGTCAGGACTCCTTTGTACAGGCACCAGCATTGCACCCGGCTTCTAGGAGCAAGTGAGCATTCACCTAGCATAGTGTCACCATGTGACACATATGCAGGGCGGGGAGGGGCAGGAGACCAGTGGAAGCACAAGGATGGCATGGGGGCTGGCCAACGTCACTCTAAGTAGACATACAATGATCAATGCCCTTCAGCCATAGACCACCAGGGACACACTTGAAATTGCATTAGTTGGATTTATTGCTCTTTGCGATGAGGGAGAATTCTCTTGATGTGTGTCTTTTGTGTGTCCAAATTTTCTCATATTTTGGGGAATTGTAGGGCATATCAGGAAGAAGGTGTTAGGAGGGCTTGTTATAGGATTTGGACTTGTCAGGTGATTTGGGGGAGAGTTCAAGGAAGTGGGGCTTTGCTCTGGGTTGGGTGCTATCAAGTATTAGTCAGCTTGGGATGCCATAAAAAATACCCCAGACTGGGTGGCTTAAACACAGACATTTCTTTTCTTTTTTTGAGACAGAGCCTTGCTCTGTTGCCCAGGCTGGAGTGCAGTGGTGCAATCTCGGCTCACTATAACCTCTGCCTGCTGGGTTCAAGTGATTCTCCTGCCTCAGCCTCCTGAGTAGCTGAGATTACAGGTGCATGCCACCACACCTGGCTAATTTTTGTATTTTTAGTAGAGACGGGGTTTCACCATTTTGGCCAGGCTGGTCTCCAACTCCTGACCTCAGGTGATCTGCCTGCCTTGGGCTCCTAAAGTGCTGGGATTACAGGTGTGAGCCACCGTGCCCAGCCCAGAAGTTTATTTTCTTACAGTTCTGGATGCTGCAAGTCTGAGATCAAAGTGTTGGCAGGTCTCTTCTCCGAGGCCTCGCTCCTTGGCTTGCAGATGACTGCCTTCTTTCTGTGTTACTCACATGGTTGCCCCTCTGTGTATGCAGTCCGTGCTGTTCTCTTCTTTTTTTTTTGAGACAGGGCCTCACTCTGCTGCACAGGCTGAAGTACAGTGGAGACCATGGTTCACTCCAGTCTTGATCTCCCAGGCACAAGGGATCCTCCAGCCTCAGCCTCCTGAGTAGCTGGGACCTCATTCATGCACTACCATGCCAGGCTAATTTTTTTTTTTTTTTTTTTTGTAGAGACAGTGTCTCCCTTTGTTGCCCAAGCTGATCTCGAACTCCTGGGCTCAAGCCATCTTTCTGCCTTGGCCTCCCAGAGTGCTATGATTACAGGTATGAGCCACCATACTTGGCACAAATTTCCTCTTTTTATAAGGACACCAGTCAGATTGGATTAGGGCCCATCCTTACAGCCTAATTTTAACTTAATCATCGATTTAAAGACTTTATCTTCAAATACAGTCACATTCTGAAGCACTAGGGGTTAGGGGATTAATGTATGAATTTTGGGGGATCTTAATTTATCCCCAAATAGAATCTTAACGTATCTCATCTATGAGGTGGGAGAAATGAATGGAGGTGAAAACTGGCCTTGGTAAAGGAGCAGCCATCACTCCTTAGTCAGAAGAGGCGGATGACTGGACACCCTTTCTTGTGACTTGGCCAATGTTCATGTTTTGTCTGTGTTGAGATGTGATTATGGAGGGGTTTTGCTTTCATCTTCATTCATCACAGAGTGGCCTTGTCTGATGTTGATGCTCTGTGAAGTTGTTTATGTTCAACAGGAGAACACCATGGCTTAGCTGTGAGTGCCAGGCCAGCTTGTAGCAACACCAAGGCCTGACTGATAAAACCAGACCAGTTCCCAGCTGTCCAGGGATGTTTTCTCTTTTTCACAATCTGGTACAAGCAGTGTGCTGCAAAGCAAATGCAGCTTTGGCATACTTGCCACTCTTTCCTACTTAGAAATTCTTGTGCCAACACTGGGTGGGCGAGGGAGTGTGGCAACATTCAGCCCCTTTCCAAGAATGCACGGAGCCTGCACACCTGGCAGTGGAGGGAGTAGGTGTTTCCACACCTCCATCAACTTAGGTCTTCAACTGCTCACCTTGAGGACGGACACAGCCTGCTGGCCGAGCACCATGCTGGAACTCCTGGGAATGTGCTTAGCATCCCACTTCCCCTGGTGTATTAGTTATCTATTGCTGCTGCAACAAATTACCACAAACCTGGTGGCTTAAAACAGCACACATTTATTTTCCCAGTTGCTTTGGATCAGGAGTGTAGACAGAGCTTAATTGAGTCCTCTGCTTAGGGTCTCACAAGGCTACAGTCAGGGTGTTGTTGGCTAGGACTGGATTTTCATTGGAGGCTCAACTGGAGAGGGATCTGCTCCTGAGCTCTCTTAGGTTGTTGGCAGAATTCATGTCTTCATGAATTCTGTAGGTCTCATGGCAACTTGCTTAGCAATGGAGAGAGAGATTTTCACTGCTTCTGAACCTTCCCCTAGTCCTTTCTCTTTCCCCTTTCATGTATGGTTGATATTCTTGGCAACTCTCCCATATTAGTCCATTTTGTGCTGCTATAGAAGAATAGCACAGACTGGGTCATTTATAAGTAACAGAATGCATTTCCTTACAGTTCTGGAGGCTGGGAAAGATAGCAATGGAGAGAGAGACTTTAGCAAGACTAGCAGTACATGTTTATGTAGTCATGTACAAGTAATCACAGCACTGCCCATGACCTTTGCCGTATTTCATTGTTAGAAGCAAGTCTCAGGTTCTGGTTACAATAAAGGACAGGGTATGAAACATAAGTGTGAATATCAGGAGGCAGAATCAAGGGGAACTGCCACCACACCTCTGATGTCCCGATCACCTCTGGAAATCTGTGGATGACTGCAGGTCAGCCAAGCCAGGTAGAAAAAGGCAGGGTGAAGGCACAGAGTGTTGCTGAAGCCATAGCAAATCCTCTGCATACTCTGAAAACTTTATTTTTGAGGGTAAATCTGATTTTGGGGAAAGAGCAAAAAGGTATCAGCAGTATAATTTTCTCAGGTACTGCTATGAAGGGGACAAGCCTCACAGGTTTGTGTAAATTCAGAAAGTCATTACTAGGGGCACAAAAGAAGCACTTAAGAGTAGATGGACCTAAGCGGATGCTATACTTTGAAGGTGTCCTCCAAAAGCATATGTTGGAAACTTAATCCCTAATGCAACAGTGTTGGGAGCTGGGACATCATGGGAGGGCTTTACCCTCATGACCTCATGAATGGCTTGAGGATGACTTTAGCTCTCAATCTCGATTTTTCTCTCTTTCTCACTCTCTTGTGCTCTCACCTTCCACAGTGGGATGATGCAGTAAGGAGGCCCTTGCCAGATGCTAGGCACCTTGATCTCAGATTTTCCAGCCTCCAGAACTGTAAGGAAATACATTTCTGTTCTTTATAAATGACCCAGTCTGTGGTATTCTTCTATAGCAGCACAAAATGGACTAATATGGGAGGGTTGCCAAGGATATCAACCATACATGAAAGGGGAAAGAGAAAGGACCAGGGAAGGTTCAGAAGCAATTCAGGGCTCTGGCAATGGGCAGCCAGAGGTATGATCCAGTAACAAAGCTGAAGTTAAGGAGCTAAACTTGATACAGAAACTCGGCAGATAAGCAGAGAGGAGGACATGGGTACATTTAACATCTCCTTCCTAACCAGGAAGGGAAAGGCAGAAAGGCCTGCAACCCAGATGTCTGTATAAGGCAAGTGAGGACCAGGCCATGTCAGCCTGTCACCAGGTCTGGGTCAGCACTGTGGGATGATAGTGAACTTAGGAATGTCTGTGGAAACATGTAAGTAGAGTAGATGTGATTCTATAGAATATTCGGACACTGAGTGTCTTACAGAATAAATCCTACTTGATGATGGGTCTGGCTAAGAGAAAAAACAAAACGAAACAAAGCAACAACAGCAACAAAAAAAACACTTCATTTAAAAACTGTCAGAATCAAACAAAATTATCTAGGTACTTTGGATATGGATATGATATTTCATACTCAGTATCTGACCATATGCTGAGCCATAAAACAAGTCCCAATAAATTCAAAATAATCAAAATCATACAGAGTATGTTTTCTGTTTACAACAGAATTGGATTATAAATCTGTTGATATTGCAAAAACCACAATTACTTTTGCACCAACCTAATATTTAGGACAATTCCATAGTTTGGAAATCAATCAACCTACTTCTAAATAATCCACGGGCAAAGAAGAAAATCACCAGGGAAAGTAGATAATGAAAGATAATGAAATACAGTTTTTCAAAATTTGGGTGATGTAGCTAAAGCAGTGCTTATAGGGAAATTTATAACTTTAAATGCTTATATTACAAAAGCAAGAAGACTTAAAGTCAATGACTTAAGGTACCACCTTAAGAATCCAGAAAAAAAGCAAAGTAAACCCAAAAGTAAACAAACAGAAGGAAATAACAAAGATAAGAGCAGAAACCAACGAAATAAAAGAGAGACAAACAACAGGAGAAAATAAACAAATTCAGCCATGTTTTGTGTGGCCAGAGAGAAGCCCAGCTCAGAGAGAAGCTGGGCGGGCTTCTCTGTGGCCACACGGATTGATTCATTTGGAGTGGGAGAGATAACATGAAATAATAGGTAATTACATCCTTTTGAGTTTTTTGTTTTGTTTTGTTTTGTTTTATTTTAAATAAGAGACAGGGTCTCACTTTGTGGCCCAGGCTGGAGTGCAGTGGTTCGATCTTAGCTCAGGGCAACTTACGTTCTTGATGCTTTTTGCTTTTCCCCCTCACAACCGAAAGAGAAAGTTTTTGCCAGCAGGTGGCAGCGCTGGTGCCTGAAAACGCCAAAAAGCATCGTCCTGGGTTGGCCCGGAGACTAACGATTGCCGCCGGGCTGACACGGGGCAGTCATCTGAAGACAGGAGACAGTCAATTCCAGAAAGCAAATCCCCACTCAAACTTAGAAAAAAGCGATTTTACAAAAACATCTGAACTCTAAATGTTGGTGGAGTTAAATCTCGAAAGACTTGGCTCTTCAAAGCCAGGGGTTCTTTACGGGAAAGTTGGAAATGGGCTTCAGAAAACCTCTCCCCGCATTGTATGCAAATCTGCCCCCCCCCTTTTCTTTTTCCCTGGGAGATCGTCCAGTTATCAGATTCTCAAAATGGACAGCGACTTAAAGCAATTAAAGACCACTGCGACAAATGCTCCTGCGAACACCACTCCGAAGTTAATGGCGCAGACGTCTGGACTTTAAAAGGTGGTGGTAAAGTGCGCTCAGGCATGGGTAGGAGGTGCGGCAGGCGGGGCACAGCTACTTGCTTTCATAATTTTTTTTTCTTCCTGATGGACCAATGCTGTGAAAAATCCTCAGTGGGGTTTTGGAGCCGAAAGGGAGCGACTGCAGTTTGCAGGCTTGCTATGTGTGCCAATCAAGGTGTTTCTCATAAATTTCCTCTTTTAATCCTTGCGGCAATCCTCTGAGTTCGGTGTTAACATCCTTAATATTATTCCTAAAAATCCATTAAGAGGGCTCTTAATGGAGTGCCAGCTTTTGTGGTCCTGGATTTTCAGTGGATGCACACACTGACCATTCCCCTCTCTCTTTTACATTCAAAACTTCCGTGAGATTTCCTTTGTTTAAATGAACTTTCCTTTATAGATAGCCTTTCATTTGTTTATTTTGTCTGCCTCTTTCAATCAAGAGGCACCCTCCCCTCACAATCGGCAGCATAAGCACAGACGTAAACGCAGGAACCAATGCGATTTTAGGTTGAATTTAGGACAGCGCTGGAACTTCACTTTACCCCTCTTGCGGTCACACGAGGTGGGCGGCGGCCCCGGCAGGGTTTGGGCGGGAGAAACGCGGTTCGGGACTCCGCTGCCGCCTAGGCGCGGGGCTGACCTGCGGGGGTGGGGTGGGGGGAGGGAGGTCGAGGCCCGGCCCCACGTGGCCGCTGCTGCCGGGCTCACCCCAGCCCCGCCCGGAGGCGCCCCGCGGCCCCGGCTAGCCAGGGCGGGCGGCCACCTCTGCCCTACTCCTTCCCTCCGCGTTCCGGGCCTCGGAGCCGCCTTGAGGAGGATGAGTCCCTGGAGCTGGTTCCTGCTGCAGACCCTCTGCCTCCTGCCCACGGGCGCAGCTTCGCGGCGCGGGGCGCCCGGCACCGCCAACTGCGAGCTCAAGCCCCAAGTAAGGCGCGCGTCGGGTGCTGGAGAGCCGGCCTCTCTGCACCTCCTTGGGATGGTTTCCCTCCGAACCCCGCGAAGCAGCGCTTTCGGACCCCGAGCCGACTTCCGCGGCTGGGCTTTCACCTAGCACCGCGGCGCTCCTTGCTCGCTCTCCTCTCCGTGCCCTCGGGTTCCCCTTTCCCGCGGGGGCGCAGCCCGCAGGCTCCAAGCGACTCAGTGCCCTGGCCTTTGCCCTCCGCCAGCCCAAGGGCGTCCGAGAGAGCCTCTGGGGTCTCGCCAGCCATTTTCGCGAGCTTTCGGGGGACGGATCCGCCAGGGAGTACCGGACCAGGAACTTGGGCACATTTATTTGAAGTTTCTTCTTCCCTCTCTTCCTTAAGAGTTTAATTTCACCTGCTCTTATCAAAATATTAACAGCGCCCTGAAGCTGCTTGGCTTAACCTTCATATGTTCAGTGCCTGAGTTAGAAGGGACTTTAGGGAGTTGAAGCCATTTCCCTTGTTTTTACCGATCTGGGAAACTGACACTCAGCGGGGGACCTGTGTGCTCCAGGTCACAGAGTGCGTTCGCGGAGTGACCACTGTCCGAGCCTTGCGTGTCCAGCCGGGCGCTTTAGATGTTCGCATCAACGTTTTGTGGGTGAGGGAAACCCAGGCAAGGGAGGCTCAGTGACCTGCCCGAGTCAACACAGCTCTATAGCGGACAGGTCTTGCGTCTCCGAGGCTGGACCTCTTTCGAGATGAATATTTCCTTCTCTGATCAGTTTTCCTACACTCAGAATTTTCTGTGGTTCTCGAGTCCCTCTCTTCTGAGTGCGGCATAGGTTGAATTTCGCGCATTTGTTCCGGTGGGTTTGATATCTGTGCGTCCCTGGCTCTGGAGAGGGCCATGCCAGGCTTATCCTTCTGGTGCGCCCGCGACGCGGGGGTGGGGGGGGTTGGGGGTGGGTTGAGGGAGTGGGGGCTGGAATTTAGAGGCCCACCTTTGATGACACCTGCGCAGCTCCCCGGTCTGCCTCCACCCCTGGCCATTCGCAATTTTATTCCTCATCCCAACTGCAGCAAAGCAGAGGACGGCCAAATAGAGCCGATCCTGGAGCTCCGGGCTGGGAAGACGCACGGTGTTCGCCTCTGTAAGGCGTCGCGGGGCTGCGGACGGCCCTCTACCAAGGCAGGAGGCGCGGCAGCTGGAGAGGGGAGTCTGCACCAGGCATGGTTTCAAACTCTGTTGCGGTGTGGCCGCTTCATGCTTGTTAGACAAGGCAGGAGTCCATCTCCTCACAAGAAAGCACATTGCCTTTCACTTCTGCAAAACCTATTACCGACTGGTAATTATGACGAGTGAGTCTGGATAAGATCTCTCTCCTTTAGAATCTGTCTTTATGAGTCCTTTATTCCATCGTCCTACCTTTTGGTCTCAGGACTCCTTTACGTTACAAAAAATTATCAAAGAAGCCCGGCATGGTAGCTCACTCCTGTAATCCCAGCACTTTGGGAGGCCAAGGCGGTGGATCACTTGAGCCCAGGAGTTGCAGACCAGCCTGGCCAACATGGCGAGACCCTTGTCTCTACAAAAAAATAAAAAAAATTACCAGCGTGGGGACATGTGCCTGCAGTCCCAGCTACTCCAGAGACTGAGGTGGAAGGAAACCTTGAGCCTGGGAGTGGAGGCCAGTGAGGTGTGATTGTGCCACTGCACTCCAGCTTGGGTGAAAGAGCGAGACCCTATATCCAAAAAAAAAAAAAAAAAAGTATTGAAAACCTCAAAGACTTTTACTTTATGTGAATTAATGGAGATAGTAGTAAAACACAACATAGCACACATTCCATTAGCCATCAGAGCAGTGACCTCATCACACACATGTAGCCTCCAGAAAATTCTACAGTACCTTGTGAGAAAATGAGGGTGAAAGGAAAATATCTTAGTTTTATAAAAACAGTTTTGACCTTATAGACTCCCTGAAAGGCTCTTGGGGACACCCACAGGTCCCTGGACCATACTTTGAGAATTGCTGTTCTATTCTGTGGGCAAACTCTGTCTTACCCCCTGCGGAATTGGGAAGGCCAATCAGCGGCACACATGCTGTATGTCTGACCCACATGCTGTAAGGGCATTGTGGTTGGGTTCCTCAGTGGGTTGGGGTCTTGAGATTCTAGAGTGGAAGTCCTGGGATCCAGCCTCCAATCCAGTGCAGCAGCCCCTATAGGATTCTGCAGGACTGTAGCCTTGAGAGCTGGTTTGGTTTTCATGGTTGGTTAATCATTAGAGAGGTCTTCTGAGCCCAAATTGGCCCCTAGACACTGCAGGGTTTACCCTGAGCACCACGCAGGTTGAGTCTCTTTCTTGTCAAACAGAACTCTTAGTGTTCTTTCCTATTCCTGCCTGCTGCCTTTTTTTTTTTTTTGAGACAGAGTCTTGCTCTATCTGTCACCCAGGCTAGAGTGCAGTGATGCTACATTGGCTCACTGCAACCTCTGCCTCCAGGGTTCAAGTGATTCTCCTGCCTCAGCCTCCTGAGCAGCTGGGATTACAGGCGCCCACCACCAAGCCCGGCTAATTTTTGTATTTTTAGTAGAGATGGGGTTCCACTATCTTGAGCAGGCTGGTCTCGAACTCCTGACCTCATGATCCACCCGCCTCAGCCTCCCAAAGTGCTGGGATTATAGGCGTGAGCCACCGTGTCCAGCCTGATGCCTTTTATACTTGCTCTTTCTTCCCCCTGGGAAATTCTCCCCTCATTTATCCACAGGCTTGCTCCCTTACCTCCATCTGGCTTTGGCTCAAGCGTCTCTCAATGAGTTTCTTCCTGATTACTCTCGTAAAGGTGACATCAACTGCTGCCACCACTACCATCTGCCTTCCCTGCTTTATTTTTATTTATAGCACTTAATCACCATCTGATAAAAATTTTTGTTTATTGCTGCCCCTTCCCCTATGTCATCTTCATAAGGGTAGGGATTTTTGTCTGTTTTGTTTGCTTCTGCATCCCCAGTATCCAGAAGAGTGCCTTGCCATAGCAGATGCTCAAAAAATATTTGTTGAATGAAAAGGATAATGTAAAGCCAGCTTCATTGTGGCTGGTCTGCTGAAGAGTAATCTTGGAAAAGTGCAGTTATTGCAGGTCCAGGGATGCTAGGATGGGAGGAGCTGAGGGTGTGCTGGGTGTTACGGAGTTAGCTTGCAATATGCAGTTGTCATTGTGCCTTGTTCTTTTTCACTGGATGGACTACACAGGTGTCTGTTAAAATCTCAGTTTGATTCAGAAGCTTGTAGCTTCTGTGTCTCAGTCACCCATGGCCATGTTTTCTCTCTCTCTTTTTTCTTTTTTGAGACACAGTCCTGCTCTGTCACCCAGGATGGAGGGCAGTGTCGTGATCATAGCTCATTGTAACCTTCAACTCCAGGCCTCAAATGGTCCTCCTGCCTCAGCTTCCCAAAGTCTTGGGATTACAGGCATGAGCCACCATGCCCGGTTGTCTTTTCCTTCTGGGAACAGTTGCAACAAGTTAGAAGGGACATGTTAATCGTGGTTCAGTTTTTTTTTCTTTTAAACCACCCTAATGTTAAAATCTATGGCTTCTTCTAATTGCCATATATTTTAACAGTGAAATGGGGTAGTGAAGGATTTTTTTTTTTTGTAGAGATAAATAGCCCTACCCTGAGGATATCAGTATGAGAGAGGCAGAGGCAGTTGCACCAGTACAGTAAGTGCAAGGGTCCGGGGGCTCGCCAGTGGGCAAAGTAAGGTAAAGAAGAGTCCTGAAGACTCTTCTTTCAGCCTGTGCCCTGCTGAAGACATGTCTGGTAGGGCAGGATCAGTGTTCCACAGGAATGGTTATTGGTGCACACAGTGGGAATCCGGGTGCCCTTTGGTCAGAACAGATCTGTAGGTATTGAAGAAATTGTACAAGATAAGATTCATTTCTTTAAAAAACTCTTTTTGAGCTCCTATGTAGTAGTATATGGCAAGTATTTCAGTATTTGGGGATATGAAGGTGAATAAGATACAGCCCTTGGCATAAAAAAGCAGAAAAGCCCCTGAGCTGTGTTAACTTGAAAAGAGAAAATGGGAAAGGTGGCACCTGAGGATGTAACAAGGTCAGTGTGGTTTATCTGGGCAATCATCTGGGATCGGGAAGATGAGCTGGACAGAGCCTTTCTAGATTTGGAATCAGGTGGTGCTCCTCAGCAACAATACAACTAGCAGGGTATTAACTGAAAAAAGATATGACTCTGAATCAGAGGTAAAGTCTATTGCATGTTAAGGCTGCATAAATATGGCGTTTAAAAGCTTGGACTCAGGAGTCAGCCTACCTGTCCACCACTTAGCATGGGGCATATTTTTGCTCCCACCACACCACTAAAACTGTTCTTGTCTGAGTCCCTAGTGACTTCAGTGTTGCTCAATCCAGAGGTCAGTTCTCAAATTCTTGATTTATTTGGCCTACCATCCACATTTAACCCGCTTGCTTACTTTCTGCTCCTTGAAGTACTTTCTTCAATCGGCCTCCTACTCTTCTGATTTTCCCAGCAACCTTGCTGGCCACTTCTCATTCTCCCTTGCTAGCTGCTCTTCTTTCCCCAGACTTCTTAGGGTGAGAGGGCCCTGAGTCTATTCCTAGAACTTTTCTCCTGTGGACATCCTGTTGGAGACCTTGTCTAGTCCCATGGCTTTAAAGAACATCTACATGGTGATGATGCCCTCATCTTCATCTCTGACCCAGGCCTCTCCCAAGCTCCAGACTTACATATTCACCTACCACCTGGACCTTGGCACAAGTTGTATGCTTGACATGTCAATTGGACAGATCCAAAACCAAATTTCTGACCTTCCCCTCTAATCCTGTTTCACCCCCGTCCTTCTCCATATCTGTTAATGATAACCTCATCCTTTCATCAGGAAGTCCTGTTTTCTTTCCTTTTTTTTTTTTTTTAATTTTGAGATAGGGTCTCACTCTGTTGCCCAGGCAGGAGTGCAGTGGTGCAATCATAGCTCACTGCAGCCTCATCCTCCCAGGCTCAAACCATCTTCCTACCTCAACCTCCTAAGTAGCTGGGACTGGAGGTGCCTGCCACCATGCCTGGCTAATTTTTAAATATTTTGTAGAGACAGGGTCTTGCTATGTTGTCCAGGCTGATCTCAAACTTTTGGGCTCAAGCTTCCCAAAGTGTTGGGATTACAGGCATGAGGCACCGTGCTGGCCAGCAAATCCTGTTTTCTAGACTACATCTGGAATTTGATCACTTCCCATCAATCCTGTCACTCCCACTCAGATTATTTTGGTAATGTCCTAACTGACCTACTTGTGTCTGCCCTCATCCCTCTATTCATCCCAGCCTCCAGGGCGAGCCTTTGAACACACTGTCAGCTGATGTCACTCCTCTCTCAAAAACCTGGGCTAGCTCCCATCTGAATCAGTTGAAAGCCTGAGCCCTTCCTGGGGCCTTTCCAGAGGCCCACCGACCCTGCATGGCTTGACCTCACTCACCTCTCTGACCTCTGCCTCCTGCTTTTCTGTTCAGCTATCCCTCTCTGTCGTGCTGGCCTCCTTGCTGGTCTTCCAGTACATGGAGGCCCTCCCTGCCTCAGGGCCTTTGCATGCTGTTTCTGCCTCCTGGAGGGAATGCTCTTCTCTTAGATATCCCCATAGTGGGCCCCTCGTCTCCTTCACGGCAAGGCTTAGATGTCTTTATAGACATTCAGTGACTTTTCTGGTCCCCCTACTTAAAGTCACCCCTGCAACCCTGTGCCACAGTACTCACTGTCCCTTTTCTGGCTTACATGTTCTTTTTGTGGTTTTTGCTGTCAAATGATCCCTTATTGAAATGTTTTCCTTTGTGCTTCTTAACTAGCTGGGCATTCCACTGCACCATTGTTGATGTCATGAGTGTGGCAGCCATCAAGATTCAGCCCACAGACTGGGAAGTCCCCAGGATCTCTTTAATGGTTCCAGAAAGTTCTCTGGCTAAAGATTGGTGATGCATCTGTTGAGCAACGTTGACGACCTCATCAAAAGTGATATTTCCACTGTGTTTAATGTTTTCCTGTTTCTTTCTATTTCTTGGTGGTTCCTTGAAGGCTTCGAGGGCAGAAGCAGAAGGTACCACCTCAATCTGGGCCTCTCTGTTCTGAATGGTCAGTTTCACTGTAGTCCTCAGACCCCTCCAGTCACTGGTTGGCTTGGCAATGTCATCACCAACCTTTTTTGGAGACAGACGCAGGGGGGCTGATCTTGGTGGCCAGCACAGATGAGGCATTGACTTCACTCCCGGTGCAACTCAGGTATACGACTTTGATCTTGTTAGGGTCCAACTTAGGTGGCATGGTCAAGTCGGCTGGTGTCAGATGAACCCAGATTTGGGACACTGGAAGAAAGTTACATCTTGGCCTCCTCCAGGCTGAAAGACTTAAAGCCAGCTTACATGTTCTCCACAGCAATTGGCACCAACAGGGAACTGTGTGTCACTCACTGTTGTATTCTCTGTGCCTAGAACAGTGTCTGGCACATGGTAGGCTCAGCAGAAATAATTGTGTTGAATGCAGGCAGTGGGACAGTCCAGGCGAAATGCTTGGGTGGAGGCTGGCACACAGTGAACAGCTGCTGTTAGCATCGGTACTGCCATTACATGGCTAGAGGCCAGACGTGTATGTGCGTGTGTGTGTGTTTTTAAATTTAATCAGTTTTCAGTGAAAAGATCATACAGTGACCTTATTTCTAGACCAGTAATAGTTGAAAAGGCAACAATAAATAAATAATAAAATGAAAATGGATGCATACTGAACAGACTGCTTCTGAAGAGAAATGCAGGTATTTTGAGGTAGGATGGGGACCTTAGGCAGATTAAGTGTATTGGATAAAAACAAACCAAAACCAAACCAAAACGAACCCCACCCCTCCATTATCCTGCAGTATGGGTTTGATTTTCCTGGGAATATATTTGTTTAACATGATGGTGTCCTGATAGATGACAATGAATCAGGTGTCCATGGGTTTAATAATAACATTTCAGCTTGTTTGCTGTGTCTCCCAGTTGGAAACTATGTAGAAGTTCTTGGGTAGACTGCCTGGACATTGTGCAATTAGATCTCTTATATAGGTCAGTGGTCCCCAGACATTTCATGAACCAGACCTCTAAATGAACAAATAAACTAAAATTACTCTTCGAAGGCTGCCTCTACCTATTTGTAGGTAATAATTCTTACCTGTTTACAATTAACCAAAGACATAACTGTCAATCTCAACTTTTGATTAGCATCTATTTTAGTTACCCAGTGTCTTCTACCCTTTTGATCTAATTCTAACCAACAGTGAGACATTTGATTGCTTAATTCGCCTTAGCAGGCGTTCTTGGTAGATGTACAGTTTCCATTTCGTTTTTGAAGTATTTAAATAACCTCAGGGGCCCTTATTACTGCATAAGAGGATGCCTAGGGGATGGGGACCCTGTACGTGATTCATCTGTTAATATTACTTCAACAATCAATGGTTTTTAATTTTTTTTTTTCTTTTTTGAGACAGCATCTTGCTCTGTTGCCCAGGCTGGAGTGCAGTGGCGGGATCTTGGCTCACTGAAACCTCTGCCTCCCGGTTCAAGCGATTCTCCTGCCTCAGCCTCCTAAGTAGAGTAGCTGGGACTACAGGCGCTTGCCACCATGTCCGGCTAATTTTTGTCTTTTTAGTAGAGGTGGAGTTTCATCATGTTGGACAGGCTTGAACTCCTGACCTCAAGTGATCCACCCTCCTCGGCCTCCCAAAGTGCTGGGATTATAGGCGTCAGCAACTGCGCTCGGCCTAAATTTTTTTTTTTTTTTTTTTTGAGATGAAGTCTCGCTCTGTCCCCTAGGCTGGAGTGCAGTGGCGCTATCTCTGCTCACTGCAACCTCCACCTCCTAGGTTCAAGCAATTCTCCTGCCTCAGCCTCCCAAATAGCTGGGACTACAGGCGCAGGCCACCACACCTGGCTAATTTTTTGTATTTTAGTAGAGACACGGTTTCACCATGTTGCCCAGGCTGATCGCGAACTCCTGAGCTCAGGCAATCCCCCCGCCTCGGCCTCCCGAAGTGCTGGAATTACAGGCGTGAGCTACTATGCCTGGCCAATAAGGTGCCTTTCAGTAGAAGCACACATAAAACAAGGCTATGTATTGATCAATTGATGAAAATGTTATGAACAAGAACTTAACCCTATGTTTCCCCTAGGAACAACAGTTTAGTATTTGCTAATTTTGTGGCAACTTTATAAAATATAACTACCATGAATAATAAGAATTGCCTGTAGATAGAAACTTCATGATCCAAGGGAAGCATGTTACTTAAAAGGCTGAAGTCAAATACTTTAGTAAAGGGAATATGTTCCAAATATTTCTTTCTCCCTCCCTTCTTCCCTCCCTCCCTCTAGTCCTTCCTTCTCTCTCTCTTTCTTTCTTTTTCTGAGACAAAGTCTCATTCTGTTGCCCAGGCTGAAGCACAGTGGTGCAATCTGCAGACTCAACCTGATGGGCTCAAGCAATCCTCCCACCTCAGCCTCTTGAGTAGCTGGGACTACAGGCATGCACCACCATGCCCGACTAATTTTGGTATTTTTTGTAGAGATGGGGCTTTGCTGTGTTGCCCAGGCTGGTCTCAAACTCCTGAGCTCAAGTGATCTGCCTGCCTCAGCCTCTAAAGTACTGGGATTACAGGTGTGAGTCACCATGCCTGGCCGAAATATATATAGTCTTTCTATAACCCTAGATTTTCACATTTCCGGCTTTCTTAATACATTGTTCTTGTCACTGGTATGTCTGCCATTTACACCTAATTCCTTGAGCACTGCACTTCTTTGTACAGTGCCTCTTAATAAGCAGATATGTTATAAATGCCAGTTGTTGAGGATGAGAGACACTCAGGGGCCAGGAGTGAAATGGCCTGGCTTCAGACGAACATGCACCGCTGCTCAGCATGTGCAACTGCTTGGAGAGAATCCATCCAGCAGAGATCATCCAGATCTCTGTGATTGAAACTGAAGGCTTTGTGAGAGAAATAAGTGTGATCCACGTCCTAAAGGGACAAGAGCAAACTGTAAAATCATAGGCTCATTAGGACCCTAGTTTCAACCTTGGCGGTACATTGGGGTCACCAGGGGAGCTTTAAAAGTAGCATCTCTGTGGCCGGAGCAATGGCTCACGCCTGTAATTCCAGCACTTTGGGAGGCTGAGGTGGGCGGATCACAAGGTCAGGAGTTTGAGACCAGCCTGGCCAATATGGTGAAACCCCGTCTCTACTAAAAATACAAAAATTAGCTGGGCGTGGTGGCGAGTGCCAGTAGTCCCAGCTACTCAGGAGGCTGAGGCAGGAGAATTGCTTGAATCCGGGAGGCTGAGGTTGCAGTGAAGTGAGCCAGGATTGCGCCATTGCACTCCAGCCTGGGCAACAGAGTGAGACTCCTTCTCAAAAAAAAAAAAAAGTAGCATTTCTGAGTTCCACCTCCAGAGATTCTGATGTGATTGGTCTGGGGTGGGACCCAGGCATTGGACTTTCAAAAGCTTTGGGGGTGATTCCAGTGCATAGCTAGAGTTGAAGCCTCTGCCTTTGGGGATGTTGGTTTTGAGATCTGAAAGAGCAGGGATCATCAGGTCTGCCTGGGAGACAGTGGGCTTCTCAGGTGTCTCTTAGATGGTATCAGGTATATCCTTGGAGGCCCCTGAGACTCACTTCTTTAACTCTTGCCCAGTTCATTGCTAGGGCAGGCATGGCACAATCTCAAAACTGGTGACTGCTATTGCTTTCTCATCTTGGAATCAACATTTTGATTGAAAAGGGGGTCCCATCCCCTTTTGATTGAAAAGCTGAGTCTCATCCCAGACCAATCAGATCAGAATGTCTGGAGGTAGGACTCAGAGATGCTTCTTTTAAAGCTCCGCTGGTGATCCCAACATACAGCCAAGGTTGAAACTAGAGTCCTAATGAGCCCCTGATTTCATAATTTGCTCCTGTCTATTTAGGGCAATGGATTGTCCTGGCAGGTGAATCTACACGGACTCAAAAGTCTAAATTCTACTTTGATATCTTTTCTCTTGAAATGTGACTGATTCATTTCCTCTCACAGGTTCCTGACCATGCCTCTCCCCCATATTATACCTTGATGTTACCTCTTTTCTTTTCAGCAAAGCGAGCTGAATTCCTTCTTGTGGACCATTAAGCGAGACCCACCATCTTACTTCTTTGGCACAATCCATGTCCCGTACACCCGAGTTTGGGACTTCATCCCCGACAACTCTAAGGAGGCTTTCCTGCAGAGCAGCATTGTGTACTTTGAGTTGGATCTCACAGACCCCTATACCATCTCAGCTCTCACCAGCTGTCAGATGCTGCCACAGGGCGAGAACCTCCAAGATGTGCTCCCCAGGGACATCTACTGCCGCCTCAAGCGCCACCTGGAGTATGTCAAGCTCATGATGCCCTTGTGGATGACCCCAGACCAGCGCGGCAAGGGGCTCTACGCAGACTACCTCTTCAATGCTATTGCCGGAAACTGGGAGCGCAAGAGGCCTGTCTGGGTGATGCTCATGGTCAACTCCCTGACTGAAGTGGACATTAAGTCCCGTGGAGTGCCTGTCTTAGACCTGTTCCTTGCCCAGGAGGCTGAGCGGCTGAGGAAACAGACTGGGGCAGTGGAAAAGGTGGAAGAGCAGTGCCATCCATTGAATGGGTTGAACTTTTCACAGGTAAGACTCTCTTTGCATAAAAGACTTAGTGGCATTTGGTTGTATGGGTGAATCTGTTGAGTTTCAGGGCAGGTGATGGATCACGGGCACAGCTTGTCTAGAAATTGTCTTTGCTTAAAAATGCTTTTCCGGGGGTTAAAAAAAAAGCCAAGTGGTCAGTTATATCACTTATTTGAGTATTGCCAAGAAAAAAAACTTGTTTTTTTCTTATCATTCCAACAAATACTGTGTACTTTTTTTTTTTTTTTTTTGGGACAGAGTCATTCCACCCAGGCTGGAGTGCAGTGGTGCGATCTCAGTTCACTGCAACCTCTGCCCTCTGGGTTCAAGCATTTCTCCTGTCTCAGCCTCCCTAGTAGCTGGGATTACAGGTGTGTGCTACCACGCCCGACTACTTTTTGTATTTTTAGTAGAGACGAGGTTTTGCCATGTTGCCAGGCTGGTCTCGAACTCCTGACCTCAAGTGATCTGCCTGCCTCGGCCTCCCAAAGTGCTGGGATTACAGGTGTGAGCCACTGTGCCTGGCCCATACTGTGTGCTTTTAAAATGCATCTTAGTTCAGATCCTTCATTAAAAAGCTGCTTTGAGACGTTGTGGACATGTGGATGCCACACTGGTTGTCACAGGGCATGGCCTGGTTTGAAAATATACTGGCCATTGCTACTTTAGGAGACAGCAGTCTCTTTGAGGTCACTACTGTCCCTCTTTAGGACACTGCCCCAGGACAGTTCCTTTCCTAGGCAGAGTTATGCTCTTCTTACCCCTGGTTTAAGGATCCTACCCCAGGGCATTGGAATTTAATTTGATGTTCAAGAAGTTGGTTCTTCAATTCTCATAAGTAATACTTGATTAAAGTGCCATGGTTTAGTTGTTTCCATAAAAGTTGTTTAAAGTGCATTAGACACTTCTGGAGACCAATGGGAGTCTTGCAATATGAAATAAAGTGTTCTTGTTTTGTAAATGTTCTCATTGGGTCACGTTGAGGTTTTGTTCCTCAGAATTTGAGATTACTGTTAATCCAAATAGCTCAGCCTTAGCAGATCTTGACATACTGAACTAAGGTTGTTATTTAAAAGGTGTAAGGACATGTAACAATCTAAAAATAATGTTCCTGAGTTGATAATGATATCTTTAGGGAATTTATCTTGCTAAAATTCTATAATATTAATAAGTAATCCGATGCTATTCTATATGCTATAGTATTTGTTTGGCACACTAAGATTTATAGATAAGATAAGGGATCATTAATTGTCTGCATTGATCTCCTGGGAAAGATTTTCTTGCATTATTATGGAAACCCAAAGAGCCAATGTTATAACCTTTTCAATGTCTGCATTTAATATAATATTTTGAAAAAGAAAGGTGCTTTGATTTGAAGGCTTATTGATTTTGACGGAATGAATTTGAAATTGGTGAGCATTTTAACCTGAGCCAAAGCCTTCTTTCATACTCCCAATTGGGGAAAAAAAGCTTGGAAGTAAAATATTAGCTCAAGCAAGGTATCTTTGAAGGAAGGTGTGCAACACTGTCTCTTTTTTCCTTTCTTTCTTTTTTTCTTATACTTTAAGTTCTAGGGTACATGTGCACAACGTGCAGGTTTGTTACATATATATACATGCGCCATATTGGTGTGCTGCACCCATTAGTTAATTAGTTAATGTTAATTAGTTAACTAGTTAATTAACTAATTAACTAGTTAACTAATTAACTAATTAGTTAATTAGTTAATAGCTGCACCATTAGTTAATGGGGGAGGATAATGCTATCCCTCCCCCCTCCCCCTACCCCATGACAGGCCCTGGTGTGTGATGTTCCCCTTCCTGTGTCCAAGTGTTCTCATTGTTCAATTCCCACCTGTGAATGAGAACATGCGGTGTTTGGTTTTTTGTCCTTGCGATAGTTTGCTGAGAATGATGGTTTCCAGCTTCATCCATGTCCCTACAAAGGACATGAACTCATCCTTTTTTATGGCTGCATAGTATTCCAAGGCGTATATGTGCCCCATTTTCTTAATCCAGTCTATCATTGATGGACAATTTCGGTTGGTTCCAAGTCTTTGCTATTGTGGATAGTGCCACAATAAACATGTGTATGCATGTGCCTTTATAGCAGCATGATTTATAATCCTTTGGGTATATAACCAGTAATGGCATGGCTGGGCCAAATGGTATTTCTAGTTCTAGATCCTTGAGGAATTGCCACACTGTCTTCCACAATGGTTGAACTAGTTTACAGTCCCACCAACAGTGTAAAAGCGTTCCTATTTCTCCACATCCTCTCCAGTACCTGTTGTTTCCTGACTTTTTAATGATTGCCATTCTAACTGGTGTGAGATGATATCTCATTGTGGTTTTGATTTGCATTTCTCTGATGGCCAGTGATGATGAGCATTTGTTCATGTGTCTGTTGGCTGCCAAAATGTCTTCTTTGAGAAGTGTCTGTTCATATCCTTTGCCCACTTTGTGATGGGGTTGTTTGTTTTTTTCTTGTAAATTTGTTTGAGTTCTTTGTAGATTCTGGATATTAGCCCTTTGTCAGATAAGTAGATTGCAAAAATTTTCTCCCATTCTGTAGGCTGCCTGTTCACTCTGATGGTAGTTTCTTTTGCTGTGCAGAAGCTCTTTAGTTTAATTAGATCCCATTTGTCAATTTTGGCTTTTGTTGCCATTGCTTTTGGTGTTTTAGTCATGAAGTCCTTGCCCATGCCTATGTCCTGAATGGTATTGCCTAGGTTTGCTTGTAGGGTTTTTATGGTTTTAGGTCTAACATTTAAGTCTTTAATCCATCTTGAATTAATTTTTGTATAAGGTGTAAGTAAGGGATCCAGTTTCAGCTTTCTACATATGGCTAGCCAGCAACACTGTCTCTTAAGATAACATATTTCAGAGATATTTTAGAGCACTATAATTATAGACTACAGTGTCATGTTGATTTTATAACACATTCTTAGGGTTTGTGTAGGTGTTTAAGATGTATAAACTAAATTTCTTATAAGACCTTGAGGTTAAGCTAGCAAGGTAGAGTTGTTTAAATTCAGGAGGAAAACGACTTGTTCTTAAAAGTCTTTTTTTCATGTAACTTCCCCATGTTTCATTTCTAGAGATAAACAGTAAAATACTCACAACCTGAGTATACAGCCCAATGACTTTTTTTTTTTGAGACAGAGTCTCACTCTGTTGCCCAGGCTGAAGTGTAATGGCACGATCTCAGCTCACTGCAGCCTCTGCCTCCCAGGTTGAAGTCATCCTCCTGTCTGGGATTACAGGCACCCGCCACCACGCCTGGCTAATTTTTATATTTTTAGTAGAGATGGAGTTTCACCATGTTGGCCAGGCTAGTCTTGAACTTCTGGCCTCAAGCGATCTTCCTGCCTCAGTCTCCCAAAGTGCTGCGATTACAGGCGTGAGCCGCCACACCTGGCCTCAGTGTATGACTTTCAACCATCACTTAACTTCTCTAAACTTTAGTTTTCTCATCTTTCCAATGGGGATAATAATACTTGCCCTACCATCCTGTTGTCAGAAGCAAAAAAAAAAAAAAAAGCAGGAAATTGGAAAGCACTTCATAAATAAGATATAAGCAGAAGGGAGTGAACATACAGTGCCTACCATGAGACAGTCCTCACTGATAATTTTATATTTAACTCTCAAACTTCTCAAGATGAGTGGTATCATTGATTTTGCAAAGGGAAATTGTTTTTCTTCTTGGTTTCCTATAGACAAAGATTTTTTTTCAAAGAAGTTAAAGGAAAAGAGGACAGAAGCATAAAACAGAAGGGCTAGCAGAGGTTGCAAATAAGAGGCATATGGGCTGAATCCGACTTGCAGTTCTGTTTTATGTGGTTAGCATGATTTTTTTTCTTTTTTAATGACTAAGTTGACAATATTTAAAAATTGAGAAATACCATATGGAGAACAGCCTGGATTCTCTTGGGCCATGCTCCCACATAGCAGCAGTTGGCTGGACTGAGCACTGGCCGCCCCCTTTAGATGTGGCCAATATTGTCTTTCCAGTTTGGCCGCAGTCCCCACTCCTCCCTGTTACCTTTCACCTAGACATCTTGACTTCTTTTAACTCATCTGCCTGGCCCCTGTAGGCCTTGTGGCTCTTGGTTTGTGGGGTGTAGTCCCTGAATCTAACTGAAGTCTGGCAACAGGTTAGGACCCTGACACGGATGCCTGGATTTGATCTTGTCATCTCAGGGCAGACATCATCCTTGCCCCTCGGTATCGAATCAAGTTATGACTCCTGTTCTCCTTCACCTGAAGTTCATGCCTGCTTGGTACTGCCAGCTGCATTGGCATTCCCTATGTGAAGGAAGCACATAGCTTGGACCTGGAGGCTCAGCGGAGTGGGCTCAGCAGGGTGGTGTCTCACTTCTTCTCTGTCTGCACAGGTAGGTTCCCCTAGAGAAATGGTCTTGCTAAATCCCATCTCCATGTTCACACATCACCAGGCATCTATGGACAGGCTCCGGGCATAGGGAATTGCAATGCCTGCTCTGCCCATCTAAGCATAGGACTCTCCTGTCCACTTCCCCACCAAGTGATCGGACGTCGTGGTGGGGTGGGGCAGGAATCTGGGAAAGCTCCGGTCTCCTCAGCATGGAATCTGTCCTTTGGGACCCAGTCACATCTTGGCTTGGGCTCTTTCTTGTCATATCCCTAAGTGAACATGAATGTAGCCAACAGTTCTGGAGTTTCCCTCTGCTTTCCACATGCAAAGCCTGCATCTTTGGGCTTTCAACATCCTAAGAGGCAGTTAGTTGGATGTAAAACTCCTTTTGCAAACCCCAGAGTTGACGCTGAGGTGCTCTTATTTGAATTGCTACTGTGCAAAGCATCACTTCTTTGTTATTGTTTACTCTTGCCAATAGATGGCACTAACATATTTCATATTTGCCTTTTTGGCTGTCATTCTTTTGTACTTTCCAGGAGGATGGTCACTGCCAGTTCTTGTTCTTCAGGACCCTAACAACTCACTTTCTCTTTTTTTTTCCCCACAATGCAACATTCAATAGTGGTTTGGGCTCAGTGGACATACTTCCAGATTGTATGAAACTGCAATTCTTGAGCTATAGTTTTGGGGTGTTGGAGAAGATGGGGAGCAAGTTGTCTTTAGTTTGGTCGGTCACCTAATAGAAGAAACAGATGGCTCCAGGATGATTCTCTGGAAAGGTCCAGGGCAGAGTGGAGTGGTTGAGGCAGCCCACTCCCCAGGAGCCCTGTGGTCTGACTGAGGAGGAAGGGGAAATTCCTAGAAGGATGCCACCTCTCTCAGCCTGTGGTTATTAAGGGCTAGGTGGATGCTGGAGGAGTGGGAGCTGGGGAGGTGCTAGATGGCCTGAGGAAGACTCCTGTGGAGGAAGGGGTCAGATTCTTTGAGGATGGGGTGGCCTGCCAGGCCTAAGGAGAGGATCCCGGGGATACCATGTGGTGCCTTGTTTTGTACTTTGCAGGTTTCTGCATATTCTCACATCAGTGCCATGGGTCTTAAGAACAACCCCTGGGGCTAGGAGGTCTCTGTTCCTAGAGGCCAAGGCAAGATTGTGGGGGGTCAGCCAGCAGAGGTCACTGGGGATGGTTTCCTGCTGGACTAACCCGAGAGAGGCCCATCTGGAAGCAGAGGGTGGGCTGGCCTGGGGTCACAGCAAGAGTTAGTGCAGGACAGGCCTAGGTTCTCAGATCTCCTGTTTCTAATCCAACTCTGCCTCTGAGTGTCATGCGGGACCCCTATTGACTTCAGTGGGGATGGCACTAGGTTCAAAAGGCGGAAGAAGAGACCCAGAGCCAGCAAATGAGACACAGGGTTTATTGAGAGGACTGACTTACAGGGTGATCCAGTGGCAGTGGGCTGGACAGGAGAATCCCAATCGCTTGCAAAAAGCCTGCAGTTGATAAATCACCTTCACTTAGCACCTGCTCCTACATGGCAATCCTCATTTAACTCAAAGCAAAGGGCCTCAATCCCTTGTGTGGTCCATGTTCCACAGGATGGGCCAGGGGTTCACATGTTCCTTATAGACAAGGAATGAATCTCTGGATTCCTTAGCTCGGAATTCTGAACACACATTCTTCTTCTGAAGTTATTGCTGTCAGGTGCACCTACACTGAATGCTGCCAACTGCCAGACTTAGAGGAGTAATTGGCTGAGGGATTCTGGCTTCCCCATCATAAATTCCAAAAAAAGCAGGAGATCTCATTAAAAAAAAAAAATTGACTATGATGCTCATAGATGACTTTTCCACATTTTCCATGATCGATTTGGAAGTTGGTTGAAGATGGAGATCCTGACATTCTATTTTTCCTCGATAGTCTTGGTTTAAAATAAAGGCCTAGGAAAAATATGTGAACTTTCTGAAAGAGAACTCTTCCCTTTCTCGTCAGGAGATCGAGACCATCCTGGCTAACACGGTGAAACCCCGTCTCTACTAAAAATACAAAAAATTAGCCAGGTGTGGTGGCGGGCGCCTGTTGTCCCAGCTACTCAGGAGGCTGAGGCAGGATAATCACTTGAACTCGGAGGGCAGAGGTTGCAGTGAGCCGAGATTGCGCCACTGCACTCCAGCCTGGGCATCAGAGCGAGACTCTGTCTCAAAAAGACAAAAAAAAAAAAAAAAAAAAAAAAGAAAATTTGAATAGAGCCTTTCTAAGAGCTATGTAGATATAGACTGGCATCTTAAGATTCACATGGGGCCAGGCGCGGTGGCTCACACCTGTAATCCCAGCACTTTGGGAGGCCGAGGCGGGCGGATCACGAGGTCAGGAAATCGAGACCATGGTGAAACCCCGTGTCTACTAAAAATACAAAAAATTAGCCGGGCGTGATGGCTGGCGCCTGTAGTCCCAGCTACTTGGGAGGCTGAGGCAGGAGAATGGTGTGAACCCAGGAGGCGGAGCTTGCAGTGAGCCGAGATTGCGCCACTGCACTCCAGCCTGGGCGACAGAGCGAGACTCCGTCTCAAAAAAAAAAAAAAAAAAAAAAAGATTCACATGAAGTCTAACCTTTTGGGAGCAATTTGCTTTTATCTCAGTCTTTTGCTTTTTTACATAATTTCCCAACACTGCTATGTATTATTTCCTGTTCTTAGGCATGGTTGGGCTGAAGTGCTGCAGTTACTGTCGGTACCCTGGGAGTCTGACACGTCTATTCCTTGGATAAACCATGTCCCGGCTTTCACATAGGCGTCAATACAGATGTTGTACGTGGACCGTGTCTTCACAAATTAGAAGTCTGGGTGGGTTCTTAGCTCTCTCGGGAGTGTCTTTTGCAGTTATTTTTTTCATGTTGGACATCCCTTTAGTTTCTGATTTTTTTGAGCAGAGCAGAAAATCAAACCAACGTTGTACCTGAATGGCTGGCTGTGAAGCTCCTGGGCTCGCAGGTGCAGACTTTAGCTCTGCTTCCCCCTGGGCACAGGCCTGCTCAGGACTTGAGCTGTCTTTCATTTTATGGCCCCTTTTTATTTGGGACACATTTCTTAAGCACTCAGCATAGGTGATGCACTCTGTTTCTAATTTTGGGGATTCAAAGACAAAGCAAGTGTTGATTCTCCCTTCCCCTGGCTCTGGGCTGCCCCTCTAAAGTCCAAAGCGAACTTAAAAAAAACCAAGAATAGGTATTTTTGTACCTATTTTTGTACAGGTACCTGGATGCCACACATGCTGCTGGGGTTCTGACCATGTTGTGGCTGTGTCTGACCCTGCCCAGCTGCTTTTGGGGTCCTAAGAGAGGCCCTTCAAGGGAAGTGCAGCCTAGTTTCTGCCTCATATCCCTGCCTCCTGCCCTGGTGAACTAGGCTGGCAGTAGAGAGCTCCTTTGAAACCCTAGCAGCCAGCTCTTCCTTGACACCTGCTTGGTGGATCAGCCCAATGACACGTCTAGACTTCAGGAATAACTCCCAGCATGTCTCCATGCGAGAAAAAGTGAGAACACGAATTCTTCATCCCTCCTCCAAAGAGTCCCCCTGCCAGGTAGGGGTAGTTGAGGCAGAGTCTACCCCACTTGGGGGAGAGGAAGAAGGGCAAGGAGCCAGGTGGGACTGGGGCCAAGTTGTACTGGGATCCTCCAAGGAGCTGGTTAAGGTGTTGGGGTCAAGGTGCTCCATGGCCCAGGGACAGAGGAAGTGGGGGCTGCCCTGGACCCTGAGGTGGTTACTGGTGGTGTAGCATCACGTCATGCCACGGGCATTAGGGCGCTTCTTCTCTGTATTCTTTTTCTCTGTCCCTCCTGACACTTTTTGTGTACCTCCCTGAACTCTTCCACGAGGCTCTTCCCTTTGCATTCACAGTCATTTAGAGCTTAAAAGGGAGCTTCAGCAAGAGCTTCAGAATCATAAAATGAGGAATCCTAACAGGAGAGACCTCATTAGCCTCTCAATGCTCAGGTGAGAACTGCAGCTCACACTGAGCTTCTGCTCTTGCGGGTGCTTTGGGCAGGTGAGGTTGTTTATCGCTGAGCAGAATACAGGCAGGTAGGTTGCTGCTGCCTGACTTTCGGGGAAAGGACAGCTCTGGGATGCTCTGTGCTCTCTGGGGCTTCAGTGCTGTCTGAAGAGGCTGCCGATGGTTGTTGACACAACCCAGGCCCAGAAGTGACTTTGAAATGCTGTAGAGCAGGGGTCCCCAATCACCACGCCACAGATGGGTACTGAAGCTTCATCTGTATTTACAGCTGCTCCCCGGCCATTCCCTATCACTCGCATTACTGCCTGATCTCCTCCTCCTGTCAGATCAGTGGCAGCATTAGATTCTTATAGGAGCATGAAGCCTATTGTGAACTGTGCATGCGAGATCTAGGTTGTGTGCTCCTTATGAAAATCTGATGCCTGATGATCTGTCACTGTGCCCCAACACTCCCAGATGGGACTGTCTAGTTGTAGGAAAACAAGCTCAGGGCTCCTACGGATTCTACTCTATGGAGAGTTGTAGAATTCTTTTATTAGATATTACAAAGTAATAATAATAGAAATAAAGTGCACAATAAATGTCATGTGCTTGAATCATCCCAAAACACTCCCCCAACAGCACCCCTCACCTGCTCTGTGGAAAAATTGTCTTCCACCAAACTGTACCTGGTGCCAAAGGTAAAGCCCTATTGGCCTCACCTCCCTGTAAATCGATCTACGGCCCTGTAAATCGATCGCCAGGCTGATGGAAAGTGTTTGCAGATGTCTGAGGCATCTTGTGACTGAATCCAAGCTCGAGGGCCTGATACCTGCCTGAGCACCTCCCCACTGCTCCCACCTCCCTTTCTGGATCCAAGACTTTCAAGATCCTGTCAACCCTTCACATTCCTACCCAGCCCTGGCTCTGCTTCTCAAATGTGGCCTACATCTGGCTTCTGCCAGTGGGTGATCTGGGGATGACCCCACACACCTTCTCCACCTCACCAACAACCCCCAACCCTGACTCTGCTGTTGCTGTGACATTTCAGAAAGCAGGCGCCATTGCCTACAAGGCAGAGAGGAGAAACTGTGGAGGATGAAAGAGAGAAGGAAATAAGCAGAGAAAAGGAGGCTTAGGAAATGGATTCTAACAGCACAAGACTGGAGCTTTCTTCTTGCTTTTCTGGTCCTCTCCCTAGGAGATGATGTAGAAATCACTGTTAAATAACTGCAGTGGACATGAGGGTTTGTATTAGTTTGCTAGGGCTGCCATAAACCAAGTACCACCAACCGGGTGGCTTAAACAACAGAAAGTGTCGGCCTCATGATTCTAGAGGCTAGAAGTCTGAGAATTTCTAGTGTCGGCAAGGCTGGTTTCTTCCAAGGCCTCTCTCCTTGACTTGCACATGGCTGTCTTCTCCTTCTGTCTTCACGTCTTCGTCCCTCTGTCTGTCTGTGACCTAGTCTCCTCTTCTTATATGGACACCAGTCATACTGGATTATGGCCCGCCCTTTTCACTTAAAGGCTCTATCTCCAAATAGTCATTTCCAGAGGTATGGGGGGATGGATGGTTAGGACTTGGGCATATGAACTTAAGGGGTACACAGTTCAGCCCATAACACAGACCCAGGGTAAAGTTGCAAAGTTTGAGCAACTTTGACAGGAAGGAGATTTTGCATCATTTCAAAGCTGTCTTTAGGTGTCCAATCAAAGTGAAAACATTCTGTAGAAGGTTTTTCACCTTGATGCGTGTGTGGTGGGGAGGAGAGTGTCCAGCTGTGCCAAGTTCATGGCAGGTGCTTGCATTGTGGCTAATTCTCTTATAGCAAAGTTCACTTGAGCCCAGGAGTTCGAGACCAGCCTGGACAACATAGTGAGACCCCCCCCCATCTCTCCAAAAAATAAATGAGACCGAGCCATGAGCCAGATAGGCCATTTGGACTGCCAGTTTCCTACCTGTGATGTAGAATGTTCAGGCTAAACCAGTGGTTCTCAAAGTGTGTCCCTGGACTGGCAGCATCAGCATCATCTGCAACTTATTAGTAATGCAAAATTTGGAACCCCCATCCCAGACCTCCTGAACTGGAAACTCTGGGGTGGGGCCAGCCATCTTTGATCTAACCGGCCCTCTGGGTGTTTCTGATGCACAAGCAAGTTGGAGAACCATTGGGTCCTATTCTTGGTCCCTGCTCCAGTCCTGTTCTTGTATTGCCACAGTGCGTTACCTCAAGTTGCAGGGCTCAGAAGACCCTCTTTTCTCCTGAACTCATAGCGTCTGCTGTCCATACCACCAATGAGAAGTTATTCATTTGCTTCCATGCGGTGGCTGTTGAATTATCACGCTTATGGTTATTTAATTCTTTTGTTGGTGATTAACTTTCCAGATGTTTATTTTGTCTTCTGGCCTGGCACATAAACTTCTAGAGAGCAAGGATCTTGATTTACCCCCACTTTTTTTTGGTATGGGTCTAGCATAGTGCCTTGCACATGTGGGTGTTTACTAATTGCTGGGTGCAATTGGAGGGAGGTAGTTTTCTGATAGCTCAATCCGGCCATACTGTATTAAAAGACCAAACTACAGCATTTACTCTTTGCTGGCTGTTTCCATCTTTACCCTGACTTTTTCTCTTCTGTTGATCTTCCCAGAATCATTTCCTTCCTGCCACCAGGGCAGAGATGCTGCTTACACAATAATGTTAGTGTGCCATTTTCCTGGGGAGTAACTTCTAAACAATAAAAAAGTGAAAGTTAAACACACCCCGAGGGCAGTAGTCGGTGTGTGGCTCATGGGCTGTGGGGGCAGAGACCTTCCTTCCCTTGTGAGGGGTAGTTTTTGAATCTGTGATGCAGGTTTTTAAAAAATTTTTTATTTCTGTAGAGATGGGGTCTTGCTATGTTGCTTGGCTGGCCTCAAACTCCTGGCATCTAAAGATCCTCCCACCTCTGCCTCCCAAAGCATGGGGATTACAGGTGTGGACCACTGTGCATGGCCAAATGGGAATCAACCACCCCATGGTTCCACTGGAGTTTGAACCCAGGACCTTCAGTGTGTAAAGCAGACATGATAACTGTTACACTATGGAACCATGTGTGGTGCAGCTTTGTAGCTTCTCTCCAAACCAGTCCTGAACTTCAGGGAGCCTCATATTGATTGAAGAGCCTGAAAATGAAGGCTGCCCCGAGGCCCTTGGTTGCTGGGAGCAGAAGTGACAGACATCCCTGTGGTGGGGTGGATTTTGGGCACAGCCTATCCTCATGAACCCAGTTTTAGTCCCTTCCTCCTTCTCTGGGGCTGTCATGGTAGAATAACTGCCTAAGAATGTGATTGATGAGGAAAAGGTATACAAACTTTATTTTCTAAATGTTATCCAGATTAATGAACATACTGGAATTTGAGCTGGATTTTCAAGGGAAGGCTAGCATTTAGTCAGGTAGGAAAAACAGACAGCTATTCTGAATGGGCCAAAAGCGCAGGCAAATCTGGGAAAATTTGTGCTCTGCTGGCCACAGGGTGGCAGGCTGGGTTGGCTATATGAGCATTTGTGTAGGGGTCTGGTGGGAGACGATGTTGGAGGGAGCTAGAGTGTGGGGCTGGGAAACTCAGGTGTGTTCTATGCATAGAACGGCTATACAGAAGCTATTTTTAGTGGGGAGGGAGAGGCTGGACATGGTGACTCAAGCCTTTAATCCTAGCATTTTGGGAGGCTGAGGCAGGAGGATTGCTTGAGGCTGGCTGGGAGTTCAAGACCAGCCTGGGTAACATAACAAGACCCCGTCTCTACAAAAAGTGAAACATTAGCTGGGCATGGTGGTGAGCGCCTGTAGTCCTAGCTACTCAGGAGGCTAAGGCAGGAAGATCACTTGGGCCCACAAGTTTGAGGCTACAATGAGCTATGATTGTGCCATTGCATTCTGGCCCGGGTGACAGAGCAAGACTCTGTCTCTCTAACAAAATAGAAAATAAAGTGGAGGGAGGGATAGCACACAGCAGTGCTGCAGGACAAGGCATTTGACCGCTGAGTGTGGCTGGGTAGGGGGAGACACCCATCTACCTGGCAGTGGTGTTGGAGGTTGCCTCTTTGCTGGGATCCCGGGCCGTCAGAAGGAAGACATCGGGAGTCTGGGAACTAAGACAGCTGGGGAGTGAGATATTTGACTTATTGAGTTGCTTCATGTGTGGACTTGATAGTGATTGTCATGTAGTTTGTTGTACAAGGGAAAACCTGACATGGATGCTGATCATGGATATTGCAGAAAATTAAGAGAAATGCCAGGGACTCTGTGGAACTGATATAGTTGATAATCATTCAGATGAACTGCTTAGCACTCATGCCTAACTGGCCCCAGGCACAAGTTCACATGCGGTTAAGGGTGGGTTATTAGCTTTATTGTGCTTTTGATTTGGTTCTTCATATGATTCTTCATAGTTTGTTGACATAGTCTTGAAGCTGGGTTGTCTTGTCACAACTTTATAAAATGTAAAGGAAACTTACCTACCAAGCAGTAAAAGTTACAAGAATGGAGACCTTCTGAGACAGTCAGGAAGTGCTTGGTAGAGGCTGGACATTTACTAGGCCTTGGAGATGGAGAAATTAGTATTTATTCTTATTGTTGCCCCAGCATTGTGTGGGATTTGGGGGAAGGAAGTGTATTAGCCTGCTTGGGCTGCTGTAACAGAATACCACAGCCTAGGTGGCTTCAACCACAGAAACTTATGTCTCACAGTTCTGGAGGCTCCAAGTTCAAGATCAGGGCGAATCCTCTCTCCTTGGCTTGCAGACGGTGTCTTCTTGCTGTGACCTCACACAGCCTTTTCTCTGTGTGAGCCTCAGGAGAGACAGCTCTGGCGACTCTTCCTCTTTTTACAAGGTCACAGTCCTGTTGGGTCAGGGCCCCGCCCTTATGACCTCATTCAACTTTAATTACCTTCTTAAAGGCCCTTTCTCCAAATATGGTGACATGGGAGGTTAGAACTTCAACATGACCTTTGGCGGGGACACAATTTAGTGTGTAACGGGAGAAGATGGATGTGCTCATTTAGCCCTTGGAAGTCAGGGCTGGAGCTGAACTGATTGAAAAGGAGAAAAAATGGTCAGGAGATGTGACCAAAGCGAGCAGAAGACTTCGGGGGTGTCCAGGAGGCAGCGGGAAGAAAAGAGAGGGAAGGTCCAGCTGGCCATGTGCATTCTTCCAGGCTGTGTGCCCTCCTGGTGTTCAGGAACCGTCATCATTGACAACATAGCACTTCTTCAGATTAAAATGTCACTGAAGATCAGTTTATCTCGTCCTTATGCTTGAGTCCTTTTGTTGAGAACTCAGGTTCAAGTTTTGAGAAGCGCTTCCCTGCTGCCTCTGCCAAAAAGCAGACCTAGACATCCAAAGAAGTGTGTGGAAGCTTTAGCTCCCGAGTCTGGCAGCATCCATTCACATGACAAGAAGGAGCAGGACTTTCATCACCTCCTTGGTTTGAGGGGCCAGTCTAGACTCTTCCAAGGGAATAGTCCCTTTTCAGGTAAGGGAGGAGGTATTTGGAAGAGTGGCTGCGAAGGTAGAAAATGAGCCTGAGAAGGACCTCCCCACTGCACGGAGACCTAGGTGAGGTGGGGAGGCAAGGACCAGACACCCTCAAGATGTCTTAAAAAATTATCTGGGTGAATGGTCTGAGGGCAAGGGAGACCCTTCCCCTACTCTTCTTAACTATACTTCAAGGGACTGAATGGCTCTCAAAAGTGAACTAAGATAAAAAGAAGACACAACAACTCCACACTCCAGAAGGTGAGGCCTGCGCTTGAACAGATGCGAGGCCCTTTGTTTGAGTGCGGGGAGGCTAGTGGGGTGGTGCGGGCCACTGTGAGCCGCGTAATGGGCGGTGCCTTTCATATGCAGAGCAGGTCTTTGATCTGAGGGGAATGAAAGTGCTGGAAAGAGGAGAGACTCGCTGGGGGGCCTTTGTTTTTGACAAAAAAGACATCTGCCGGACTCGAACCCCCTCACCCACCCCCTCAACCCCTGGGCTAACGCAACAATGCCCCAACTGGGACTTGGGTCTCCCCACAGCTGAACAAGTCTCAGGAAAGAGAAAAAGGTCTGCTGCAAATGTGGACAGGAGCTTAATCGATTCTTTCCACAGCCCAGAAAGAAAGGGAGAGAGAAGAAGGGCTGTGGGGAGGCAAGGGGAGAGTGGAAAGGGGGACGTGGGGGCTAGGGGGCAAGGAAGGGTAGAATTTGAACCCTGAAGTAAACTGTCTGGTGATAAGCCTGTAAAGTATTCTCCAGTGAGCACAACGTTCAGAAGGCAGTGCAGGTGGAGTGAATATGTGTCATTGGAGGGAGGGAGAAGGGGATTCAGCTGATGATAAGCCATGATTATGGTTAGACTGATAACCATTTTTTTTTAAAAAAAGGGAGTATAATGTTCGGCAAGCACTAATGTGAAAGTAGCAATCTGTGTATCTTACTTACTGTGTTTTCCAAGGGGAAAATTAAGTCCCTTTAGTTTTTGCACCGTAGGAAATGCCATATCAGGGGTGTTTTATCTTAGTTGTAATATTTCCAATAGTTCTTTTCTTGTGGTCTCCTGTATCTTGCCCTTCTTGAAATCTACACGAATGCAAATTAAAAGAGATTTGAAATGAGGCAATTGGTATTTGGCCTATAAAGATGAGCATTTTCTGCTTGTGGACGATTTTAAAGTCCATTCTGTGGGGTAGATGTACTCTTTGAATGTAAAGCTGATGATTCAGCCAGTGCCATATCATCGAGTCAGGTGTCCACTCAGGTGTAACTGGCATGGCTTGGGGAGGGAGGGGGCACGTGGAATCATGTCCTACATAGGGCTGTCCCTTCAGAGGCTGTGGTTTGGGTAGGGGTTGGTAGAGGAAGGGCACAGTGATTTGACACCTTTGGTACACCCAGTAGGAGAGAAAGGTCTGTAATCCAAGGATGGTTTTGTGGAGCTTTTCCCCAGAGGTGGACCTGACACCATGATCTCTGGGGGGGCAAGGGGCATTAGTTAACAGGACAGGAAGGGTGAATTTGAGGCTGTCTGTGCATCTTACCTGGTGGTGCTGTCATAACCAGGACAGGGCATTCAGGAGAAGTAGGTGTATTGCCTCTCCTTGCCTTAGAGTTGCATGGGTCTGGGCAGTCAGGCAGGTCTTGCCTGAGGAGAGGTTGGCTTTAGAGGCCTGGGAGGCACCAAGGCCAGTCTTCCTGCCTATTGCCCTGTTATTCTGTGCAGTTTCTCAGTGGAGAGTATCAACTTTGGAGACCGTGGATCTGGGTTTGAATCCTGGCTCCCCCATTTCCTAGTATTGTGACCTTGGGTGAGATATTGAACCTTTCTGAGTCTGTTTTCTTATTTCTAAAAGGGGTATGATGAAACAAACATTGTCAGTTTGTAGTAAAGAATAAATAGAGAACCTTTGTAAAGTGCCCAGTGCATAATGTTTTGGTAAGTTTGCTGTTGCTTTTGCTCCATCCACTGTAAGTGGTTGGGCTTACTCGTATCTAGCCTGTACAGTTGTCCCTCAGTATCCATGGGGGATTGGTTCCAAGACCCACTTGGATACCAAAATTCAAAGATGCTCAAGTTCCTGCTATAAAATGGCAAGTTGCATTTGGATATAACCTACGCACACCCTCCCAAATACTTTGTCATCTCTGCGTTACTTACAATACATAATACAATGTAAATGCAATGTAAATAGTTGTTATACTGTATTTTTGTTTTTAAAAATTGTATTATTTTTATTTTTTCAAATATAAATAATATATATTTATATATAATATATGAAATATAAATAAATAAATATTTTTTGAGATGGAGTCTCGCTCTGTGCCCAGGCAGGAGTGCAGTGGGGCGATCTCTGCTCACTGCAACCTCTGCCTCCCAGGTTCAAGTGATTCTTCTGCCTCAGCCTCCCAAGAAGCTGGGACCACAGGTGTGCGCCACCATGCCTAGCTAATTTTTGTATTTTTAGTACAGATGGAGTTTCACCATATTGGCCAGGCTGGTCTCGAAATCCTGACCTTGTGTGCCTTGGCCTCCCAAAGTGCTGGGATTATAGGCGTAAGCCACTGCACCCATCAAGGCTGGAAATCTTAAATTGAGGTATTGGCCAGTCAGTGTTCTCTCTGAAGGACCTAGAGGAGAATCCCCCCTTCCAGCTTCTGGTGGTTGACACCTATCCTTGGTGTTTCTTGTCTTGTAGGAGCCTCACTCCAGTCTCTGCCTGATATGGTTTGGCTGTGTCCCCACCCAAATCTTACACTGAACTGTAGTTTCCATAATCCCCATGTGTCATGGGCGGGACCAGGTGGGAGGTAATTGAATCATGGGGGTGGTTACCTCCATGCTGTTCTCCTGATAGTGAGTTCTCATGAGATCTGATAGTTTCATAAGGGGCTTTTCCCCCTTTTGCTCAGCACTTCTCCTTCCTGCTGCCATGTGACGAAGGACATGTTTGCTTCCTCTTCTGCCATGGTTGTAAGTTTCCTGAGGCCTCCTCAGCCCTTCAAAACCGTGAGTCAATTAAACCTTCCTCCTTTATAAATTACCCAGTCTTGGGTATGTCTTTATTAGCAGCGTGAGAACGGACTAACACACTGCCTTTGGCATCACATGGTGTTCTCGGTGGGTGTTTCTGCATGGTCTTCCCCCTGTGGGTGCCTGTCTTTCTGTATCTAAATTTCCCTTTCTTATAAGGACGCAGTCATATTGGATTAGAACCCACCCTAATGATCTTAACTTAAATATATCTGCAAGAGCTTGTTTCCAAATAAGTTCACATTCATAGGTCCTGGGGGTTAGGATGAACATATCTTTTGGGTGGGGGGAAAAATTTAACCCACAACACCCTCTTTTGCCCTCTCTAGTGGTTCCACAGCTGGTTAAGGAGATGATTTTCAGATTGACCTGTCTTCTGTGTCCTGCAGTGACCTTTACCCTCCTGGGCTAATGGAAACTTCTCCCATTGGGAGATCTATTCTTCTTTTTCCTTATTTCCTTCTGGTCTTGCCATTGGCCCAGGAGGCTCTGGCTTCCATCTAATTCACTCAGGGAGCTGTCACTCTGCACAATGGAGATAAAGGTCTCATCACTGGGCCTTTGGCTGCTCCTACATTGGGCATATGGGTCATCTTTGCAGTTGTCACATTCCTGCTGCCCTCTGGGGAAAGCCTGGTGGCTCTTGCTGAGGTGCTGGAAGCACCTCCAGGTACAAGCTGCAACACCCTCCTCCACCCTGCCAACAGCCCCTGAGGACATATTGGCCCTGCTGCTGATAGCCAAGCTAGCAACTCCTGCCACCTCATGGTCATTCTGGCCACCCCTCCCCCCAGCCCATGGTCATTTTGGCCATCCTCCCTCAACTCTGCGGTCATTCTGGCAACCCCTTCCCCAATCCCATGGTCATGCTGGCATTCCTCCCGTAACCCCATGGTCATTCTGGCAACCATCCCCCACCGCATGGTCATGCTGGTTGTGCTTCTTCCTGGACCCTTGGTGGCTACTCCTGTCCTTGCTGCATTGGTCTGTCCTGGGTCTGCAGACTTGGTTGCTGCTACACTAAGAGAGCCTGCTGCAGTGCCTGTGTCTACCTGTGCTGCCACCCCTGTTGTCCTTTGCCAGGCTTCACAGGTTTATGACTGTAGAAGAGTATGTGCTGGGGTAGCTATACTGGCTGTTCCATGAATAGAGTTTGTGTGTGGAGGTTACGTTGGTGTCCCTCCCCACAACATAACCAGAGGAGATGACTCAGACATCTCAGGGACCACGTGGAGCCTCCTGATGCCAACCTGATCCTGACCCCCTTCTCTATGGAGCTCCACAGCCTGTGCCAAGGGGAGGAGAATCAAGCAAGGCAGAGAGGTCAGGATGGAGACCAGAGAGCTCTGCTCCCATTGCTTCTTGAGATGGAGCAAATTAACGGCTTATAAATGTAATTACATTTGAGGTCATCAAATCCAATCTTCCATTCAATGTAGGAATCCCATTTATGGTCAATTCAATTTTGACTGAACAGCCCCAGTACCAGCAGAGCACCATTACAGTTCCCCAGGGAACCTCGTTGAACATGTGTATATTACATACTTGTGCTGGTATTTCTATGGGGGAGACATTCCTAGAAGTAGGACATGCACATTTTCCATTTTGACAGCTACTACTAACAAATTATGCATGTGTGCAAACACACAATGTACTGATATATGCAAATGAGTACATGGCAGTCATGGACAGGGAACTCAAAAAGAAAGGACTTTCTAATAGTTAAAAATGTCTTACAAGACATTTTACAAGTGAGTGACTTGAGAAGGTAAGTGTTCAAAAAGAAGAGCTTGGATGGTTGGGATGCTATGGGGGGATTAAGCATTGGGTAAGAGATTAGAACAGCTGACATCTAAGGTCTTAAATTCAGCCTTCTGGTACACTCTAAAAAAGCACTGAGACTCTCACCAAGGTGACATCACCCACTGGTGGCTCATTTTTTTCTGGGTCCTTCCAAATGCAATGCCTCTTTCAGGTAAGCCTCAGAGAACAACAGCTGTGTATGACCCTGAGCCCATCTCCTTGAGTGTTTGCAGAGACTTAGACTGGGCTGTGCTTGTCCTCTGCCATAGATACAGACGTCCATTGTATCCCTAGTTGGGATGGCCTGGATTTTGCTGGGACCCTCCACTAGTGGCCTCCAATGATAAAGAGTTTTTCTCAATAAATAAGGCCTTTCTGTGTATCTGAAGCAGACACTTTTGCAGGTAGCAAGAATGGCAAGTAGCAAGCTTTAAGCATAGCTACTGTTTCTTATAGCACAGGACAGGACAGGACAGGACAGAAATCTTTATAGACTTCTAGGGAAGCAGCCTGGTTAGTGCTAAGGTCTTGGAGGTCTCTGGCTTCTTCCCCTAATGGCCTGGCCACATCCAGCAGGCTTTTCACAGCCTGTGGCTGGTCAGGCCAGCAGCATGATGTTAGGTGGTGGAGGAAGGGGCTGGTGGAAGCCATGGCCACTGTTACCATTTGGATGCAGTTCTGCACATCAATCACTTCTCTTTTGCTAATCAGGATAATGTTGCTCTCAAACACTCTCCTTCCTTGGATCATTGTTGCTGAAGGCCCCCCATGGAGGGGTTGAGCATGCCTACTGCTTGGCCATCAGGAGCTGGTAATACAGTAACATAGATTCACCGTTCATGGCGCCACCTGTTTTTTGATGAGGGGAGGGGCAAACTATAGTTCTAGGGCAAGGGAGTGACTGAGACAGCTCATCTCTCTCTGGGGCCTCCACCTTGACCCCAAACTCCTACTGAGTGTTTGCATTACCCGCTACTGCCCTCTGTGACTGGTTGCTGTCACACGCCCATTGGTTCTTGCCCCCTCTCCAACCCAAGAGCTACTCTGTCAGGGTAGGACCACCACCATCTTCTTCCCCAAGTGCAGTTCAACCTCCTAGAGGACAGGCGGACTCTGTGGGGGTGGAGGAAGGGTGAGGAATACTATTATTATTATTGTGATGATTATTATAATTGTAAACCCATCCTGCTAACAGCTTTGAGTACTTTGCTGTCCATCTCCTGGATGCTCAGAGTTCTAATATTCCACCACACTTCCTTTTGTCCTTTTTTTCCCAGGGGATTGTGCTTTTCCCCCAGGTGCTGTTGAAAGATTGACAGTGAGTGACAAGGACCTAGGTGAAGGCATTTGCTACCTGGCAATTTTTTGTTCAAGAGAACCCGTTGGAGGTACATCAGTGTTAGTAGCTTGGCAAGACGGCATTAGAGAGGAAATCTCCTTGGAACATTCCACCAACTGGACTTGGAAACTTAAAATGTGAATTTCTTTTGAAATAATGTTTTAAAGGGTGATTTCTAGGCTAGTCCATAGAAAGGCTTATGTTTCTTTGGAAAAACCGTAGAAAACACTACGACTGGCGGAAGCATGCTGGCCCATTCTGCCAACACCTCAACAGCCCACATCCCTTCTGGCGAGAGTGAGTCAGACTCTAAAAGCTATGGTGCAGGGAATTGGCATTCAGACACCTGTTGGCGACTTGAGCCAGCAATTGATTGCAGTGCAGCAAGACCAGCACCTCTCTAAGGCATTTTTTTATTTGCAAGAGTTGGACATGTCGGGTATTCATTTCTTCAGGTTCTTGAGGCTCTAACTCTGACAAGTCCTGTCTGTGGTTTCCAGCCTTGCCTGTGTATTGCAGTCACCTGGGGGTGGAGGTAGGTGGAGATTCATGAGAGCATAGCTATGATTACAGAAGATGCCCATCTGGTGTACAAGCTGGTGTACAAAAGAGCTGGTTTACAAGCTTGGCTTGGTTTATATGCAGCAATTACTCAGCATGGAGCAGCCCTGGATGCACGATGTGAGCTGGTGCCTAAGATGAAGGGAAATAAGCAAGCTTATGGGTGGGTAGATCATGCCAAGGTTTATGTCAACAATGAAGTGGTGGAGAATGAGTTGCAATCTGTGGTTTGGGAAATATTGGCTTCGAAGGCCTCAGGGCAAATCAAATCATCTGGGTGTCTGGAAGAGGAGGCTGGTCTGAGATCTGGGAGAAATGAGCCCTGAATCCTTACAGGATTGTCTGAAATACTGAGCTGTAGAATTCTGCTTGGGTTTCTCCTTGGAGTCAGCCAGGGGCAGCCTGAGCCCAGAGCAGAGGTCTCAGGACGGCTTTGGGTTGGGACAGTAGGGGATACATCTGGGGGTCTGCAGCAAGGGGTTTCCTAAACTGCTTTTTCACTTAAAAGACTGCAGGGAACCTTGATTTTGTCCCTTTTTGTAGTCAGAAATTTTCCTTCTCCATTTCTGTGATTTGCCTCAGTCATTGATGTTATCCTATGGCTAGGATAGCTCGGGCTGCATTTCCTTCAGAAACAGTGAAGGCTACTCGTTCACCAGACTTGGGCTTTTTATTTCCTGCTTGTTTTATCTTACATTATAATATATAGTTTCAGGACCAGGCAGTGGCTTACACCTGTAATCCCAGCACTTTGGGAGGCCGAGTTGGGTGGATCACTTGAGGCCAGGAGTTCAAGACCAGCCTGGCTAATATGGCGAAACTCCGTCTCTACAGAATTACAAAAATAGCTGGGCGTGGTGGTGGGTGCCTGTAATCCCAGCTACTCGGGTGGCTGAGGCACAAGAATCGCTTGAATCTGGGAGGCAGAGGTTTCAGTGAGCCGAGACCATGCCATTGCACTCCAGCCTAGGTGACACAGCAAGACTCCATCTCTTTCTCTCTCTCTGTCTCTCTCTCTATATATGTAATATATATAAAATATATAATATATAATATAAATTATATATATAAAATATATTTTCAGTATTTGTTCATGGAAAGGCTTTTATTGACTAAAGCCTTTGTTTGAGTTTTATTGGCCAAAGCAGCAAAACGAAAGTGGAGACTATCTATCTGTCTGTCTGTCTGTCTGTCTGTCTGTCTGTCTGTCTATCTATCTATCTATCTATCTATCTATCTATCTATCTATCTATCTATCATTTTTATGTGCAGACAGCATCCATGGAAAGAGATACAATGTGTTGACAGCAGTGGTTGCTGATTGGGGAACGGGAATTGGAAGGCAATCTATTTCTTTACACTGTTTAAAATTTTTACCATATGCATACTGTTAGAAAAAAAGGAACGCTGAGATCGACATGTGTTATGGGTTGAATTATGTCTTCATCCCCAAATTCTTACATTGTAGTCCCAATCCCAAGTATCTCAGATTGTGACTATGTTTGGAAACAGGGTCTTTGCAGGTGAGGAAGTTAAGATGAGGTCATTAGGGTTGGCCCTACTCAAAAATGACTGTTCTTATAAAAAAGGGAAATTAAGACACAGAGATAGATACACATGTGGGAAGAACACTATGTAGATCGGAATTATGTAGCCACAAGCCAAGGAACCACCAGAAGCTAGGAGAGAGGCCTGGAATAGATGCTTTCCCAACTTCTTCAGAGGGAGCATGACCTCGTCAACACTTTGGTTGCACACTTCTAGCATCCAGAATGGTGAGGCAATACAATTCTGTTGTTTAAGCTACTCAATTTGTGGTATTTTGTTATGGCAGCCCTAGGAGCCTAACACAACACATGAAAAACGTTAACAGAAACTGTAAAGGAAGGATTTGAATGGAGAAAGGGAGGCACAGTGGGAGGCAGTGAGCACTGGCCGGGTGGATCCATCCAGGACCCTTGTGCCTGCTCCTTTGCCTTTCTCCCCTCCTGGCCACTGTCCCCAGCTCCTGGCTGAGCATACTGCTCATGGCACCTGGCCTTTTTGGATCTCCAGGAACAACAGTCCTTGTACCCCAGGTGTGTTCAGCTGATTCATGTGAGGTGACTTAATCAGTGACAATGCCCCATTCAGGATGGCCCTCCTGGAAGACGCCCTGGGGTCAACTTAACTGGTGGGAGTTTCTGAGCAATTCTCTTATCCACAAGCCACATCCTGAAACCCCAAATTTGTTAGACTGGTTCAGACTTCTCCAAGCACAGCAAGGAGAGTAAATTATGTAAGGATGACTGACAGTCATTAGTTCTATCAGAGAGGGGTCCTTCAGAGATGCCATAGTAGTTTATGAGGATGCTATATCTGGGCCTCAGTCATTTGAATGGGAGTGAGTTTAGGGTTGTGCATTGCTCCTGTGGTGCCCATGGAGATTTCCCTTGGAGCACCGCCCTGCCCTGGACTTGGCTCCTCACTGGAGAGGGAGTTACCTCCTCTAGCTCCACAGATGGCTACCCATGGCCTGACCAAAGGTTCACTCCAAGGGAGGCACCTTCAGCAGGGCCCTGCCCCTGCCCAGCTTCCCTCCAGGGCAGCCTGAGGCATGGACTACTAGGTCTGGGCAGTGCAGGTGATAAAGGGCTGCCATCTGGAGTGGGACAGCTGGATAGCAGTGACCTGCCTCCCTGGTTTGTGGTGGTAGTGTGCGAACAGGCACCTTGAGTCATCAGGGGAGTATTCTGGCTCCAAGGAAACCCTGTAAGGACACTTTGATCCCACTCAGAGACTGTTTCTTCAGGAATCCGTCTTGGGTCTTTCTCCAAGGAGTCTGTTTCAGTGAGGGCTTTGCCTTGCTTAACATAAACAGTGCCCCAGAGACTTCCCCACATCTCAGCTAAGCCAGCGAAGGAGGGATTTGGGGTGGGCTGCCTTGTCTGATGACCCCAGGCCAAGCTGTCTTTGAGGCTCATCATGGAGCCTTCCTCTGACTTTCATTGACTGCGTCTCTTTGGACATACAGCGACCACTGTGTTTGGTGTTTGGCACCTGCTGGTGAGCACAGTGGGGGCAGGATCCTTGCTCTTCTCAGCCAAGGAAATCCAGCCCCTTCTACCTCATCACTTAGCTGGTCTCTCGAGGCACTGTATCTCTTGATCTTTTAGGTCAACGGCTTATCTTGTGCTGGGTTTTAATCTGTGAGAAGCTTAAGGCCTTTCATAAGTAGTTGGGGTATAAATAAGCACACATGAAAGCCATGCTTCCCCTGGGTTGTTATTTGGATCATTGCAGCAGCTCTGAAAGGAAAGGCGTGTGGTGATTACAGGAAATCATGCTAGAGATTTAAAAAGTACATTTCTGTGGTTTTTAGCAACAAAAGAAAGATTCAGCACTAACTCTGATGCACAGCCCACTGTTCAAACTTCCTTAAAAGAAGAGTGTTTATAGTATGGTCTCCTCACCATAGTGCTCAGTGACACAAGGTGACCTCCCTCCCCTCCAGGAAAAATAGAAAGCAATGACCCTGGGATGATCAAGGGTTTTGATTTGCTTGTGTATGTGCTGTCCTGGCAAGCCTGAAATCAGAGAGTTTAACTTTGGGCCTCTGCCTTTCCTTCTCCTCCCAGAAGCTTCTATGATACACTAGACCTCCTTTCCACCCATCTTTTCAAGATTTTTCTTGAAAAATGCCCCCTTTTTCAGGTAAAATGAAAGCTCCATTAAAGGCAAGGATCTTGTCTTGTTCATGACTGTATCTTCAGTGCTTGGAACAGTGGGCATATAATAACTATTTATTGACTGAATTAATGAATAGAAGGGATGAATGATTGAAATTTAGGATCATTTAGTACTGTGACTTGCCTTGATTCTGTCCTTGATTAGTTGACACAGAATGAACTCTCATGATACCCTTCATCATCCCTTATGCCCTTCCATTCTTGATGTTCAGTCTATCAACCACTCAGTTTCCAGAATCCTAGAGTAACTCAGGATCACAGTTGGCATTTTGCTACCCTTCTTCCCCCGCCCTTGTCTCCCCCAACTTTGCTGTTCCCAGGCCTTCTGGTCCTTGAGGACCACAGGGCCAGAAACCTGTCACTGATGAACACCATTAGCCAGGTCACTGTCCTAATGTCCATCTTCCACCAGGGATTGTGTGTAATTCTCAGTAGGGGAGTACCTGATATCTTAAATCATTATAATGCACAAAACTCTCCAGTAGTCATTTTATTTATTTATTTTTTGAGAAGGAATCTTGCTCTGTTGCCCAGGCTGGAGTGCAGTGGCACAATCTCAGCTCACTGCAACCTCTGCCTCCCAGGTTAAAAGCGATTCTCGTGCTTCAGCCTCCCAAGTAGCTGGGATTACAGGCACCTGCCACCATGCCTGGCTAATTTTTGTATTTTTAGTAGAGACAGGGTTTTACCATGTTGGCCAGGCTGGTCTTGAACTCCTGACCTCAAGGGATCCACCTGCATCGGCCTCCCAAAGTGCTGGGATCACAGGTGTGAGCCACCGCGCCTGGCCTAAAGTTCTTATTTAATCTGTGATGTGGCCCATACACAGTCTGCCCCAGTTTGCAGACTGACATGTCTGTTACAATGGGTAACTCAATCTTCTCCAAATACCAAGAAAACCTTAAGAAAGAAAAATGTTTCAAAATTAATGGACACTCTTTGAGGAAGGTATTTAAGCACCAGGTAACCTGGGCTTGTGCTCAATGCCTTTAAGAGAATAGCAAAGCTCATCAGCAGGTATTTGTGAGCCAGTCAGACTGAGGATTTGGCTTGGATGAGTTAGATGGAGACAGAATATGTGGGACTTGGGCCTGGGGCCAGGCATACCTGATAGGTGTTTCATAATGCCCCTCTCTCTTCCCTCCCAAACCTTTGAAGGTTTGTTCCTCCAGCTGATCTGAAGTCAGTTGGCAATTCCCAGTTGTTGTGGGTAGGCCCTAATTGTATGGCTTTAGAATGCAGGGGCTTATACCTGTGGAAGGCTGAGTTGTCTCATTTAGATCAGTTTGCAGACAAGCACCCGGGTGTATCTGCTTTTCTGGCAAGGCTGTGATCCCACATGTACCAGTCTGTTCTCACACTGCTAATGAAGACATACCCAAGACTGGGTAATCTGTAAAGGAAAGGGGTTTAATGGACTCACAGTTCCACTTGCCTGGGGAGGCCTCACAATCATGGCGGAAGGTGAAGGAGGAGGAAAGGCGTGTCTTACATGGTGGAAGGCAAGAGAGCGTGTGCAGGGGAACTCCCCTTTATAGAACCACGAGACTTATTCACTATCACGAGAACGGCATGGGAAAGACCTACCTCCATGATTCAATTACCTCCCACTGGGTCCCTCTCACAACACGTGGGAATTCTAGGAGCTACAATTCAAGATGAGATTTGGGTGGGAACACAGCCAAACCAAATCACCGCATGACCAAGCAGATTTGTTACCTGCTCTGGCTTGTGACCAATAGAGGGATGGGAAGGATGGGAACACAGTATGGTCTAGAGGGTACCAAGACAGAAGAGGCTATTGTGCAGAACCTTGGGGAGACGCCTTCCAGAGAGACTGGAGGTGCCTCTGCCAGAGAAAAGGAGGAGGTATTGAGAGAAGAGAGGATGGAGGGGTTTTACAGAGAGATCTGTCTCCTTTGGTTAAGGTTGCATCACAGGCACAGGAAATATTAGAGTAACTGAGGGAGGTAAACTATGTGGAAGGAGGGATGCTGTGGTTTGAATGTGTCCCCTCCAAAATTCAGATGTTGCTAGTGTGATGGTATTAAAAGGTGAGGCCTTTAGGAGGTGATTAAGCCATGAAGGCTCCTCTTTATAAGGACCTTTTTGGGATTAAGACTCCTCTTTATAAGGCCTTTATGGGATTAAGGCCCTAATAAAAGAGGTGTCATGCAGCCATTCAGTTAGCTTGCCCTTCTGTCTTCTTCCATGTGAGGATGCAGCAAGAAGGCCCTCACCAGACCAAAGGCCAGTGCCTTGATCTCGGACTTCCCAGCCTCCAGAATGGTGAGAAATATATTTCTGTTCCTCATAAATTACCCAGTCTCAGGCATTTTGTTGTAGCAGCACAAATGGACTGAGACAAGGGGTACGCAGTGGGCCTGTGCCACCTTGGCCCATGGGAGGCAAACCAGGAAGCCTTGTCTCCTCACCACTCAGAATGAGGAGAACATGTGAAAGGAGAAAGGGGTTGGGGCTGGGTAGGGTCATTTGCTGACTTAAGACCTCTAATGCGTTGTCTCTGGAGAGTTGAAACATCTTGCTAAAGACCTCATAGTCAGTCTTTGCTGCAACACAGATGGACCAAGCCTGTCTGTATTGCAGCAAAGAGTGAGGAGATATTCCAGCAAAGGCAGCATCCTGTATGCTGATTACTGGGGAAGCACAAGAAAGGGGAGCTGTCAGAGGCTATAGAGCTGCATCTGTACCTGGGGAAAGTGAGAGAGAAAATTCCACGGGTTGTAAGTGTTGTCTGGAGCCTCGTAGGGGGTGGCCAGCCCCACTACCCACCTGATACCAGGAACCCTACCTCCCCACCTCTGACCCAGCTCTCCAGTGCCCAGGAGAATTCCCTGCTTTGTAAAATGAATTCTCCTGGACACTGGAGATCTGGGTCAGAGCTGGAGAGATAGGGTTCCTGGCATCAGGATCTTGAATCTGGATTTTCCCAAAATATGTTTCAACAAAGCTTTCTCTTGTGATGTATGCCTCAAATATGTTTGGGAAACCTGGCATACTCTGTTCCCCATCAAGGAGACCCACATCGCACATTAGTATATTAAAGACTCTGAGAAGTTCTGTAAAATTAAAACCTGTTTAATTTTCTTTTCTTTTCTTTTTTTTTTTTTTGAGACAGAGTCTCACTGTCATCCAGCCTGGAGTACAATGGCACAATCTTGGCTTACTGCAACCTCTGTCTCCTGGGTTCAAACGATTCTCTAGCCTTAGCCTCCCAAGTAGCTGGGACTAGAGGCACATGCCACCATGCCCAGCTAATTTTTGTATTTTTAGTAGAGACATGTTTCACCATGTTGGCCAGGCTGGTGTTTAATTTTCTTTAGCCTTCATTTCCCATTTTTTCACATTAACTTCCCTTAATATCCCATGGATCTAATGACGCCATTAGCTGGGAATGCTGCATTGATGGTTAGAAAAGATGTGGATAATGCACTGGTTTCTGCCCAGTCCTTTACATAATTGGGACCCACTGGTAGGTGTGTCTGTGAGTCCCCAGCCCTCTCGCTGCCCCACCTCCTAGCTTCTATTCCTCACAAGCCAGCTCTTGGGTTCCCTCACCTCTTGGTCACACTCATGGAAGAGTTCCAGGTTGTCTGTGTCCTCCATAAGGCAGTTCCCTAGGTGTGTCTGATTGGGGCTGATTTGGGAAGGACTGTTCTCCTTTTCTTTGGATGCTGTCCAGGGATTTGTGTTCCCTTTTTTAAGTAGCACTATCCACGTCCTTACATAACGAGCACAAAGGTGAAGGTATTTCCAGCCATGGACAAAAGAAATAAGATGGCAGCAAACAGTTGCCTTGTTAGTGAACTTAAAAGAGACCTTTCTTTTAGGTCATCTTTGCTTTGAACCAGACCCTCCTGCAGCAGGAAAGCCTGCGAGCAGGCAGTCTTCAGATCCCCTACACGACGGAGGATCTCATCAAACACTATAACTGCGGGGACCTCAGCTCCGTCATCCTCAGCCATGACAGCTCCCAGGTGAGCACCCTTTCCCCCTGCCAAGCTCAGCACACATTTAATTATAGGAATAAAAACATTACCTGGCAACATGTACATCCTGTGTACAAAGGATTGAGGTCATGAGGGCTCTAGAAATAAAGTGGGCAGATTTAGATGTCATTGAATGAGGCACTACAGCGAATGAAAGCTTTACAAACCTTGTAAGAACAGAGAGGGGCATTGATGAGGGTTAATTCCAGTATTCCAGCCAAAGGATGAAGCTTCAAAGGATTTAACAGTAGGCCACATGAACCAGCCTTGAGGAAGGGAAGGGTTCTGAGTCTGATGGCCTCCTGGCTGACTTAGGTCATACTTTTGCAAAATGATGGGGCAGAACTTTGACTGCAGCTTCAGTGGCCTCTAGGAACATGTGAACATGATATAGCTGTGTATTCACAGAATGCTTACAGGCTTAGGGCATCAGAGCTGGGAAGGCTGCTAGCATTTGCAGACGTGGATCATTGCATCCTGTGGTATTGCAGGATGAGTGTGGCTGAGCTGGTGGATTGAGTGTTTGCCCAGCTCAGGCCTTACCTGTGGGCCATTGAGTGGAAGGAAGTAGCTGCTCAGCCTCAGAAGATCATGGTCTCCTTCCAGGAGGGAAGTGGTACGGATCTTTGTTATGCTTTTATCAACAGGCTTCCCATGGGACAAGCCATGGTGCCTTCGCCTCCTCTCTAGGACTACATGCAAATAGCAAACACCAGCTAAACTTCTGAGGTAGGGGAGTGTGTTGTTTCCCCCACCCAGGACTGGTGTCCACATGCATGAAGACACTGGAGAGGGGAGACAGGAGCTAGTGGGTGTGGGTGATGCTGTACAGGTCTATGTTAAATCTGGGGACCCAACCATAAGGAGACATGTGTGAACATGAGAGCTGAAGGAGGAATAGCAGCAATGGGGAGAAGGACAGTACAGGCTGAGTGCAGCATCAGCCCAGAAAGGTGACATTTCATTAATGACAGAAGCCTCAAAAGATGTAAGGAGCATCCCCAAAAATCTAGAGGAAAAAAAAGTCAAATTGAGACAAAGTGAAGCAGGAGGAAAGGGAGAACAAGAAACACATTAAAGAAGGAAAAATAGAGTTGGTGGTGGTGATAAATCTTACCTGCACTCTTGCTGAGGGTAGGGAAGGGGGGAGAAAAGTCAAGATCAATTGGGAAATTGACATTTGAAGCAGCAGAAAAAAGTTAATGTGGGCGGAGGATTTGGTCATTACGTGGGCAAATGGTGAGGCTGATGGAGCAGATAATACAGATGTCTTATGCATTTTTCTCCTGTGGCTTTCCCATATCTGTTCTGCCCACAGGGCCCCTACAGGAGGTCAGGGAATGTGCTGTCACTGTGAGTGAGGGCCAGGCTGGCCAGCAGGGAGTGGTGCAGGCTTTGGGTGATGTTTGGAATTTAGAAGGTGGAGCAGGATGTCAGAGGGAGGTCACCCTGTGTATCTGACGCTGCCTCTGTAGAGAGGCTGGTAGAGAGGGGGGCTCTGCTGAAGAGAAGAGATTTTGGGAAATGGGCAGGGGATCTTACATAAATGACATGATTAAAAAAAAAGATGACAGAGTAGAAGATGAAGGCTGTCGATTTGAAAATGAAAGAATATCATTTCGAGGCCGTCGCAAAAGGAGATCTGTTATCCATAAGATGGAAGTTAATGCTGTCACAGAGTCTGAGGACTTTGGAAAGCTTTTTGAGAGGCTACTGGAAGCAGCAGCAGCAGGCAGGGTAGATACTGACCAAGATAATGGGTAACATTGTTAAGTCCCTGGGTGGAGGAGAGAGCATGCACCCAGGGGGAGGAGTGGGAGGCTGAGGTTTGGGAAGCCAGACAGCTGAGGGGGTGGGGAGAAAACACAGAGTGCCAGCCTTACCTGTAGCTCCTGGGCTGCAAGAACCACGCTGATTGTCACAATTTTGATGCACTTTCATCCTGTTATTAGCCAAAATACTGAAACTGGCTAACATGTATACCAGAATCAGTGAAATATTTGCCAGGAGGGCAAAGAACATTGGGGAAAGCAAGAGAGAGAAATAGGAAGTGGAGAAATAATGAAAATGTAAAGTAGAGGATTTATAAAACATTTAAGTGTTTATACAAATTTCATGTTTTCGGTAATAGAATCTAAAATATGTAACTATATAAGACTATTTTTATAAGAAAAGCATGTATGAATCACACAAGTTAAAACTATGGATGTACTGTGCAAAGACAGTGTCCTTTTTTTTTTTTTATAAACACACGGCATCAGACAGAGCCATTTAACTAAAACAGAAGTGCAGTTGTAAATAGTGTAAGAGTTCATTCAATGCACTTCACTTAATATTTTTTTCACTTTGGTTACAGGGAATGTGATAGAGTGGGAAACATAGCAGACAGGAAACTCCAAGAATGGTGTCACTCTTCTCTTGACAACGTCTTGACCATCTAGGTTGGGGGATTTGATGCTCCAATGAAGTAACTTTGTTAATAACTCTGTTGCCCCTTATTTTTTTTTCTCTTTATTTTGGTGGAGGTTCCCAATTTTATTAATGCCACGCTACCACCTCAGGAGCGCATCACTGCTCAGGAGATTGACAGCTACTTACGCCGGGAGCTGATCTACAAGCGGAATGAGAGAATAGGGAAGCGGGTGAAGGCCCTTTTGGAGGAGTTCCCTGACAAAGGCTTCTTCTTTGCCTTTGGAGCTGGTGAGTAGTGGGTCACCTCTGATTAGCCTCTGAAATCTGAGGCTTCTCCCAAGAAGGGAATGTTGAGGTGAGCCCCTGCTTAGGGCCTGTGTTAGTCATGAAGCGAGATGAAGGGAGTGACACCTTCCTTGACTTATTTCAGTTGCAGAGTGGCTCCAGCTGGGGATGGAGCATCCAGCATGGTTGAAATGTTGCTGGATGAGCTGGTGCATGTGACATCACCCATAGCTCTCTCCACACATAAGCCAGCTGGGAAAACATTTTTGTCCTCTGAATTTCATACTTAATCCCAACTTCTTTCTGGTACTTTTCACTTTGTAAACTTTCACTACAAATATGTTTGTCTTTACTCTTCTACCTGACAATGAGCCTCCCAAGTCCAAGGCCTGGGGCTGATACATCAGCTGTTATTGACTGTTAGCAGCACACATGGAGACAGAATAGGACAATTATTTTCTTTTGTGGGCTTCTTGAAATAAATTCTCTCCCCCGGAGTGACTCTGACACAGAATTCTTTGCAGCCTCAGGAAATGAGGATAGAAATGCCAGAGGCTGGACAGTATGCAGAAAGATCATTTGCTGGGCTGGGCTTTGTTTCATATTTTTCTGCTAACTTCATAAACTTAAACAAGTCATGTCACTCAGTTTCTTTACCAGTAAGATAGGGGGTTGGAGAGAAGCAATTCTGAAATGGTGGAGTGAGGGCCTCCAAAAACCTGTTCTTCCATAGCAGCAATAAGAACACTGGAAAAAATGGTCAAAATCAACTTTTCCACAGCTCTGGAAATTAATTAAAGGCTTGCAACAATCCTAGAAGTGTTTATTTAAGAAAACTGGATGAATTTTGATAGAAGCAGTGGGCTTTGTGGCATTTTAACTTGTTCTGTTTTTATCTCCCTTTTCCCAGCTTCACAGTAGCCTTGAAAATCAGGAGCCTTGAACTACAGTAGCTGTGAAAACTGTTTGCCTAATGGTTACTGGAGGGGACAGAATGGGTTCAAAGTTCCTCCAAAGCTCCATCCTTAAAGAATCATCACTATTTGACATGTCCAATAGTTCCCTGAAATTTCCATTCCCAAGCTTGTCTTCATTTGACCTGACTCAGAGCTTGCTCTGTGTGAATAGCCCTATTCTTAGGGTGTGTGTTGAAAACAATCAGTAGCAGCTGTTTAACATCATAGTTGCTGGAAATAGCAATATTAATTGAAGCTTACAAGGGGCTGCCCAAAAAACTTAAAAGCAAAATCCCATAGGGGGTATAGAAAAGCTCTAAAATATTCCTAGAGAGTCACATGCATGAGAAGAGCTGTGCACATGCCCAGGAAAGACCTGAGAAGGTCCTAATCTCTCACCTCTGGCTGATCTTGAGGCTCTGTGTAAGCAGAGTGTGAAAGCTAAGGCAAAGTCATAAATTGCCTGTTGAAGCATCAAATACATGCCCCCAAACTCACACAGCCCCTCTGCAAAGGTTGGGAAACTTGCAAGGAATTTAAGGAAATCTCTGTTCAGTCATTAGCCAGCCACTAAACTAACTGAGCAGATCCTTCAGTGATCACACACAACAAAGAATACAGACTTTACAGACTTAGTCCTAGAAAATCACTACACAAACAGCAACAACAATGCACCTGGGACTAAGGGAGAGGAGATGAGTTCCAGAGTTGGTATATTATTTAAATGTCTAGTTTTCAATAAAAACAATTATAAGACACAGAGCAAAACTAGAAAGTATGGCCCATACCCAGGGAAAAACAAGCAACCAATAGAAGCTGTCCTTGAGGAAGTTAATATCTTGGACTTACTAGAAAATGACTTTAACACTAGTTATTATAAATATGTTCAAAAAACTAAAAGAGGCCAGGTGCGGAGGCTCACGCCTATAATCCCAGCACTTTGGGAGGCTGAAGCAGGTGGGTCACCTGAGGTCAGGAGTTTGAGACCAGCCTGACCAATATGGCAAAACCCTATCTCTACTAATAATACAAAAATTAGCCAGGCGTTGTGGCGCACACCTGTAATCCCAGCTACTTGGGAGGCTGAAGCAGGAGAACTGCTTGAAACTGGGAGGAAGAGGTTGCAGTAAGCTGAGATCACACCACTGTACTCCAGCCTGGGCCACAAGAGTGAAACTCCATCTCCAAAAAAAAAAAAAAAAAAAAAAACCCTAAAATTAACCATATCTAAAGAATTAAAGGAAAGTTTGAGAACAATATCTCACCAATACAGAATATCAATAAAAATATAAAAATTATTTTAAAAGAACCAAATAGGAATTCTGGAATTTAAAGTGTAGGAACTGAAATGAAAAATTCACTACGGGGGCTGAACAGTAGATTTGAACTGGCAGAAGAAGAATCAACATACATGAAGATAGGTTGATTGAGATGATTCAGTATGAGAAAGAGAAAGGAAAAGGAATGAAGAAAAATGAATAGATCTTCAGATACCTGTGAGACACCCTCAAGTGTGCCAATGTATACCTAACGGGAGTCCCAGAAGACAGGAGAGAAAAAAAGAAAGAAATAAAAAGAATATTTGAATTTAAAATTGCTTGAAAATGTCTCAAATTTGATGAAAAATATTACTCTGCACATTCAACCCATGAACTATAAGTTGTATAAAATCAAAAAGTTTCACACCAAGGCGTGTCATAGCCAAACTGTCAAAAGCCAAAGACACAGAATCTTGAAAGCAGTGAGAGCAAAGCAGACAAGGGATCCCCAATAGGATTAACAGCAGATTTCTCATCAGAAGCCATGCAAGCCAGAAGGCTATGGGAGACATACTCAAAATGCTGAAATAAAAGACTGTCAACAAACATTTCCACATCCAGCAAAAATCAAAAACGAAGGAGAAATCTGTTGCATGTGAGCTGAATAGAATTTGTATTCTGCTGTTGTTGGATGAAGTATTCTTTAAATGTCAATTAGATCAATTTGATTGATGATGCTCTTCAGTTCAACTATATTCCCTATCTGATAATTCCAGAATCTCTATCATGTCTGAGTCTGGGTCTGATGCTTTCATTGTTTCTTCAGATTGTGATTTTTCTTGCCTCCCAGTGTGACTTGTAATTTTTAATTGAAAGCTGGATATGATGTATTTGGCAATGGGAAGTGAGGGAAATATGTTTTTAGTGTGAGGGTTTATGTTAATCTTTCTCAGAGTTGGGCTGTTTAATGTTTTGCTGTGGTCTGAATGTTCCTTAAAACTTGTGTGTTGAAACTTAATTATTATTGTCATGGTATTAAGAGGTGGGGCCTTTGGGAAGTGATTAAGACATGAAGGCTCCACATTCATGAGTGGATTCATGCTTTTTAAAAGGACTGGAGGAAAGTAGTGTAGGCTATTTTTTTGCCCTTGTGCCTTCCACCATGTGAAGATATAGCATTAGCCCCTCCTGCCATGTAAAGACTCAGGAAGAAGGCCCTCAGCTGGACATGGTGGTGCATGCCTGTAATCCCAGCACCTTGGGAGGCCATGGCAGGAGGATCACTTGAGCTCAGGAGTTTGAGACCAGCCTGGTCAACACAGTGAGACCTCATCTCTACAAAAATTAAATAAAAATTTAGCTAGGCATAGTGATGTGTGCCTGTAGTCCCAGCTACTTGGGAAGCTGAGGTGGGAGGATCACTTGAGCCCTGGAGGTCGAGGCTGAAGTGAGCTGTGAACATGCCACTGCACTCCAGCCTGTGTGACAGAGTAAGACTCTCTGTATTAAAAAAAAAAAAGGCTCTCACTGGGCACTGAATGCCTATGCCTAGATTTTGGACTTCCCAGCCTCTAGAACTGTGAGAAATAAATTTCTATTGCTTATAAATGACCCAGTCTGTGGTATTTTGTAACAGCAACACAGACTAAGGCATGTTTGCTGTAACTCTAGGTCCCAGAGGCTTCAGTTTCCTCTAGTGACCTCTAGTTTTTCCTCTAGTATTTTTTGTCTTGTGCTTTCTTAAGAACCTTCTTAAATAGAGTCTGAGTCTTGCTGCACTTTCACATATAATCCACTGTTATTTTACTGGAGTCCTATTGTTGTGGTGCTAAAGTGAAGATACCATTTCATACTCACTAGGCTATAATAAAAAAGATGGAGAGTAAAAAGTTTTGGTGAAGACATGGAGAAATTGGCACCCTCATACATTGCTACTGGGAATTTAAAATGGTGTAGCCATTTTGGAAAACTGTTTAGCAGTTTTTAAAAATTAAACATGGGGCTACCATTTGATTCAGCATTTCAACTTCCAGATATATGCCTAGGAGAATTGAAAACATATGTCCACACGAAAATTTGTACACAGATGTTCATGGCAGCATTATTTATAATAGCCAAAAAGTGGAACCAATCCAACTATCCATCAACTGACATGGATAAATAAAAGGTGATATATACACACAAATGGAATACTATTTGGCCATAAAAAGGAAAGAGGTACTGATATATGGTACTACATGGATGAACTTTGAAAACATTATGCTAAGTGAAAACAGCCAGTCACAAAATCATATGATTATATTTATATGAAATGTCCAGAACAGGCAAATCTATAGAGACAGAAAGTATTCATAGATTAGTGGTTGCCAGGGGCTGGGGTCAAAACGATGAAAATGTTTTAAAATTAGATAGTGGTCATGATTGCATGATTTTCTGAATATACAGAAAAAATCACCGACTGGCATACGTTAAAAGGATGAATTTTATGTTATGTGAATTATATTCAAATATTAATAAAACTGTTATAGAAATATAAGGGGTTTGGCTCCCACATTATGCTCATTGAAAAGTTCTGCCACAAACAAACTGCAGTTTGTGCCCTCAGCAATGCCCGTGAGTATGTGGTAGTTTTCTTCTTCTGTAAGTCCTGTGTTTCATGTCTGGATTGGGCACCGTGTGCACATTTGTACTGTCTCAACAAATGGCTTCTTGGAACAAAGCTGTTAGCCTGGGCCTCACTCTTGAGGCACCGTAACAGTGGTGCAGACCCCAGATGAGAAAGTTAGGAAACAGAGCCAGTGGTGGTGTCCCAATGCACCACCCCGGGTCTGTGTGGATGGAAGGTGCCCAGGTGCTGGAGTGTGGGCTTCTGCTTTCCACCCCTGCCAGACTTAGGTGAGCTCCCAAAAACTTCCCGTATGTCCCGTGGCAGGGGTAATGGGGCGCTGGGGAGAGGGGAAAGGTCGACTGGGTTCTGGGCTGGTGGGAGGCTGGGGCACAGCTTGGTCTGAGCAGTTCGGTGGGTGGGCCCTCGTGGTGGGGGTTCTGCCAGGCAGGTGGAACAGGCAACACCAACACCTGAGCTTGCCCAGTACTCAGGGCTTGATTTGTCATACTGATGCAGGGCTAGATTGGGGCTGACAGCCCCTGGGCACTCCTGATGCCCGAAGTGCCCAGGGGCTGTGAGCCCCCATCTAGCACTGGCTCCTTCTAAGGCAAAGTTATATTCCTGTAGCTGCTTTCTCTCTGTGCCTTCTGAAGGCTAAGTTGAACAGAGGAAACTACAGAAATTGCTCCGAAACACATTACCGTGTGCTTTTAAAACTTAAAAGCTGTGTGGTTAGCAAACTTTTAATTGCAAAATGAGGATAACTGAAAATGGAAAGTACTGGAGTTTTAAAATCAAGCAGCGACTTTTGTCATGGGGATCTGGATATAAAATGCGAAGATTAGAAATGGAAATCACCTTTGCAGTAGAAGAAAAATTGAAGTCAGAAGTGCTAAGTGGAAACTATAATCACTTGTTCTAAATTGCCAGTTCCTTATTTGCAAATGAATAACCTAGGATCAGTGGTGAAAGACATGACTTTTTTTCTTATTTAGGTGTCGATCTTAAATCAGCTCATGCTGATTTTTGGCTCCTGTTTGCCAGGGTTACTTCTCCAGTGGCCTCCTCTCCTACCCCACATTTCTAGGTTACAGCTATCGCCCCTGCACTGGCAGCTGTCTAGGCTGGTCTAGGCTGTGGGGAGGAGAGGGGAGGATGGGAGGGAATGGTTTTGCCAAACTTCCCTTTCTGAGCCCCTGCTGACCCATGAACACCCCCTTTGATGCATGAGGGTGAAAATGAAAGCAGGAACCATGGGCCTTCTGCTTCCTTCTCGGGGCCTATTTGCTGTACTGCCGCAGGCTCCCAGGGTTCCCTGGTTGTGACTCCTGAGACTACAGTGGGTTTGTCCTATGCAGAAACCTCCAAGAATGACAGATCTTAGATTAGGTTGCCTTTACTTTTTCTAGAAAGTGGTGATTGGGAAGTAGCCATTCCTTCCGTCCCACCAGCCTCCCTGTTTTTTCAGAGAGCACAATTGCATTCCATCCTGTAGTTGGGAATTCCCCCCCCTCCTTTTTTTTTTAATTGAGACAGAGTCTTGCTCTGTCACCCAGGCTGGAATGCAGTGGCATGATCTCGGCTCACTGCAACCTCTGCCTCCCGGGTTCAAGTGATTCTCCTGCCTCAGCCTCTCAAGTAGCTGGGATTACAGGTGCCTGCCACCATGCCCGGCTAATTTTTGTATTTTTAGTAGAGATGGGGTTTAACCATGTTGGCCAGGTGGGTCTTGAACTCCTGACTTCAGGTGATCCACCCGCCTCGGCCTCCCAAAGTGCTGGGATTACAGGTGTGAGCCACTGTGCTCAGCTTGAATTCTTGTATTTTCTCCAGACCAGTGTCCTCACCTTTCAGGATCCTGCTCACATATCACCTCTTCTGGGAGGTCTTACCAGGTTGCAGTTTGATGTCCAGGCTATCCCCTTAGCTTTGTGACTTCAGGTAACTTGCTGCATTGTTCTGATCTTCAGTGTCATTGTCTCTGAAATGCTACTGATGCTGCCCTGCCTGCCTTGCAGGACTGTTGGCAGGCCTGATTCCAGAAGCTCTCTAGAACTGTACTGTGCTGGACAGATAGGCAGGGGGCTTGGCAGGGTAATTTCTTGGTTCTAGGGTGTGTGTTTGGGGAGTATGTTTGGTGGTCCTGAGAGCTGCAGCATTTCAGGTTGTTTTTCTCACTGCAGGTCATTTCATGGGCAACAACACAGTGCTGGATGTTTTGCGGCGTGAAGGCTATGAGGTAGAACACGCCCCTGCTGGACGACCCATCCACAAGTAACCGTCCTGTGCTTCTATCTTGGCTGGGGAGCTGAGACCCTCATGGGGCTGCCTGGGCACCAGGGTGGGCTGCTATCTTGAGGAGCTCCAGAGAACCCCTGCCTCGTCATTTCCCCCACACTTGACCTTACATGGACATTTGGCACCAGCTCAGCTGGCTCTGTGTGGCTGGGGCTGTGTCAGACGTGGTTGGCAGGATGGACACTTTGGGCTGCAGGGGCCACACTGGCGTTTTCCTCAGTGGTGTTTGGCAAGCGGGGGAAGGTGAAGGGAAGGTTGCCCAGGGGTTGAGGGGTAGGGGAAAGGAGGAGTAATTAGGCTTAATGCCCAGTGTCCTTTGCCCTAGGTGTTTTGGAAGTTTTCGGGAGGCAAAATCGGGCCATGACAGTGGTAAACAGGCCAGAGGGGTTAGGGGTGCAGGGAGTGCATGTCTCACCCTTCTCAGGGGCAGGAGAAAGCACCTTTTCTCTGAGCTGTTTCCTCCTCCCTAGGTTTATTTCTCTCTCTTTTTTTTTTTTGGCCAAACTGCCCTCTGCCCTTTCAGACCTTTCTGTAAAGAACTCAGGAGGCCCAGCCCCCAGCCCTCAGCAATGCTGTCCACCCACTGGCCTCCCAACTGGTCGTCCATCCTGGTGGGCCCCAGGTGTCCTTCCCCTTCCCCTGTAGTAGTCTGTTTGGGCTGTCATAACAACAACCACAGACTGAGTGATTTAATCAACAGAAATGCATTTCTCACAGTTCTGGAGGCTGAAAGTCCCAGATCAAGGTGTCAACGGGACTGGTTTCTCTTGGGACCTCTTTGTTTGGCTTGTAGATGGCCGCCTTCTCTTCCTGCCGGCACATGGCATTTTTTTTTTCTGTAAGCGAGCATCCCTGGCCTCTCTTCTACTAAGGACACTAGTCCTATTGGACTAGGGCCCTCATGTGAACTGAATCACCTCTTTAAAGGCCCTAACTCCAAATGGTCACATTCTGAGGTACTGGGGATGGGGCTTCAACATGTGAATGTGGGGGGCACACATCAGCCCCTAATATCCCCTCCATTCCTCTGGCCCCCACTGCCTCCCGATCTGTGGTCAGCAGCCCCCTCTCCTGGCAGAGGTCTCAGCTGTAGCGAGAGAGTTCCAGGATGCAAATGCCCATCCCCTGGCAGAGGATCCAGCAGTTGTGTCTGCCCGAAGGCCGCCCATCTCCAGCTGCCCTCTTTCTCCTCAGAAGGCCCCCCTTCACTGCACCTTGTCTCCCTGTTCCCCCTCACCCCAGAGGCTCCTGCCAGTCTCCCTTCAGGCGGGAAATCCTGGATACATCCTGGACTTCTCTCATCCCCACCTGTCTTCATGCCCTGTATTCAGTATGTCAATACTGACCGCCCTTCACAGAGCACTTTCTAGTTTACAGAAGCGCTGATGTGAGACTGCTCATTTTCCTTCTCCACCAGGCTTTTGGCTTCCTCCACTAAAGACTCGCTGGGATTTGTCCTTCTCCATTTCCATGGCCACCGCCCCCTTCCAGGCCCTTCTCCCTCTGGTTCACTCTTCGCCCTTCTGTGGGACTATTCTTTCCAGTGTCCTATATTCAAACCCTCCGTGGTTTCATGTTGTTCTTTTTCAAGGTCATTGTCTTCACGCGGAGGTCTTGGCACTCAGACCCTACCCTTCCAGCATGGATCTGCTGCTTGCTTCAGAAGAGCCTCCATCCCGTCCCCGCCTCTCCTTTACTGACGCTACTTCCCCCTTCTGAGGAGCCCTCCTCTCCTCCCCTTGACCGGGAGGATCCCGCCCCTGCCTGAGTCAGCTCTGTTGCAGGCTCACGTCTCCTGCCTCTCTCCTTCCTGTTCTCCTGCAGGTCTGGAGGAGCCAGCCCTTAGGGGTTCTCTGCGCCCTGCAGGACTGTGGGTCTTTCCTCCCTCACTGGCCTCTGGTCCCTTCTCAGCTCTTCCCGCTGGGCTGACTGGCCTGGGGTTCAACGCACTGTCCTTAGGGTGCTGGAGAGGGCCCTACCTGGGGAGTGTGTACGTGTGTGTGGTGTAATGTGTGTGGAGTATGTAATGTTTGTGTTTGTGTGTGTCTGGTGTGTGGTGTGTGTGAGGGGTGTGTTGTGTGTGATGTTTGTGTGTAGGGTTTGTGTGGTGTGTATCTAGTGTGGAATATGTGTGGGGTGTATGTGTGTGTGTGTAGTGTGCATGTGTATGGTGTGTGTGTGGTGCATGTCTGGTATGTGTGTTGTTTGGTACCTGTGTGTGAGGGGTGTGTGTGGTATGTGGGGTGTGTGTGGTGTAGTGTGGATGTGTGTGGAACATGGCTGGTGTGTGCATGTGTGGGTACTGTGCATGTGTGTGGTGCATGTTTGGTGTGTGTGTTGTGTGTATGTGTGTGGGGTATGTGTGCTGCATGTCTGATGTGTGTGTTGTGTACGTGTGGGGTTTGCGTTGTGTTGTGGTGTGTGTGGTACGTGTGTTGTGTGTGTACAGTGTGGTACGTGTGGTGTGTATGGTATGTGTGGTGTGTGTATTGTGTATGTGTGTGGGGTATGTGTGGTGCATGTCTGATGTGTGAGTTGTGTATGTGTGGGGTGTGCATTGTGGTATGTGTGGTGTGTGTGGTACGTGTGTTTTGTGTGTGTGTAGTGTGTGTGGTATGTGTGGTGTGTGTGGTGTGTGTGTGTGTGTGTGTGTGTGTGTGTGTGTGTTGCTGGTTGTTCCCAGGCTCCCTAATTCTGCCTCTAACCCTGACACCTGCCCTTGGGGAAAGGAAGGTCAGGAATCCGTCTTTTTAGAAGCTCTCTAGGAGATTCCGATGCCCAGTGAAGGCTGAGAACAAGTGTTCTCACTTCCCCGGGGAGAAAAAGAGCATTTATTGGTGGATCATCAGGTGGTAGCCAGGTTTATATGGGCTCTCTGTTAATTCTCAAAACCAGCCCGCAAGGGAAGTGTTCCTTCTCATTTACTAACGAAGAAACTGTGAAAGGCCACACTATTAACCAGGACCAGGAAATAGCACAGACCCCTCCACCTCCCAAACCTTTTCTTTCTACCCTTTCTTCTCCCACCTTTTACTTCCTAGCCTCTGTCTTTGTTCGTGCAGTTTCCTCTGCCAGAGATCCTTTCCCTACCCACACTACCCCCAGTTCTCTCTATCAGAATCTGTGAGATCCAGCACAATTGCCACATCTTCCTCCATTGCTCCAGCCTGGGTTCATCCTGTGCATGACCCCAAGGAACCTATGGTTTGTGCAAGAGCTCTCTCTTTCTTCTAGAGCCTTCCGGACAAGGATCTAATTTTCAAAATTGGATTTCCAGGAGTACCTATCCTGGCATCTGGCACATGATGGGATCTCAAATAGGATTGATTATGTGTTAATATCATTGCTGGTACTGCTCACATGCATTCATTTATTCAGCCAGTGGGGGACCTGAGAGGTTTTAGGGGTGAACGTGCATACAGTGGTCCCAGGTGAAGCCATGAGGGAGGATGAGGTCTCCAAAGGAGCTCCTGTTCAGGAAGAAGGGACAGGGTCCCGGGAGGCTAAGGGCCCAGGGAAGTGGGTTGGGGAGAATGCCCACAAAGAGGGGCTGGCAAGGAGGACCAGGGCAGTGGAGGGATACCTGTTTCCTTCTTCCCCTCCTCGGCAGCCATCTGGTAGTCCTTAAGGGATGATTCTGGTCATGTGGAACTTGAATCCAGGGCAGGCTGGTGTGGCTGGGGACATGAGGGCTGTTAAGTGGTGATTTAGCTTACTTAAGGCCCTGCCAGCTCCCTTAGTCTTGGGGTAGGCCAGTATTGGGGAGACAGAGATGGGTGTGCATGTTGGTGTGTGGGGAGGGCAACTAGCAGCTGCCACTCTCCACCTGTCAGCAGGCTGGAAAACACAGGAAATGCTCCTGAAGGTGAGGTTGCTGTTCTTAGAACAGAGAAGAGAAAGAGATGGGGTTCCTGTTGGGCTAATCTGCAGAGGGCTTAGCCAGTTCCTCCCTTCTCCCCCTGGGGTAATGGATACTATGTTAGTTTTCTATTGCTGCTATAACAAATTATCACAAACTCAATAGCTTAGAACAACACAGATTCATTATTGTATAGTTCTGGAGATCAGAAGTCTGACACAGGTCTCACTGGCTGAAACTAAGGTGTGGGCAGGGCTGCATTCCCTTCTGGAGGGTCTAGATAATTTGTTTTCTTCCCAGCTTCTAGAGGCTGCCCACATTCCTTGACTTGTGGAGCCTTCCATCTTCAAAGCCAGCAATATTGCATCTCTATAACCATTCTTCCATAGTCATATCCCCCTCTGACCACAGACGGGTTCTCTGCTTTTAAGGGCCCGTGTGATTGGATTGGGCACCCCTGGATAACCTGGGCTACTCTCCTCAACTTAAGGTCCTTAACTTAATACACCTGCAAAGTTCCTTTTACCGTGTAAGGTAATGTGTTCACAGCTTCCAGGGGCTAGGTCATGGACATCTTTGGGGATCTGGCAGATGTCCATTTGGTTACACAGCGGGGTGCTCTAAGGTTCTGGTCAGCCCTGCTAGGGTTTATACAGCTTCATTCATTCTCAGAAGACTGGGAGAAAGGGGGATGCACTTGAAGTAAGGATCTACTGTGTGCTCAGCACTGTGTGAAACATGGTGCTTGGGCTGTTTTAATCCTCACAGCAATGAGGTAGGATAGGTTAATTTTATGCAAGGGGCAGAGGCTCAGAAAGGTCAATTATCTTGTCTAAGGCTCCAAGCCTGGGGTCTTTTCCTTGTCAACCAGTGTGTTTCTTTCTTGGAGACTTCCATGAAGTGAGGAGGCTGCGTGAAATGCAGGTAGGGGGCAAATAAGCTATCAGCACAAGGGGGTAGCCCTATATTGTAGCCAAAATGACCATGGGCTTAGCTTTTGTGGGTAGAAGTTTAGCTAAACTGTGAGAATCCAGGTGGGTCAAAACATGGTAATCTAGATCTTGAGCCTGTGATGGGATCCAGCCCAGAGGCTCTATGATGGATTGGGTGTGTTCAGCAGCTGGGATTTTCTATTTGAGACAGAAGAGCAGCCACCTCTATTGACCTAGGGACCCTTAAACCCCTGTCTGAGCCCATGTGAGCATTTGTCTGTAGGATCTCCCTGGAGATTACAGTGACACTAATTTATACTCTCTATATTTTCTACAATGAGAATGGATTAGCTTTATGACCTGAAAAAAATCTCAACAATGAATGTTACTTAAAAATGGCAAAGAATTGGCCAGGCACGGTGGCTCACGCCTATAATCCCAGCACTTTGGGAGGCCAAGGTGGGTGGATCATGGGGTCAGGAGCTCAAGACCAGCCTGGCCAAGATGGTGAAACCTCGTCTCTACTAAAAATACAAAAAAACTAGCTGGGCGTGGTGGCATGTGCCTGTAATCCCAGCTATTTGGGAGGCTGAGGCAGAGAATTTCTTAAACCTGGGAGGCGGAGGTTGCAGTGAGCCAAGATTGTGCCACTGCACTCCATCCTGGGGGACAGAGCAAGACTCCATCTCAAAACAAAACAAAACAAAAGATGGCATAGAATCCTTCTTGGAACCTTGTGCAGGTCAGTTTCCTCCCCCTGGTCTTCAGTTTCCTTAATTGTAAAGTAGGTGTTATGATTCCTCAGGACTCCTTAACTCACAAATATAAGGGAGATAAAAACCAGGAAGAGTAAAGCTAATTCCTTCCTGATCCCTACTCTCCAACCCCCACCCAGGGCTATTAACTTGGCTCTTAAGCCCTGGCCTTGGCTACCTGGAGTTTCTGGGGTGAGGTCTTTGTTTGTTGTGAGTTGAACAGAAACAAAGCTATGATTTGTCTCACTGTGAGGATCCACTGTTTCAAACCATAGAACACAGCCCTAGTGAGTTAGAGACCATGTTCCTCACTAAATCAAAGCAACAGACTTTTCTTGAGTGCCTACCATGTACCAGGACCTGTTTGGGTCATATGGAGGCCAAGACATAGTTTCGGCCATGGGCAGAGGGCTTGATGGGCATGGAGCTACCTGATCATCTGCTCTTGAACCCTCTAAGACAGTGGCCCTCAACGTTTTTGGCACCAGGGACTAATTTTGTAGAAGAAAATTTTTCCATGGATCGGGGAGGGGGGGATGGTTTTGGGATGAAACTGTTCCACCTCATATCATCAGGTATTAGTTAGATTCTCATAAGGAGTGTGCAACCGAGATCCCTGGCACACACAATTCACAACAGGGTTTGCGATCCTATGAGAATCTGATGTCCCTGCTAATCTGAGAGGATGTGGAGCTCAGGTGGTAATATGGTTGCTTGCCTGCCACTCACATCCTGCTGTGTGGCCCAGTTCCTAACAGGCCACAGACTAGTGCTAGTCCATGGCTTGGGGGCTGGGGACCCCTGCCCTAGGAGGCCACCTGAATCCTAGAGAGCCATGATGGGGGCACATTCCCTTTCTGGGCTCTAGTTTCTTTGTTGTAACAATGAAAGGGTTCATTTAAGTGGCTTCACAGTTATGTACCAGGCATTGCGCTGAGCTCAGGAGACAGTAATAATATATTAAGCCCTGTCCTCCAGGAACCTTCTAGCTATGAATTTATGTTTCTGGGGTCCTTAGTCTCAGGTTCAGAGTAGGGGCATTTTTTAATCCTTTGCCATTTTAGGAATTCCCTTCTTTTAACTTTTTTGCCCAATATAAGTCTTTCCCTTTTTTGCTTTCCTTCTTGTATACCTCCTCCCTTCCTCACACACGGCCATTAATACTAACTGACTTCTCAGGTTCTGCCATGTCGTGGCTCAGAACTGGGACCCACTCTGGTAAGGTAGATGGTTCCTCAAGGCTAAGTAATTGAGTTCTTACATGTGCTGGTCAGTGGCACCTACATCATTGGACGAGGAAAGCCCTAGACATGGCGCATCCACTGCTCCCCTTCCTCAGGCAGATGTGAGTTTCAGGACTCTCACTACCTACCTACATCAGGAGACCAATGGGATTGACATCTAGTAGAATTCTTCTCTTTCTGCTCCCCCATCCCCTTCACCAAACCCTTGACAAAAGTTCTGTTGTTGGAAGAAACTTGGTCCTTATAGTAGCTTATTTCTTCACTCAAAGAAGTATTTGGTGACTATAGTCACCTTTAGGGGAAAACTAGAAGTCAGTCTGAGTTTCCCATTAGTTGTGAAAATCTCTCTTTGGGAAAGATGATTTAAGAACAAATCTGCAATTAAGTGGTTAGAAGACAGCCCTGAGAGCCTCTTCCTGAATAAAGCCCTCATGAGGGTTCAGAAAGTGTTAAGAGGGTTAAGAGCTACTTCAGTGGTTTTAAGCAAATGGCATTTAAACATTTTCCATCTGTCTTTAAAAGCTTTACTGTTCACTAGTCAGATTCGTGACATTTGCTTGTATTTGGGAGGCTGAGGTGGGAGAATCACTTGAGCCCAGGAGTTTGAGGCTACAGTGAGCTATGATTGGGCCACTGCACTCCAGCCTGAGCTACTGAGGGAAACCCGATCTCAAAAAAAAAAAAAAAAAAAAAAGCTATAATTGTCAGTGTCTTTCTAGACAGTGCTGACCTGTTCATTGTTGGAAAACTACAGTAATTACTGTACATGTAATAGTTTAAAAATCTTGGATCTTTCTCCCCAGGACTAGGGGATTTGGAGAAGGTAGGGTGAGGATATCTGAGGGGAAAAAAAAGGCGTCAAAGAGATAAATTCCCAAGGTAATTTCAAGAACTGGGTAATTTCTGCCCTTCCTGGCCAGCTTGAACTTTCAGGTTATCTGCCTTTGTCTTGAAACCCTGAGGTGTAAGAGAGCTGGGGAGGGCGCCATGCTGTGTGACCCTCCTCCAAATACCTTCTCCTTCCACTTGCGTACAGAGGGAAGAGTAAAAAGACCTCCACACGGCCCACTCTGTCCACCATCTTTGCTCCAAAAGTCCCTACCCTGGAAGTACCGGCACCAGAAGCCGTATCCTCAGGGCACTCAACGCTGCCTCCCCTTGTGTCCCGGCCTGGAAGTGCCGACACGCCCAGTGAGGCCGAACAGAGGTTCCGGAAGAAGCGGAGGCGGTCACAGCGGAGGCCGCGACTCCGGCAATTCAGCGATCTGTGGGTCCGCCTGGAGGAGAGGTCAGGCGAGTAGGCTGGGTCGGGTTGGCATCCACCTTTACCCTAGTGAGCGGACCCAGGAATGCCCCTCACACTGGTTGCAATGGGAGCCCCCCTCATGGAGCAACCTTTCCCTTTCCTCATGACCCCAGGCACCCTTTTTCTGTCCACTGTGACAGAAGCGAATCCAGATTTAAGATAGTTGCTTCAAGCCAGGGCAAGGGCAACATGTTTATGCTTGTTAAAGAACAAGTTTCGGGGTAGGATGAGTCTGTTAAAAGTGGAAGGCATCTGGAAAGGTTGCAAAGAACTAGATATTTCATATCTTTCTCCATGGCAGACTTAGGGAGAATGTCATAGACTTGCAGAGCTGGAAGCAGCTCGGTAGGAATGGGCATGTTTAACCCCCACATTGTAAGGGAAGGGTCGTGACCCTACACCAAATGTAGTCTCAGAGATGGCTGGGGAGTAGACCAGAGGTGGATAGGCGAGCCTGAGTCTGCAGGGCACAAGGCTTCTGGAAGAACTACCCCAGAGAGGCTGGGAGCAGGAATCCAGTTAAATTAATCTCAGCCTTATTGAGTCCCTCCTTTGTGCCTGCTGTTGTGTCGGATGCTATGTGTGTGGGGCCAACCAGACACGGGCCCTGCCTTCATGGAACTTGCAGTCTGGTGAAGAAGATGGATTTTTGAATAGATAATCTGCAGTGGAAGTGTAAGCTGCTGTGGGTGTGTGTGTTTGTGGTGCATGCATATGTGTGTGTGTGTTGGAGGTTACTACTTAGGGTCAGAGGTCAGGAAAGTCTTCCCTTGAGGAAGCATCCTTTTGGCTTATACTGAGTAGAAGCCAAAGTGGAACCTTGTGAATAGAGCTTCTGAGTCTGGATCAGTAGACGCAGGGATTCAGGGCCTGCACAGGTGCTTAATAAATGTAGAATGAATGAGTGAGTGAGTGAACAACTGAATAGGGAAGGAGAAGAGTTGAAGGCAGAGGGAACAATGTGAAAGCCTGGTTGGAGGGAACGATTGCGTTAAAGAAGCTGAGATAAAGTAATTCTGGCTGGAGCCTGGGAAGTGAAGGAGTAATGGGGTGAGATGTGTCCAGAGAGGTAAACACGGAGGGAAGTAGGGAGCCATTGAAAGGTTTGAAGCAGATATGTGATATGCTGTGTGATCTGCATTTTAAATGGACAGAAGCTGGCAGCCAGATGGGACCTGGAGAATGGGGACAGCTTCTGATGGTGTTCATGTCCCAGGGTGACTCATGAACCATCCTCCATTGACAGAGGAATAAATTGACCTGTTTAGTACTTTTTCAAACAAGGCCATTGGTGACTACGGGGTTGGGCACTTTATACCTCAGCTGAGTTGAAAGATCTGGGTAAGCCTGAGGTCATGGGCCCCTCAGCTTGAACTGTCTTGACCTGGTATGCCTATATGCTGTGCACATCAGGCCTGGACTTGGGCAGATGAGAGAGGCAGAGACCCAGGGAGGAATCTGCATGGTCTGGCTCTGCCTCTGTGGTGGCCAGTGAGGAGGGTCCCTGCCTAAGATTGCCCAGAGACTAATGTTAGCAAACTTTGAATTCGGCCTTATACGAAGACTTTCACTAATCTTTGAATAAAGAGCCAAATAGCCAGGGACAGTTAGCCAGTCTGCTGGTCTTAATATCCTCTGCCATTTGGTTTTCTGGTAGCAGTGGCCAAAGACATGAAAGAGGGCCAGAGATATAGGAAGCCTATTAATATACTAATACCCATTCCTGTCTATAAGGAGGGGAGATGAAGAGAAGCTGTGTGGGCATTTGGGGGCCTTGGCGTGTGCAGTGGTTTCTGCTGTGACTTCAGACTCTGTCTTTCTCTTTGCCTCCTAGTGACATAGTCCCGCAACTCCAGGTCCCTGTCCTGGACAGGCACATCTCCACTGAACTGCGGCTCCCTCGCCGTGGGCATTCCCACCACAGCCAGATGGTGGCCAGCAGTGCCTGCCTGTCTCTCTGGACTCCTGTGTTCTGGGTGCTGGTGCTGGCTTTCCAAACAGAGACACCCCTCCTGTAACGACTGGAAGCACCAGGCTAAGAACCTGACCCCTCGGACTTGAAGAATGGCCATTCCTGTACTCCACATTCTGGTCTAGCCTTGTTGGGCCCAATCCAGAAGAGACTGCTCTTGAAAAAGCGGCCCAGTGTTGATTCTTCTCTTTCCAAGGAATGTGACTTTGGGTTATCCAACTTTGGGGGCAGGTGTACAGTTTTGTAACATAGTGAGTTGTGTGAAAATAAATTATAAATGAGTTGTATGAAAATAAATACCTTTTTTTGTATAGATTTTTATTCATGATATATATATATATCAGGCAGACAACTTCTTCTCTCACACCCTCTGAATCCTTCCACTGCCTCCCCCTAGGCCCTGCACTTCTCAGCTGCAGCTCTGATCCCTTCAGGCCCTGGCTTTGTATCCTGACCCTTTCTTCTTTCCACTCTCTTTCTTTGTGTCACTCTTGGTTCTGGATGCAGGGGAGTCAGTGGGCCACGGAACTTGTGGTCTGCACCTCTCTATTCAAGCTCTGGTGAATAGGGTGCTCCCTGTGTCCTGAGAGATGCTTTTATTTTGTATAATGTGTGTGTCTCACTGACATGCTGGAGGCTGGGTGGGGGGGTTGGGGGGCGTGGGTAGGCTTTGTCAGAGGTGCTGTGCAAGAAAGTGGTTTTCAAACTACCCCCAATCCCCATTTTGTTATTTATTATTTACATGTTTATTGTCAATGTCTTTTCTAAATACAAATCTTATTGGGACTCTATAAAATGTGTAAGAGTAGAACTTCCCCAGTTGAATCTGAAATGGGAGCTTTTAACCCTGCCCAGGTGATCTCCCTCCCCTAACCACCATGGTTCCAGATCAGGGTCTCCCACCTGTGGCAAGTGTCCTTTATGGTCCTGGGCCTCTGAATAGCCCATAAAAACCCTGGGTAGAAGGTCTGTCCAGGACTTGGGTGGGGTCAATAAGAAGTAGTTGTATTTGTCCCCTAATCTGGCTTAGGGTAAGGCTGATTGCCTGGGTTTGTAGCTCTGGCTTCCCTTCCTTTTCTGAGGCTTTTGTGGGTTCATGTTCAGTTATTTCTAGGGCCCAGAAGATCTCAGTGGCCTTACTAAAACGGTGTGATGGCACTCAGGACCCATGTCCACCACTTTGGTTCCATTCTGCACCACCTGTATTGCAGGCGTAGGCGGGCAAAAACTCCCAAATCCCCTCGCTGCTATGTTCGATTCTCCTAATGAGATACACTCATGGGATATTTGGAAAACAAAAGTGGGCAGAGGGAATTTTTCTTGAGCAGGGGGCGTGGTTATGTGCAGGCTTCAGCAGACACAAGTTTGTGCAGTAGCCAGTCTCTGCAGCCCCCTCTATTCCCCTGCTTCAGCGTGAAGTAGCTGTGAGGTTGGCATAATTTTTCCTTCAGGGTTCCCACCTTGGAGTACAGATGCTGTGATGCCTGATATCAACTCTTTGACTTCTGCAGTGGCAGCCATTCCTGTGCCCATGTTAGTACCTATTTCTGCTTGAAACACCAAGAGTAGTTTCTGATTTGTGCACTGATTTCTGGTAAAAGTGGTGTTCCCTGCTTCTCTGCGACTTGAGTCTGCTCTTAACTTCGATAGGTATGGGGATGAAGTGGGGAGGCAGAGATAAACTGGGAGGGTAGGATCACTGTGGCTGACTCTGTTCCTCCAATTCTTTGTAAGAGGGTGGTATGGCTCCTACCAAGGGCTCAATCCTAGCTGGGTGATTTCCTTGTTTCTTGGGTCACATTATGGCCGAGGAAGCAGGCAGACCATTATTGGCAGGACTGACACAAGATGGTTTGTCACAGTGGCTGCTCCATTTGAGAACTGACCCACCAACCTCTGCTTTTGAGGTGGCAGAGGCTCAAATGCACCTGGCTGGGACTTGGTTAGTTTTCACACAGATTCATCCTAAAGTGGAAGGGGAAAATCCTCCGTACTTGGGCAGGATTGGCCTGCCCTTTTGTGAAAGCACAGGCTCTTCCAAGGATTGTGATGAAGCCCCACAGAACAGGGAACTGACATCATAGGCCAACTTCTTCTTATCCTGCTCATTTGCTCTACCAGTTGTGCTCACTGCATCAACCTCCCATGCACTGGACTCTGAGAGCCTTCATCTTGTCTAGAAATGGAAGCACCTGGGGCCTTTCATATCAGGGTGAAGAGGAAAGGAGCCTGTGAGGGGAAGCGAGTGCTGAGTCCTTACTCTTCCTGGGGGTCCCAGAAAGTAACTGATGGGAAGCTGCCTCTCACTTAGGGTGGGGGAGCAGGCTTAACAGGTGGGTTGTTGAACCCACTGCTTCTACAGCAGAGCTTGGATTGCCAACAGAAAGAACTCAAACACTTTATTTTAAGGTCATAAGAGAAATAAAAGTCACAATACGTTTAAGTCAAATCAGAATTAACACCGTTTTGCTCACATATAAATTATTCAAACCTTTTGCTCCCATTAGGAAAGATCTCTGGCCTGGTTCTTTTTCAGGGCTGAGGTGGCACCTTTTCATTCGCTCAGCTGGCAGAGCAAAGCTGATCCCTTGGCAATCCAGTAGTCTTTGGACCGCTTGGAGGGTAACAGGACGGTTACCACAAAATTGGTTGAATGTCCTAATTAAGGATATAGGAAAAAAAGGTTGTTACTTAAGAGAATAACTTCCTCATACAAAGAGAGAGGCTACAAAGAGTCAAGACATCTGGGTTCCAGGCCTGACTTGCCCCTAAAGATGCTGGACAAATAGTCCTTTATGGGTCTGTTTTATGCTCTATAAAATGAAGATTTTAGAACAAATAATTCTTTAGGACTTGTCCAGCTTAGACTTCATAGAATTTTTTTTTTCGAGACAGGGTCTCACTCTATCACCCAGGCTGGAAGTGTAGTGGCGTGATCTCAGCTTGCTGCAACCTCTGCCCTCCTGGGTTCAAGTGATTCTCCTACCTCAGCCTCTTGAGTAGCTGGGACTATAGGTGCGTACCACCATGCCTGGCTAATTTTTGTATTTTTAGTAGAGGCGGGGTTTCACCAGTTGGCTAGGCTGGTCTCAAACTCTTGGCCTCAAATGATCCGCTTGCCTTGGCCTCCCAAAGTGCTGGGATTACAGGCATGAGCCACTGCACCCAGCCTAATAATTTCTTAATAACCAGGATTCAAATGAGTTTCATATCTTGCAACAGTGATGTGTCTCTTAAATCTTTCAATTGGTAGGTTTCCCTCTGCTTCTTTTGCCGCCCCCTTGTAATATATTTGTTGAAACAACCAGACTGTTTGTCCTGTTAAGTTTCCCAGAATCTGGATTTTATGACAGCACTGCTGTGGTGATTTTAAATATATTCCTCTCTTCCTGTAAGGGGTGGTTAGATCTAGAGGCGTGACTACATTCAGGTTTGAGGTTTTTTTTCCCTTTTTTTTTTTTTTTTTTTTTTTTTTTTTGAGATAGGGTCTCATTCTTTTGCCCAGGCTGGAGTGCAGTGGTTTGATTATGGCTAACTGCAGACTTGAACTGGACTCAAGCGATCCTCCTGCCTCAGTCTCCCAAGCGGCTGGGACTACAGGCGTGTGCACCACACCTTGCTAATTTTTGTATTTTTTGTAGAGACGGGGTCTCGTCATCTTGCCCAGGCTGGCAGGTTTGAGTTTTATGGCAAGAATAATTCTTAGGTAGTAGGTACTTCTATCAGGAAGCACATTATGTCTGATTGTCTTTCTTTTTTGGGATATTAGTGGCCATTGATGACTACTACATAGGACTACCCCTCTTTTAAATAGCTGAAAAAGAGTTTCTTTTGATCCTTGTACAAGATGGGGTTTCTGTCACAGTTTCAGATAATGTTAGTTTGTTGGTCCCCTCTCCTTACTGATTTGTAAGAATTCTTTATGCCAGGCTTCTATAGTTTGGATGTTTGATCCCTCCAAATCTCATGTTGAAATTTGATCCCCAATGTTGGAGATGGGGCTTAATGGAAGGTGTTTGGCTGATGGGGGTCAGATCCCTGATGAGTAGATTAATACTCCTTGGAATGGGGGGTGAGCTGTCACTTTATTAGTTCTTGCGAGAGCTGCTTGTTAAAGAGTCTGGCGCCTCCCTCCCATCTTGCCTACTTCCTCTCTTGCCATGGGACCTCTAAACACCAGCTCCCTTTTGTCTTCTGCTATGAGTGGAAGCATCCTGAGGCTCTCACCAGAAGCAGATGCTGGCACCAGCCTGCAGAACCATGAGCCAAATAAACTTTTCTTTAAAGTTACTCAGCCTCAGGTATTCCTTTATAGCAACACAAACACAAACAAAGACAGTTGGATTTTTTTTTTTTAATTGAGATGGGGGTTTCACTATGTTGCCCAGGCTGGTGTTGAACTCTTGGGCTCAAGTGATCCTCCCACCTTAGCCTCCTGAGTAGCTGGGACTACAGACACATGATACCACACCTGGCTAGACAGCTGGATTGTTTTCAAAATAGAAGGTCAGTGATGATTAATTTAGCGCCTCTGTATGTTCAAAACTGTCTTTATTCACTTCCCTTTTGAAAGATGGTTTGGTTGTGTTTTGAATTCTGGTTCAAAGGTATTTTCCCTCAACCCTTTGAAGGTGATTCTCCATTATCTTTTTATATGCACGGTGGATAATGGGAGTTGACTGATATCAATCTGATTCTCATTCTCTGGGATTTCAGTTCCAGCATATATTATACATTGTCTCTTCTCTTTGGTTATTTTGAGCATTTTTTTTTTTTGGTCTCTGACAGTCTTAAGTATCACTTTGGTATATCTAGGTTTCTTTGAAGATTTGATTACTTGTAGGTTGCTAAAAATCATTCCTTCCACTTTGTGAGACCTCACAATCTAATGATTCAAGTGTTTCTTTAGTTTTGGGAAATTACCAGCCATTATTTTTTCAAACATTCTCTCTCCTCCATTCTTTATTTTCTCCTTTCAGGTTACCTAGAAAACAAGAAAAATGTTGCAATTTCTGGCTCCTTCCACAGGGTCACTTCTTTCCCCTCTCACTGTGCTGTATTCAAGGCGATTTTCCCAGTTCATTCTCTCTTCTCATTCTTCAGCTGTCCCTTGGTGTATCTGTTGAGGTGGCTTTCTTTCTGTCTGGTTTCTTTTTTCAGGGCTGTATCTCAGTTTCAGATGCACTCAGAGTTTTGCATCAGGGCTGTCCATTTATTCATTTGTTTATTTACTTATTTATGATGGAGTTTTCGCTCTTGTTACCTAGGCTGGAGTGCAGTGGCCCAATGTTGGCTCACTGCAACCTCCGCCTCCCAGGTTCAAGTGATTCTCCTGCCTCAGCCTCCCAAGTAGTTGGGAATACTGGCACCCGCCACCATGCCTGGCTAATTTTTTGTATTTAGTAGAGACAGGGTTTCACTATGTTGGTCAGGCTAGTCTTGAACTCCTGACCTCAGGTGATTCATCTGCTTCGGTCTCCCAAAGTGCTGGGATTAAAGGGGTGAGCCACCTTTCCCGGCCTATTCATTTATTTTAAAATTTCTTTTATGATGAGTAAAAATGGATTTAGTGAGAAAAAAGAGATTTTCGTGTCTATTCAGGCCGCCATTTTGAAAGTGGAAGTCTCTACTTGTTAAACTCTATTTTCTACTCCTTGGATTCTAATAGAAGCAAGAATTAATTCTATAATATTAATCTATACTCAGAACAAATAGAATTTATAATTACATTTACGAATTTTGTATGTTATAGGTGGCTTCATTTTAAGTCTAGTTTATTGGCCCAAGGGAGATCTTGAGCCAATCACAGCTTAGTGTTTGGACTTTGATTGAAGATTGCATTTGGTCATTATTTGAACTAATCTTAAGAACATCCTCACCTGTGGTTGAGAGTGTTCCTGCCCGGGCTCCTGTTTTATAAAGTGGGCAGTGGTAAAGTGTTGGGCTTGGCTTATAGTTTTGTTGTGGTTCAAAATGCACCACAGGCAGCACTGGATTCATCTGTCCGGGCAATGCATCTTCTATCACCATCTCCTTATCATCCCATCGAGAAGCATCCATGAACATCCCATGAACAAGAACACCATCCTCAGGAGAGGGCAACTGAAAGATACCCACAAGTCTCAAAGTGAGATGGGGGAAAAGGGATCAGCAGGTGTGAGCCACTTCCTATGTCCCACATCCTCACCAGGTAATTCTAAAAAACACTCTATACATTGCTGTTATTATTCACATTTTAGAGAGGTCAATCCTGAGGCTCTGAGAGGCAAAAAAATGTAATAATAATGTGATGACTTTTCCCCTTTTCATGGGAGGTGGAGGAGTACTGAGATCATCGTCTGTTATTCTTAGCAAGGTTTTTCAAGGATTTGGATGCCCTCCTAGAAGACAGATTATATATCTGCAATAATATTTGCAGAGTGCCCATGGACAATTCCTTTTTGTTCTTTCTCTCTTTTTTAAAAATTATGCTTACTTTTAAATGTTTGTATTAAATAAGAAAGAGGGAGAGGGAGAGACCCTGCCCATCAGATTCCTGTGATGTGATTGGATGTCTCCACCGGTGCACACTTTTTTTTTTTTTTTTCCAATTGTGGGCATCTGAGTCATCCTTCCTCAAACCCTGAGTGGATTTGGCCATTTCTGGCCCGAGGTCTTTGGATAATTGGAGCCTCACGTCTGCAGGCAGAGGACTAAGCTGTTTGGATAATATGTAGTGCATTTTATAGTGAATAAAAGGATGGTAAACTAAATTCTTTTTAGCTGGTCTTTGCTTTTTGGTGTCCTAACCTTTCTGTTTCTTGGGTGCAGCAGGATGGGACTTCCTGTTTTTGGGCTGCACATATGTTTATGCAGGTTTGCCTGAAAACTATCCTGCTACCTACTGGGTGTCCACCAACTGGGCATCACCCAGAGGGAGCACCTTTTCCTATGCTGCGCCAAGGCGGCAAATGGGCTGACAGTGGTCTTGCCTGTTTGCAACAGAGATAAAGCTGTTTAAACACATACCCTGTGTTTAGACCAGTATATGTGCTGGTCACATGACACTGGCTGTTTCTTTCACACCACACTACTGGCCTGTCTCCTGGTCTGTTGGTGGCAGACATTTGCTAGGTGGGCCAGGAGACAGGCCAGTTAGACAGTCTGAAGTCTCCCCAGATCTCAGAGATTGTAAGGCATTGTCATGGCTCAGCGCACATGACCCAAGCAGAGACATGGTATGAACTAGGGTGGAGGGACAGAGCCCTGGTGGTCACTGTAAACTTCTGTCTGTCAGAATCAGCCTCTGTGGCAGATGGAGTGTGCTGAGCATGGACCAGGGCAGGCTGGTCCCGGAAAGCTCCGGTGGGGGCTTTTATGTGGGTGTTGCTTTACCTTCCTGGAGCCTCAAGTTTTCCTGACATGGGAAAGTTGACACTCTCTTCTTAAGACAAGAAGGATCTTAAAATAATATGAGGTGCAGACATGTTAACAATTGCTCCAGCACATGCAGCTGGTGAAAGGTAGTGTCAGAATTCAAACTCAGGCTTCTCTCGTTTTTAAACCCTTGCTTTTAACTTCTTGCTATATTGATTCTGTAAGATGAAGAAGGTTACTAAAGGTAGCTAAAAAATAAAAAAAATATTGCTTTAAAAATATTTCTATAACTTAGACTAGTTTAGGCAGTTCCCATCTGGTCATTGCTAATTGGGGAGCTTATCTTGGAGGTGTGATTACTACCCTGCCCTTCCTGCTCCTGCCAATGGGAGGTGGTGGGGGAGTGGGGCATGGAAGGTTGTCTGAAATCTTCAAAGACAGTGGGATAGAAGCTGCTTTGCCATAACAGCCAGGTGGACAATACCTCCATGTCCATGGGCAGTTCTTGTCCAAATTGCACTGTCTTGGCAGCTTCTATCACTGCAGCTTGATCCCGATAGGTGGGAATTACGCTGTATTTGAAACTCAGCTCATCTATAGGCAAATTGTATTTTCGAGCATGATTTTGAAGAGTTCCTGTAATTGTGAAAATCGGAAAGCTGCGTTCAAACAACACTGCTACTCCCCAGGCACTATTCCCCTTCATCCAAACCAGGCTGCCCTGGCATTAGAGAGCCTTCCCACCACAGAGAAGACCCAACTCTTAATACCTTCCTCTGAGTTAGTTCACAGGGTCAGGAAGCCTGCGGGTCATGTTGGGAGGTAAGGGCCCAAGGGATGGACAAGCTCTGGTCCTGGCTGGGAAGGGAGGGAAGGCCAGTGTTCAGTGCATTGCCCTGTCATGAGGGAGACAAACCAGTGAGGCAGTTTCAGAGCCCAATCTCGCTAACTTTAGGATTTTGCCCAGCTTGTTTTATATGGGCTGTTTAATAGGTATTAAGAATGAGAGAGATGAAGGGCTTGGGTAATTAGCATTGAGTTGCTCACAGGCTCTAGCCCCCTCTGAGGCTCTCTAGCCAGATTCCCCAAGAGCTGATGGAGGCACATCAAGAGAATTTCTCAGAGGGAAGGGAGCTGCTCACAGCTGGGGCCTGAGCAGGTGGACAGCAGTTGATGCCCTTGAGCGTGGGTCATATGGGGAACTGAGGCACATTCTGTGTTTGTGGAGGCAGCAGTGCCTGCACTTATGTAACCTGAGAGGGGCAGGGATTAGGTTGTTGGGGAACATCTGCTATCTCTGCCATCTTTCCTCTGCCCCCCACAAGTGAGGAAGAGCACGACCTTGTTAGATTGCCCTATGATCAATAGCCTCATTGCTAGAGCATTAGCAGCCATGTCATTTCCCCAGCACCTCAAAACCCTGTGTATGAGAAGTCATGGCCATTCCTATGGGGTTTTTCTAGAAAGCGCTGGTACCTGTTAGAAATCCTTGAGGAAAGAAGAAACCAGAGATCCAGTAGGACTTAGGCTGTCCTCTTTTGAGCCACAGCTGAAGGAGAAACATATTCATAATAAACGTTATTTCTGGGATGGAATTTGTTTTCTAAAGCAAAGTCCTATTTGGGGAGAGTTTCTCAGGAGGCAGAATCTAAAGCAGCCCTGAGTTAGTCACCACCCCCATTTCACTGCCTGCCGCATTCCCCTTCCTGTTCTGCCAGCCTGATGACTGTGGACACAGAGCCTGGTTATTGTGGGGTATGTGAGAGGGAGACAGCAGCAAAGTTATCTGGGATCTGGACTCATCTTGGTTGGTCTATACCTCACTGTGGGGTCCCATGAATTAGAGCTGAAACCCCAAGGATGCCTGGAATTAAAGTGGAAGGTGGGGATGAGTGCCTAGGGCAAACGATATTATAATCAGTATAAGACTTTTAAAGTGATGCCATTCTGGACATCTCTTTTTCTCTGGGCTCAGATTATCCATCAGTGACTGTGGATATCTTTAGCCAGTGCTTCCTAGGGACCTTAGGCCAACTATGCCATCAGATTCATCAAAACCCAGTGAAAGGAATTTTCTTACATCCACAAATGAGGTCCTCAGGATAAGGTCTTTGACCCATGATCCTAGTGGCTTCAGGGATGGGTAGGCTGTGTTGGACCACAGAGCGGGAACCTGGTTGTTGAGGAAACTGTTATACACTTTTTCCATTTCTTCAGACATCACCACAAATCCAGCGATGGCTTTGTTGAGTGTTTCCAGAGAAGTCTGAAAGAACAAAAAAGGGGTTGGTGGCCTTTGCAGATGTCATTATCCAGTGTCAGTGACACACATTAATGACAGCAGGGGCTGCCTTGCCTGGAGGCGCCAGTTGCTAGGTTCTATCCTCTTTGCACACTGTCTGCTGGGCCAGACCCTCCAATATTTCACGCATTACTACAATACGTGACCGTTGCGGTGTAACACTTGAGGGTGGCAGTTGAAAGCAGAGTCCAGTGCAGTGGAAAGAAGGAAGCAGAAATGTCTCCTGAAGCCTGGAGAAGTGGCTGGGAGAAATGCCACTGTCCAGCACTCCTCCAGGCCAAAAGAAAAATAGGCCTGACTGTGATTTGGGAAGCACAGAGTGTGAGGAGGAGGGGGAGATGGGGAGTGAGAACCACCTCATGCTACTGGTCATTTTTGCTCAGAGGGTTCCCCCAAACCCCAGAGTTAGTGCAGAAAGAGGAGATTCCTTTTTTTTTTTTTTTTTGAGACAGAATCTTGCTCTGTCGCCAGGCTGGAGTGCAGTGGGATGATCTCGGCTCACTGCAACCTCCTCCTCCTGGGTTCAAGTGATTCTCCTGTCTCAGTCTGCCAAGTAGTTGGGATTACAGGCATGTGCCACCATGCCCAGATAATTTTTGTATTTTTAGTAGAGATGTGGTTTTGCCATGTTGGCCAGGCTGGTCTCGAACTCCTGACCTTAGGAGATCTGCCCACCTTAGCCTCCCAACATGCTGGGATTACAGGTGTGAGCCACCGTGCCCGGCTGGAAAGGGGAGAGTCTTAGATGAGACTAATCTTCCAGCTGGCATCAGAGGGTCTCCTTGAACTGGAAACACCTCCTTAAAACATGTCTCCAAGCCTCTCCTTCTCTCACCAGAAGATGGAGGCAGGCCACAGTCCTGGGAGACACTGGGCTGGAGTGGAGTACAGGGCGATGTTTGCCACCTGGCTAAAGACAAGGGAGAGCATATAGTTGGGTTATGGCCCCCATGGGTCGCAGTGTTGTGAAAACTGCCATATATTGGGAAAATATAATAGGAAGACGTTAGAGGCAAAATTTATGTTGACTAAGCAACCAAATAAGGCCTGGGACCACATGCACAGCATCTTAGCGACAGGCATTGTGTGGATGAAACAAGGCTACGTGTCCTTCCATTCTTTCACAGATTTATTTGTTGGTTCCCTTCTCCCTGTACCTCTTTTCACAAGAGGTAGTGGTAGAAAAAAGAAGTGTTTTACTTAGATTTGTCCTTAGGATCTGAGGAACCATCTGCAGCAGAGTGCAGGAAAGAGGCCCTTAGCCAGAGCCAAGACCATCCTCCATGATAGACCTGGAAATAGGAAGAAGTAGCAGAAGACTCATCTAAAATGCAGAGAGAACACAAAAAATGATAGAGGTGGAGGGAGCAGACTGCTGAGATCTTCAAGGTCTGCTTAAAATAGAAAGAGGTCATGTTGCAGTCGATTCTCCCAAAGGAGGCAGCCAACACACAGATGTATTAAGTGGGAGAAAGAGTACTTCAAAGGCTTTCCTTCTCCTATGGCTCGAAGCCTACACAGGGTGGCCTTGTCACTCCTAGGACCTGTCCTATCCCACGGTTCTGTCTGGAGGAGAGTGGGTTCACCAGGATGGCATTCCCCAAGACTCCTGGGTGCTGCTCCCTTCCCCTGGCTTTCTTATTGCCACCATAGTACTGCCTGGCTGTTCCCAAGGGGAAGGGAAGGTGAGGCTGGGAACAAAGCCATGGCAAGGCAGGACCAGGCCTGAGGTCTAGGACTAGAGGTCAGGTGAGGAAGGCCTCTGGCAATTACAGCATGCCGTGGTGAGCACCTCCCTTCTGATGGGAATGCTTGGCTGTGATTCCTGATGGCCCTGCAGGTCACCTGTCCCTGGGCTCCTCCCCTTATGCTTCCATTAGGGGAATTCCTCTGTTAGTGGTGGACTGGGGTTTGTTTGACCAGAAAAAGTGACCAAAGGAGACCTGAGAGTCACATTTGTTCACTTGTACATTCAAATATTCACGGAAGATTTAGTATGTCAGTTACTAAGGAAACAAAGATGACGAGTGTAACATCTCCCTTGTTTTTAAGAAATTCTTTGTTAGAGTAGCCATACTCATAGGGGGGAAATTACAAAAAATGTAATGAATACAGTGGTGGACACAGAGACCTGAGATGATGGGGCCTTGAGGATGGGACCCTAATTCATCTGGCAGTAGAGGGAAGGGCTGGTCTCCAGGAAGACATTATGGATAAGTGACATCTGGACTTAAATTCAAGTGGGTGAAAGTTCATGATGTGGAAAGGGCAAGACATAAGCTGGTGTTCCTCAGAACAAAAGCACCTCCTTAGTGTTAGCTGGGCACATAGCACCCCATCGAGAGACTCCTTTCCCAGCCACCCTTGAGGCTGGGCTGTGGTCATGTGACCAAGTTTTGGCTAATGGGATATAAGAAGAAAGGATGTATACTACCACTGGATCACATTTTTATAAGGAAGCTGCTTTTCCTTGCCTCTCTCTTTCCTGCTTCCCACTGGCTGGCAAAAGGGGACAACTGGGGCAGCCACCTTAGACCCAGACACAGAAGTTGTCTGTTGAGACTGGAAGAGCCAACCTGTTTATCCCTGGATGAGCTCACAAAGCAGAATTAACTACCTGCCCTAGACAGGGCTCCCTCAGGGCTGTTAGGGGAGAGTAAAGTGAATTTTTCTCTTGTTTTGGACTATGTTATGGGGGTCTTTATCATAGCAGCTTAGTCTGTACCCCAATTCATTCAATATAGAAGGAAATAAGCCCTGACCTGGTGACCTGACCAGGAGACTGAGAGAGGAGAGAGACTTAGCCTGCTGACTTTGGTGCATACCTGACTAGATGCCATAGTCCCAAGGTGAAGACTACATACTCAGCTGACCCGCCTAACCAACAAGCCTAGGTATTGCCAGCCAAGCAGCAACTTCCGGAGACTTTGCCTTTCTGATAGGGAACAGAAATGGTCTTTAGCTGTAAAAGATCTCTCCCAGTTCTCCCCCAATCTTATCCCCAAGTCTTGACCTTGAAGTAGGTGTTTGGTTCCCTGCTTAGCAGTAACACTTTTCCTGTCAATGCTCAATATTTTCTAATAGTTATTCTTTTTCTCTTATCAAAGTTATGCACAGAGAAACTAGGAAGGCCTTTGACCATCATTACAAATGCAAGGCAATGCAGAGAGAAAGTATCTATGAACATAAAGCAGAAGATCAAACAGGTGTTTGCAAATTTTAGTGACATTAAAATTATCTGGGGAGTTTATTTAAAATTCATATTCCCAGGCCCTGCTTCAAGAAATTCTAACTCAGTAGGTCTTGAGTGGGATCAAGTAATCCACATGTTGAACACACCACAGGGGACTCTAATGCAGGCATTCTGTGGCCCACACTTTGACAGATTATGGTTTTCACAGTCTCGCTTAAAGACTATGTTATGAAATGCAAACTAGACATTAGGAACAAACACTGAATTACTCTTAATTGAGTGCTTAGGTCTCTGAACAATTTCTAGTGAGTCAATAGAATCTAAGGGTGTAAGGATAAGGAGGAGACTGAGAATTTGTAATGTTACATATTCACTCCATCATTATTAGAAAATGGGAATACAGATTCATTAGAGAAGGATAAATTCATTTTTAGACTCATTGGGCTTGAAGAGTTGTTAGTGTATCCAAATGGAAATGCTGAAGTGATGGGAATGGAAGAATTTCATATTATACAACTCTCTACAAAGCTTTGATGCTCAATAGCAATGATGAAAGTAAGCTCTCATACATGAATTAACTTCAGCAGGTTGTTAAACCGGTCCACTTCCTGTCCAAGAACGGTGGTCAAGGAGTTCAGACGTCCTTGAAGATCCTTGACAAAAAGGCTCTCAGAAGCACCCTCCATTTCCAGTTTTTCTGAAACATACACAGCGATTCCTCAGGCCAGTCACCATTGATTTGTTCTCACAATATTGCTAAGGCAATGTGCTTATCTTAACATTTTTAAAAAGCCAGCTTCTCTCATTGTTTAAGCCAGATACATAGGATTTAAATGTGATGTTTCTATAATTTAGAATGCTTTTGTGATTCAACTGTGTTTATATAGAAGCAATCACAGAAAATTATGTTTAAATTCATGTGTATCAGTGTATCAGGGCATACACACACACACACACACACACACACACACACACACACATATATATACACTTTTTTTTCTCAAACATTAAACCATTGCATTTTGTTTCTTCCCTTAAAGCATGTTCCCCATGGGTATTTTCATCTTCCCAGCCAGTGTGAGCTATGTGATCTATGGCCCTGGGACAGGAGAGGTAGGTCCTTGTTGCTTAAGTGAGATCATAGAAAGACTGGCTGTGCTAATGTAGAAGGAGGACTGGAAAAAGGAAGGAGAAGCCTGCTTATTTTCATTCTGGTTGACTGTGGGGAGGAGGTGAGGGGTTGAGAGGGAAGAGGATGTAATGGAAGGTCAGCATGGCTCAGTGGTATCTGCAAGTTTGATGAGGGGTTTGAAAGGTCTCCAATGTGGAATGAGGGGGTTGGCAGGAGGGCATAGGAAGGTGTGCCTGGCTTTGGCTGATTGGGAGGCAGAGCCCTGAAGGCTTCAGTGGTAAATGCTAGCAGGATGAAGCGGTTGCCTGGCAGACAAGGAACATTCCAGAGACTAGACGGCCCAGGGACCCTAAGTCTCCCCCTCTACCATACAAGCGTTTAAATCTCCCACTTCCCTGCTCACCTGCACTGCATAGGAAAGGTTGGGGGCAGGAGACTGAGACAGGAGAGAGACTTAGTGTTTATCGCATGTTACTGGGCATTATTTAAAGGGACTGACTGCATTATTAAACAGGCCCATAGTTCAAACTGGATGGAAAATGTAGCTCTTCTTTCTCCCTACAATCCACCAAATGCAGGCTCAGATGAAGAACGATATGAGCTACGAAAGAGGAAGGAACAGCCTTTTTCTTGCGTATTTGAGAAAAGTATGTGTAAACAAATGGCTATGACATACATGTATCAAATTCCTTCTTGACCACACACATTTGGCTGCTGGACAAAAATCCCACAGCAGTGCCAATGAGTCTAATCTCTTGGGTCCGCTGTGCTGTGGTTACATGTCCCTGGTCTTCTCTTTCCACCATTCCTCTCAGGGCTATTTCAAACCCTCAGTTCTTTTGCTGAGCCAATTGTTTTCCTGCCCCTTCAGTCTCAGCAGATGATCTGCTTAGCATTTCACAGTAAAAGTACAAGCTTTATGAAGCCTGGAGAGAAAACCCTCCTAGGTGTCAGTGGGATTCTACCAAACAAGTGCATGGTCTCTGCAGCTATCCATTCATCTCTCCATCCTTTTCCCAACCAGCACTCTATCTTATATTTATTGATCTTATATTTAATGACTCTGTTTGCTTCAACAACAGAATTCTCTACCCAAGTAGACATTCTCTTGAGGGCCTGCTTCTAGGAGGCAGATAACTGACTTCTGAAACCACAAGGCTCCTTTTCTTCCAGGGGCTTTAAGGGCATTAGCAGGACTCAGTTGCTGTTTTTTCTGCCTCAATTTTCTTTTTCCTATAATGACATCTCTTCCAACCATGAATAATGAAGACATCTAAATCTCCTATCGATCTAAGAAAAGTGTTAAAATAGATCTCTTGTGATCATTCAGGAAGACCTTTTTTTTTTTTTTTTTTTTTTTTGAGACTGAGTCTTGCTCTGTCACCCAGGCTGGAGTGCAGTGGTGTGATCTCGGCTCACTGCGAGCTCCGCCTCCCGGGTTCACACCATTCTCCTGCCTCAGCCTCCAGAGTAGCTGGGACTACAGGCGACCGCCACCACGCCCGGCTAATTTTTTGTATTTTTAGTAGAGATGGGGTTTCACCGTGTTAGCCAGGATAGTCTTGATCTCCTGACCTTGTGATCCGCCTGCCTTGGCCTCCCAAAGTGCTAGGATTACAGGCATCAGCCACTGTGCCCGGCCTGGGAAGACTCTTTCACTTATCAGAAAACAAGGTGAAAGTAATTTAGCCATATGTCTTCTAAGTGGAGAAAAAATTTAAATGGATTCTACAGCAGGACTGTCTAGTAGAGCTTTTAGTGGAATTGTTCTCTATCTCTATACTGTCCAATATGATAGCACTTGAAATGTGACTGGTACAAATGAGGAAATGAATTTTAAATTACATTAAGTTTAAATTTAGGTAGCCATATTGGCTAGTGGCTATTTTCTTCCACAGCACAGGTCTAGAGACAGTAGAATAATGAAACCAAGGGAAGCTCAGGAAAGAGTCTGGTTAAAGTTACATTGAGCTGGAAACCAATTTCCTCCTAATGCTTCTGGCAGTTGAGATGTTGAGATGCTGTAAGCTTCTAGTCTATAAATGAAGAGCTCCATGTCAAAAGAGCTCTTTAGGTTAAAAAAAGTCTACATAATAAGCAGGTTTTGACACCTGTTTATCACTCAGTTCTCTGAGTTTATTCCTAAAATTCCCATTACATACAGATTCCTAGAATTATTTATTACCTGGAACTCTGGTCTGGACAGAAGCAACAAGTTCTTGAACAATTTCGTCATTGCTTTTTCCCTCTCCACCAGTAGATGACCTTGGCTGAACCTCAAGTATGGTGTTGATTAAAGTGCTGGTCTCTTTGTACTGTAATGGCAATAAGAGACAGAACAGTGAAGACTCAAATTCTCAGAAAACAAATTTGCAGCACACATAATTATTTACAAAAGTAAAGGCAGTTCTCTAAAACCATATTATTTATTTTCACTTTATTTTATTGTGGTAAGAACAATTAACATGAGATCTACCCTCTTAACAAATTAAGACAGTAATTATTGCTGACTATAGGTACAATGTTGCACAAAAGATCTCTAGTGCTGATTCATCTTGCTTGACTGCAACTTTATGCCTGTTGATTAGTAACTCCCCATTTCCCCCTCTCCCCAGCCCCTGGCAACTACCATTCCACTCTTTAATTCTATGAATTTGACTATTTTAGATAACTCCATAAAAGTTAAATCATGCAGTATTTGTCTTTTTGTGACTGGCTTAAGGAAATTTTATTTTCTGTCTTGGAGGTAGAGTTGGTAAAATGTGGTCATTGGAAATGCCTAGTACATAGTTGTTACTGTTATACTAAAAATTTTTTTGTTGAGCAACAATGTAAATGTACTTAATGGGCCAGGCCCAGTGGCTCATGCCTGTAATCCCAACACTTTGGGTGGTCAAGGCAGGAAGACTGCTTTAGCCCAAAAGGGATTGCTTTAGCCCAATAGTTTGAGACCAGCATGGGCAACATGGTAAGACTCTGTCCCTATAAAAAAAAAAAAATTAGCTGGGTGTGGTGGTGTATACCTGTGGTCCTAGTTACTTGGGAGGCTGAATGGGGAATAGCTTGATCCCAGGAATTAGAAGTTGTGGTGAACTATGATCTCCCCACTGCACTCTAGCCAGGGCAACAGAGGGAGGCCCTATTTCAAAAGGAAATAAAATAAAAATAAATAAATAAATGTACTTAATGCCACTGAACTGTATGCTTAAAAATGATTAAAATGTATATTTTCTGTTATACATATTTTACTACAATAAAGAATGGTTAAACATTTTTAAGTTGATCAGTTAAAAGAAATTATGAAAGTGAGGGAAAAATCATGAGAACACAGTTTCAGGTCATTCTTTTATTCAATTAACTTTTTTTTAAAATTAGAAAAATACGGCTTATTACAGAAAAATTTGAAGGTAGAAAAATATAAATAAAAAATATTCATGATACTTACTTTCCAGATATAATTACTTATAATGAAGTAATATTTAATTAAATAAACTATAGCTTACTTCAACTTGGACACTTTCTGTATATATGTGCATAAAGTTTGCAAAATTGAGCTAATAAATTTATGTAATATTAATTCATTTTCAATATTATGAGTCTTCTAATATCACTGAAAAATCCTCATGAACCATGCTTTAAGTGACTGTGATAATTTAAGTGACAATGTGATACTAATTATGGTATAAATGCATTGTAATTAATATGAGTTACTTATCTATTTTTTGGAAATTTCTAGTTTTTTGATTTTATTAGACTTTTTTTTTTTTTTTTTTTGAGATGGAGTCTCACTCTGTTGCCCAGGCTGGAGTGCAGTGGCGTGATCTTGACTCACTGCAACCTCTGCCTCCCAGGCTCAAGCGATTCTTCTGCCTCAGCCTCCAAGTAGCTGGGATTACAGGCACCTGTCACCACGCCTGGCTAATTTTTATAGTTTTAGTAGAAACAGGGTTTCACCATGTTGGCCAGGCTGGTCCCGAACTCCTGGCCTCAAGTGACTCACGTGGCTTGGCCTCTCAAAGTGCTGGGATTACAAGCGTGAACCACTGTGCCCAGCTGATCTTATTACACTTCGGGAATAGAATATGTTTGTATGAATTTCATCCACCATTTTTGAAATTCTTTAAATGATAGATTAAGTAGAGGCGATATTTTAAAACTGGGTATTACCATATTAATTTCTAAAAACATTGTATCAATTTATATTTCCAACAATAGTGTATCATAAAGCCTTTCTATGTCTTCGCAAGAATTAATATTATTACTTAAACAAATGTTTCTAATTTAATGGATAAAATAGTTTCTCATTTTTTGCACTTTAAGTATTTAAATATTGAAAAATATGTTCATTGACCATCTATATTACTCCTTTATGAATTATTCATAATGTTTTTTTAACATTTTTGATTTTTAGCATTTTATTATTTATTATTAATTTATAAGATAATTCTATAATATAGAAAGCTAAATTTTCTGTTTTTTGTTTCAAAAATGTTTTGATTTGCCACTTGTCTTAATTTTTAAAAAAACATTTTAGATTCAGAGGGTACACGTGCACATTTGTTACACGGATATATTGCATGGTGCTGAGGTTTGGGCTTCTATTGAACTTCATCACCCAAATAGTGAACATAGTATCTAACAGGTTGTTTTTCAACTCTTTTCTTCCTTCCTTTTCCCCCCTTTTGGAGTCCCCAGGGTCTATTGTTCCCATCTTTACGTCCATGTGTACCCAGTGTTTAGCTTCCACTTGTAAGTGAGAACATGCAGTATTTGGTTTTCTGTTTCTGCATTCTTCGAGTTTAGTTTGTTCTTATTTTTCCAGTTCCTTTGGGTGCAACATTAGGTTGTTAATTTGAGGTCTTTCTATTAATACCTTTTTGATGTAGGCAGTTAGCTTTATACACTTTCCCCTTAACACTGTTTTTGTTGCATCTCAGAGCTTTTGGTGTCTTGGGTCTCTTATGTTCATTTGTTTCAAATAATTTTTTGATTTTTGCCTTAATTTCTTTGTTTACCCAAAAGTCATTCAGGAGCAAGTTGTTTAGTTTCCATGCATTTGTGTGGTTTTGAGAGTTCCTTTTGGTATTGATTTCTAATTATATTCCACTGTGTTCTGAGAAGATGCTTGGTATAATTTTGATTTTTTAAATTTGTTGAGACTTGCTTTATGACCAAGCATGTGGTCAATATTAGAGTATGTTTTGTGTGCAGATGAGAAGACTGTATATTCTTTGGTTATTGGTGGAGTATTCTGTAGATGTCTATTAGGTCCAATTAGTCAAGTATTGAATTTAGGTCTAGAATTTCTTTGTTAATTTTCTTCCTTGATGATCTAATGTTGTCAGTGGAGTGTTGAAGTCCCCCCACCCCCTGCTCCTCTGATTATTGTGCGGCTGTAAAAGTCTTTTCTTAGGTAGAAGTAATTATTTTATAAATCTGAGTGCTCCAATGTTGGGAGCATATATATTTAGGATCATCAAATCTTCTTGAATTGAATTCTTTATCATTATATCATGCCCTCTTTGTCCTTTTTTATTCTTGTTAGTTTAGGGTCTGATTTCTCTGATACAAGAATAGCATCCTCTGCTCTTTTTTATTTTGTTTGCATGATAGATCTTTTTCCACCCTTTACTTTGAGCCTATAGTTGTCATTACATGTGAGATGGGTCTCTTGAAGACAGCAGAACGATGGGTCTTGTTTTTTAATTCAATTTGCCATTCTATATCTTTTAAGTGGAATGTTTAGGTCATTTATGTTCAAGGTTAATATTGATATGTGAGGTGTTGTTTTTGTTGTGGTGTTGTTGGCTAGCTGCTTTGTAGTCCCGATTGTGTAGTTGCTTTATGCAGTCTGTAGGCTATGTACTTATGTGTGATTTTGTGGTTACATGTATTGTTCTTTCATTTCTATGTTTAGGATTCCCTTAAGCATTTCTTGTAGAGCTGGTCTGCTGGTGCCAAATTCCCTCAGTGATTACTTGCTTGGGAAAGATTTTATTTGTTTTTTGTTTATAAGGCTTAGTTTGGCAGGATATGAAAGTCTTTGCTGGAATCCCTTCCCTTCCCTTTCTTTCTTTTTTTCTTTTCTTTTTTTTTTTTTCAGAGCCTCACTCTGTCACCCAGGCTGGAGTGCAATGGCGTGATCTCAGCTCACTGCAACCTCTGCCTCCTGGGTTCAAGCAATTCTCCTGTCTCAGCCTCCTGAGTAGCTGGGATTACAGGTTCACACCACCACGTCCAGCTAATTTTTTGTATTTTAGTAGAGACAGGATTTCACCGTGTTGCCCAGGCTGGTCTGGAACTCCTGAGCTGAGGCGAACCACTTGCCTCAGCCTCTCAAAGTGTTAGGATTACAGGCATGAGCCACTGCGCCTGGCCCAGGAATTTCTTTTCTTTAAGAATGCTAAAAATGGGCCCCCAATCTCTTCTGGCTTCTAAGTTTTCTGCTGAGAGTCTGCTCTTACTCTGATAGGATTCCCCTTATAGGTAATATAGCCCTTTTCTCTAATGCCTTAAGATTTTTTCTTTGATTTGACCTTGGAAAGTCTGATGACTATGTCTTAGGGATGGTCAGCTCATACAGTATCTTGCAGGAGTTCTCTGGATTTCTTGTATCTGCATGCCAACTTCTCTAGTGAGATTGGGGAAATATTCCTGGATTATATACTCAAATATGTTTTCCAGTTGCTTACTTTCTTTTTTTTTTTTTTCTTTTTCTTTTTCTTTTTTTTTAATTATACTTTAAGTTTTAGGGTACATGTGCACATTGTGCAGGTTAGTTGCATATGTATACATGTGCCATGCTGGTGCGCTGCACCCACTAACTCGTCATCTAGCATTAGGTATATCTCCCAATGCTATCCCTCCCCCCTCCCCCCACCCCACCACAGTCCCCAGAGTGTGATATTCCCCTTCCTGTGTCCATGTGATCTCATTGTTCAATTCCCACCTATGAGTGAGAATATGGGGTGTTTGGTTTTTTGTTCTTGCGATAGTTTACTGAGAATGATGATTTCCAATTTCATCCATGTCCCTACAAAGGACATGAACTCATCATGTTTTATGGCTGCATAGTATTCCATGGTGAATATGTGCCACATTTTCTTAATCCAGTCTATCATTGTTGGACATTTGGGTTGGTTCCAAGTCTTTGCTATTGTGAATAATACTTTCTTTTCTCTCCAAGGAATGATAATAAATGGTAGATTTAGTCACTTTACATAATCTCATATTTCTCAGAGCCTTTGCTCATTTTTTAAAAAATTCTCTTTTCTTTATTTTTTTCTGACTGGGTTGATTCAAAGGACCAAACTTTGAGCTCTGAAATTCATTCTTCTGCTTGGTCTAATCTGTTGTTAAGACTTCCAGTTTCATTTTGATACTCCCGTAGTGAGATTTTCAATTTCAGAAGCTCTGTTTGGTTCTTTCTTAATATAGCTGTATCATCTTTCAAACCTTGGATTATTTCTCTGGCTTCTTTGCATTGGATTTCAACTTTCTCTTGGATCTCATTGAGTTTCCTTGTCATACATATTCTGAATTCTGTATCTATTATTTCAGACATTTCAATCTGAATAGGATCCATTGCTAGGGAACTAGTGTGATCCTTTGGAGGTAACAAAGCACTCTGGCTTTTTGTATTGCTGAAGTTCTTGTGCTGATTTCTTCTTATCTGAAGGAATTGATGCCTCTTTATCTTTTTGAATTTGCTTGTTTGGATGGAGTTTTTTGACATTTTATTCTTTTTTTTCCTGGAGGATATGACTGTGGTGTATGTTGTGTACAATCAATTGGCTTTGTTTCTGGGTGCTTTCAGAGGGGCAAGGCTCTATATGGGTTCTTTGGTTACATAGAGGTTTGTGCAGTGTGTTTGACAGGCATTGCTTGTAGCAATGTTATTTTTGTTTGGTATTGTAATTCAGGCTGTAGTCCTGGCTTAAAAGAGCCAGCACATAGGCTCTTAGCTGCAATAGCCCTCAGTGGGGGTGGAGGCAACAGAGAAGCATGCTCCTCCAACTCACAGTTACTTTCAGCAGGGTGGGTCCAATGGAGAATCACAGAAAAGCAGCTTACTGAAGTACACACACTTACCAGGCCCCAACAGGAAGGGCTCCAATGGGAATGTGGGTGAGGGTGGAAAATGAGAGACGCTCCCTCTTTAAGTCCATTCCTAGGCCTTGGTGGTGTCTCTTTTAGTGGCTGGCATCACACCCCCATTTCCTTTTTCCCAAGTGGGGCTTTGGTGGAGTGCGCTCCCTCCTTTCTTAGGGGTGCTTTGCACCAAAGACTGTCTCTAGAAGACCATTTACTCCTTAGGTAACTGCCTATCCCCTGTGCTTGCCAAAGTTAGAGTGAGTTGTGGAGTATGTCTGCAGGTGGTTTGGTGATGCAGTTGTTCAAAGGTGGAGACTCCCTGGACAGGTTAGTGGCACTGCCAGTGTACAACCAATATGGCACCTGCTGCCTAGGCTTCTCAGCCCAGCGGATGGTTGTGGGGCCTGCCCAGCTCATGTTCCCTGACCTGGTGGGTCTCCCTCCAGTCTCTGCCCAAGTAGCAGGCCCAACCAGCTAGGCTTGTCCCAAGCCATTTTTGTCCAGATCACTGAGCCAGCCCAGGCATTCTGGGCTATGGAACTCAGTAAGGGAAAAGTGGTGGCTGTTAGGCCATGCTCATCCTGGAAAAAGAGGGGTGGGCTGGGCGCAGTGGCTCATGCCTGTAATCCCAGCACTTTGGGAGGCCGAGGCAGGTGGATCGCCTGAGGTCAGGAATTCGAGACCAGCCTGGTCAACATGGTGAAACCCTGTCTCTACTAAAAACACAAAAATTAGCTGGGCATGATGACAGCCACCTGTAATCCCAGCTACTTGGGAGGCTGAGGCAGGAGAACTGCTCAAACCTGGGAGGTGGAGGTTGCAGTGAGCTGAGATTGTGCCACTGCACTCTAGCCTGAATGACAGAGCGAGACTCCGTCTCAAAAAAAAAAAAAAAAAGGAAAGAAAAAAAGAGGAGTGACCAGCTCCCTTGCTGGCATACAAACCTATGCCATATTCTTCCTTGTGTTCCCCTACTCGAGCTCAGGCCACAGATATCAACTTGATATCCCTGGGTGGTGTGCTTGAGTCCTGGGGAGTTGGGACCAGAACTGTGGATTTTTCCCCTGGCCCCTAGGGGTCAAGCACTGGCTGTGATGGGGGTGGTGAACTACTCCTGGGCTGCCAATAAAACACTCAGGCAGGGCCGTGGAGGCTGTGCTGTGGGCACTCTCCCACAGGAGCGGCCTCAGAGGTGGTCTTGGGAGGGGCCAGCAGGCAAAGGGGTGCATGGAATAGATGCACTTTGGGCCTGTAGCAGTGGTGGTGGGGCCTGTCTTGAGGCATGAGCATGCTCAGGACCTGCTCTTTCTTGGCCTGGCAGATAGCAGGAGCTGCAGCCACTCAGTGTAACATGGAGAGCTTTGGGGGATGAGTGTGGTAGTGTTATCCTGCAGCTGCACAGCACAGCAAAGCCTTCTGGGCTGTGTGTGGGTTCAAACTGTGCCTCTGCTTATTCTTTGGGCTGCTCTGCCTGCCAGTCCAAAGGTCTGTGGGGGTCACAAGAACTCCTGTGTCTAGGATCTCAGAGGTCCATGGCAGGAACGTGGTGCCCTGGGGTTCCTTCACTGACTCCTTCTTTAGGTCCAGTCCAAGTCCAGGGGTTGCTTCTGGTGCCTGGTGACTCTGAGCAGGCCTAGGTCATGGGAGAGCTTCGAGTGCATGCTGAAGAGCTTGGACTACCCTTAGGTAATGGTGCAGCATCACAAGGTCTTACACAGAGGAGTAAAACAACCCAGTTTGCTCTGGGTTATGATCTGGCACTGTGATCATGCTTTTAATAAACCATGTTTTAATTTATCTGCTTTGGACATTTGTCACTGTATTTTTATAATTGAATCACGTATGGATCCACAGACCTTTGTGTAATATGACACAAATGTGCCCAGCCTGGTAGAAGAAGGGCAAAGGGAGAGGGTTATATTATTATTGAAATCCTCATGTAATTGTTGGACTGTGATCAGGTAGATTATGGATGGACTAGGCAGAAGGCCTGGAGATGTAGGGGCTTGGCCAGTGACAGGGAAAATGCATGATGGTCTTAGGATTCTGTGAAGGACCCAGAGGTAACAGGCTAAATTGGAACCAAATGTTGAAGTCAAGGTGAAACAATTATTTTATTTGTTTATTTAGGAAGATTATAATTTCCAGAGTGAGTGGGGGTGATTATTGATGTTTTGAGTTTACATACACAACATAAATATGTATTTTAAGATGAAAGGCCACATACCTGGAAGACTAGATTAGCATTTTCATGCATTCCAAAAATTTCTGGGTCATCGATCAAAGGCAGATTTTCAATGTAGTCCTTAAACTCTTGTAGGCTGTCAGCCATGGGTGCAAAATAGATGCCTGTTATTAAAAACACAGAAGACAAATATGTCTCAAATAGACTGGCTTTGTACTGCCAAGTTTGATTTTTCTTTGTGTGGTGCAGATGGTGGCTGCAATCAGCTGGCTCATGTAGAAAGGGGGATTGTTTTTCCTAAGCTTTCATGCTTTCATTGCTGTGTCTAGTTTTGTTATCTTTTCTTCAGGCCTTGAGAATCTCATTACTGTCCTAACTTGTCAGATGCCTTCTCCAGCGCATTTAAAGATGCGGAGAATCCAGGGATATGCTGCTGAAAGGTGTAACTCATGAAGGGCTCCAAATTTATGTTGAAAGGTGTAACTCATTAAGGGCTTAAATTTATGCTTGTGTTAGAGATTGCTTTTATATTTGTTTGATAAACAACAACAGCCCTCTCTAATTGCCCAAACTAAAAGCTACATTGAAATCTAGGGTTATTCAACTATCTATAGTGATTGCAGGATATACAGTTGAATCCAGCTCTGACTGATGCTCTATGGTAGGAGCTTTTATGAGCTTGTACTAATCAAGTTGCTCCTTCCAAGGGGATCACTCAGGACAATTAATCTGTTTGCTGTCTGACTCATAATAAACTATCTCCAACTCACAGATCTGGTTTTTACTCAACTTGCTGTAATAGACATTTTCTTTTCTTTATTTTTTTAAAAACTTTTATATAGTAGTAATAATAATATTTACTATGATTTAGAGACTGGGTCTTGTTATGTTGCCCAGGCTGGATTTGAACTCCTGAGCTCAAGTGATTCTCCTACCTCAGCCTCCTGAGTATCTGGGACCACAGACATGTGCCACTATGTCTGGATGTTTTATTTGATTACATTCAAAACATACTAGAACATAACATTGAAAACAGATTTAGACACAGTGCAATAAGCTTTAAAATCGAAGTAATTCAAAGTAGTTACCATGTACTATGTATCTCTGTGATCCTACTATCAAACCAGCTCTGAAGGTGGCCAAGCATGGGGATAGGGTGTGGCTATAACAGCGTTGTGGAGACCTGACACAGACAGCCCCTGGGTGGGAAACTGAGAGATGCTGTCAACATCTTCTTGGGAAAGGCCTTTTCTGTAATATTGAAAAGTCATTCACCTGATTCAGAGTATTTATAATCTTCTTCTAATGTTTCAGGAGAAAAAAATCTTTTCAAGATAGTACGAAGGCATCTTTGGTCCCAGCTGTCTGTGACTCTACCACCATAAGTAATTTCACCTGAAAAGAAATTTGTATTTTGAAATTATTGCTGTTTTTAAAAAATTGATAGGCATACCTAATTTTAAATTTTTAATGTTTATTTATACACACATTTATTTGGTACTGAAAATGGAAAGCACACAACAGAATTTCCTTCCACCACCCCCTCAAAGATAATAGAAGTCAATTTTTGAAAAGTAGAAAAAATCTACTATATGTACTCTACTCTCATTATTTTGCTGTTTTAGTTTTCAGAGACTAAAGCCACTGAGCTCTATTTACATATTTCTTTTTTGTTTTTGTTCTTTTGCTTTGAAATACTGATTTTGAGTCTTATCATTGATTGCAGTATTCTAAAACATACACACTTTCCATCAAACAGTGCTTCTTTCGGAGACAATGAGTAAAATGGAATCAAGTATTTGCAGCAAGGCATTCAACCTCTATACATTTCTTATTAATTATTGCTATCAGGGTAAGGAGGAAAGATAGATTCAAAGCAAAAGGGACAATTCACTTCACAGTAATTATAAGGAATTATAACTGATTGGTATCCCATCTCTCTTTCCACAGAGAAGCTACTTTCCATGTGCCCCATTGTCATCCCAAAATTATGTGTAGCAAGGAAGCACACTGGAATCTATTGCTGATATAATTTCTTTAAAATTCCAGATCCATTGCTACAATTCACCATTCACCACTGTAGTGTTCCTGGAAGGATTTCACCTGTGATACCTACATTGTCAACCTCTGAATCCTCCAACTGTTGATCCATTCTTATCTCTATTTCTTCCATCATGTCAGGAAGAAAAAATTGTTTTTTCTTTCTCTTTCTTTTTGTTTTGTTTTATAATTAGTTTATTTTCCAATTTATTAATCATATGAATCTAGACTTTATTTAAATATGAATAACATTTCATTGAATATTTACAGAGCATGTACACAAACTAATAAATTTATGCACTAAACAGATTAAATTTATTTTATTTTATTTTATTTTATTATTATTACACTTTAAGTTTTAGGGTACATGTACACAATGTGCAGGTTAGTTACATATGGATACATGTGCCATGCTGGTGTGCTGCACCCATTAACTTGTCATTTAGCATTAGGTATATCTCCTAATGCTATCCCTCCCCCCTCCCCCCACCCCACAACAGTGATGTTCCCCCTCCTGTGTCCATGTGTTCTCATTGTTCAATTCCCACCTATGAGTGAGAACATGTGGTGTTTGGTTTTTTGTCCTTGCGATAGTTTACTGAGAATGATGATTTCCAATTTCATCCATGTCCCTACAAAGGACATGAACTCATCATTTTTTATGGCTGCATAGTATTCCATGGTGTATATGTGCCACATTTTCTTAATCCAGTGTATCATTGTTGGACATTTGGGTTGGTTCCAAGTCTTTGCTCTTGTGAATAGTGCCGCAATAAACATACGTGTGCATGTGTCTTTATAGCAGCATGATTTATAGTCCTTTGGGTATATACCCAGTAATGGGATGGCTGGGTCAAATGGTATTTCTAGTTCTAGATCCCTGAGGAATCGCCACACTGACTTCCACAATGGTTGAACTAGTTTACAGTCCCACCAACAGTGTAAAAGTGTTCCTATTTCTCCACATCCTCTCCAGCACCTGTTGTTTCCTGACTTTTTAATGATTGCCATTCTAACTGGTGTGAGATGGTATCTCATTGTGGTTTTGATTTGCATTTCTCTGATGGCCAGTGATGGTGAGCATTTGTTCATGTGTTTTTTGGCTGCATAAATGTCTTCTTTTGAGAAGTGTCTGTTCATGTCCTTTGCCCACTTTTTGATGGGGTTGTTTGTTTTTTTCTTGTAAATTTGTTTGAGTTCATTGTAGATTCTGGATATTAACCCTTTGTCAGATGAGTAGGTTGCAAAAATTTTCTCCCATTTTGTGGGTTGCCTGTTCACTCTGATGGTAGTTTCTTTTGCTGTGCAGAAGCTCTTTAGTTTAATTAGATCCCATTTGTCAATTTTGGCTTTTCTTGCCATTGCTTTTGGTGTTTTAGACATGAAGTCCTTGCCCATGCCTATGTCCTGAATGGTAATGCCTAGGTTTTCTTCTAGCGTTTTTATGGTTTTAGGTCTAACGTTTAAGTCTTTAATCCATCTTGAATTAATTTTTGTATAAGGTGTAAGGAAGGGATCCAGTTTCAGCTTTCTGCATATGGCTAGCCAGTTTTCCCAGCACCATTTATTAAATAGGGAATCCTTTCCCCATTGCTTGTTTTTCTCAGGTTTGTCAAAGATCAGATAGTTGTAGATATGCGGCATTATTTCTGAGGGCTCTGTTCTGTTCCATTGATCTATATCTCTGTTTTGGTACCAGTATCATGCTGTTTTGACTACCGTAGCCTTGTAGTATAGCTGAGATGGTTGGTTGAGAGAAAGTTATTTCAGTCTTTGGAATCTCAATAATTTATTTCTTCCAAGACAGCAATGTCTTTATCTGCATATCCTGTAGAGATGCCTGTCTTCCCTCTCCTGTTGGAGTAACTCTTGTCAGTCTTGTTGGACAAGCCACTCAGGGAGAGGGGAAGGGAAGTAGGTACCAGGGCTGATGGTTAAGTTGCTGAATCCCTGTATCGGCAATTCCAAGATGTAAAAAGGAGATGTTCTGTAGCTTCCTAGGAGTATTCTTTAGCGACCCTCTGGGAAATCTTGGAACATAAAGTTGGGTTAAATCTCTGTCGTGGGTCCATCTAATATGGTCGGACTTGAAGCTCCTCTTGGGTCCTTGGCGCTGGAACATAAAGCTCTAGTTTCTCCAATTGCATGATGATGTCAGGGGAAGAAGGGTGTCCTAACATACATTATTCTAAAATAAGTTTCTAACTAAAATATCTGCATTTTGACAAGCAGCACAGAAGTGTTTTCCTTACAAATCAACAGATTTTGCGCTTCTCCATCCAGATTTGACTCTATCCTTTTTCATGGGTCAAACTGAGTAAACAAGGAAATCTGTCATTTTGACTCAGGGTAGATGACTCACAGCTCACTTTCAAGAAGGAGTCTTCTGGCTTTGGTCTTCTTAGAAGAGGGACCGCTTGTGTGTGTGCACGCCCGTGTGTGTGTACGTGTGTGCATGCGTGTGTGTGTGTGGTGGTGTCCACCATCCATGCCACTGCCTGGTCTGGCCCCAGCATCATGGTTCCTGTGGGTACCATTGCAGAACCCAACATAGTGGCTTCCCCTTTCCCTTCCTTTCCCATCCCTGTGGGCTGGCTTGGGCATGGTCCAATAAAAACTGGAGAGGCCTGAGGTCTGACTTTGTCTTTGCCAACTTTGAGCTCAGATCCACCCCCAATACCACTCCTGGATGTATGTATTGCTGTAACCTACACTATAAAATCTGAAGGTCCTCCTCCAATCCCAAACACCTTCCAGTATTTAAAGCCTCCTAAATGTTTCTCTGTTTATTCTCTCCTGTCTGGTTTTCCCATGGGTATTGCTATATCTCCATGTTCAATCCCTCATTTTGCTTTTATTATAGCTTTGTGAATTGTTGCACTTCTTCCTAACCTAAAAGACCATAATTGCTAACCAATGTTTGTAAGTTAGAGCAAAATTTATTAGCAAGACACATAGGCCTTTCAGGATATGCCCCCGGCTTACCTTTTTTAGTGTTGTTGAAGACACAACTGCCCTCCATACACACTTCCTTTTTTGGAGCTACTAACTGTTTCTCTAGTAGTGCCATGTCCCATACACTCTTGGCCTCCCCTCACCCCCGCGCCTTTATTGAGGTATAATTGGTATCCAAAAAACTGCACATAATTAATGTATACAACCTGGGGAGTTTTGACATACGTATATACTTATGTTGCTATCTCCACAATCCATATGGTAAACATATCCATGACCTCCGACAATTTCTTTGTGCCACCCACTTTTTTATTGTGGTTAGAATACTTAACATGAAATCTACTCTCTTGATAAATTAATTTAAAGTACAAAATACCTTCTGATTAACTGTAAGTGCTATATTGTACAACAGATCTCTAACTTACTCATCTTGTATAACTATAACTTTATACTGAACAACAACTCCCCATTTTCCTCCTCCTTCTATCCTGTGATACCCACCATTCTCTTGTCTACTTCTAGACTTTTGACTATTATAGAGGCCTCACATAAGAGGAATCATGCAGTATTTGTCCCTCTGTGACTAACTTATTTCACTTAGCATAATGTCAGTCAGGTCCATCCATGTTGTCACAAATGGTAGGATCTTTCTTTTTTAAGGATAAATAGTATTCCATTGTATGTATATACGATACTCTCTGTGTCCATTTATATGTTGATGGACATTTGGGTTGTTTCCATATTTTGGCTACTACGAATGATTCATTATCTCCATCAGCTTTTGGTAGGCAGAGACTATGTCATCTTTGATATCCAGCATTTATCATAATAGTACTAATCAATATTTTCTGAATTAATCCATAAATGAATGCCTAAAAAAACTCGCCATTAGCAAGTATCGTCACCTGGATAAAGCATTGTCTTTTTACTCCTATCTTTTTTAAAAAACCAGTTTCAATGAGATATAATTTAAAAAACCATAAAATTCACATAAAACATATATAAAAGAATATATATTGAAAATATGTCTATTCTTATATATATAATTATATATATATAAATTCATTAATTTTTGGTAAATTTACAGAGTTGTCCAACCATCATTGCAATCTAATTTTAGAACATTTCCATTTCCCCCCAAAAGAAATCTTGTGTCCATTTGCAGTCAGTCCTCATGTCTACTCCCTGTCCCATGAAACCACTGAACTACTTTCCATCTCTATAGGCTTGACTCGTCTGGAAATTTCATATACATAGAATTGTACTTGTGGGCTTTTGTGTCTGGCTTCTTTTACTTAGCATAATGTTTTTGGGATTTATTTATGTTGTTGTATGTATCAGTACTTTATTCCTTTTTATGGTGGAATAATATTCTATTTATGGATATGCCATATTTTACTTAGCCATTCACCAGTTAATGGACATTTTTGGCCATTATGAACAATGCTGTTATGAACATTTGTGTACAAGTTTTGTTTTTGTGTGTGTTTTTTTTTTCTTTTTTCTTTTTTTTTTTGAGATGGAGTTTTACTCTCTCGCCCAGGCTGGAGTGCAGTGGCGTGATCTCGGCTCACTGCAACATTTGCTTTCTGGTTTCAAGTGATTCTCCTGCCCCAGCCTCCTGAGTAGCTGGGATTACAGGTGTGCACTACCACACCCAGCTAATTTTTGTATTTTTAGTAGAGACAGGGTTTCACCATGTTGGCCAGGCTGGTCTCGAACTCCTGACCTCATGATTCGCCCACCTGGGCCTCCCAAAGTGCTGGGATTACAGGCGTGAGCCACTGCGCCCGGCCTTGTGTACAAGTTTTTGTGAGGACATATGTTTTAATTTTTTCTAAGTACATATCTAGGAGTAGAATTGCTAAGTCATATGGCAACTTTATTTAAAATTTTTTTCAAAGCAGCAGGACAATTTTACATTGCCACCAGCAGGTATGAGGCTTCCAATTTTCTCATATGCTCACCTGCGTTTGTTATTATCTTTTAAAATTATAGTCATCCTAGTAGGTGTGAAGTGGCATTTCATTAGAGATTTAACTTTCATTTCCCTCATGACAAATTGAGCATCTTGACATGTGTTTACTGGGCATTTGTATGTCTTCTTTGGTGAAATGTCTATTCAAATAAAATCTTCAACCATTTTAATATTGAGTTATTTTTCTTATTGTTGAGTTGTAAGAGGTCTTTATATACTTTGGATACAAGCCCTTATCAGATATATGATTTGCAAATATTTTCTTTCAGTCTGTGTCTTGCCTTTTCACTTTCTTGATGGTGTGTGTTGAAGTGTAAAAGTTTTAGATGTTGATGAAGTCCAATTTATTTTTTCTTTTTTGTGTCATATCTCGGAAGTCAGTGACTAACCCCAAATCACAATTCACTCCAAAGCTTTCTTCTAAGAGATTTACATTTATCTGTTAATTGTAGGTCTGTCACCCATTTTGAATTAATTTTTGTGTATGGTATAAGGGTCCAAATTTATCCTTTTGTATATGGACACCCAATTGTCCCAGCATCATGTGTTGAAAAGACTATCCTTCCCCCATTGAATTGCCTTGGCACCTTTGTTGAAAATCAGTGGTCATAAATATAAAGGTCATTTTTGGATTCTCAACTCTGTTCCATTGATTTATAAGCCAATTCTTTTTTTAAAAAATATATATGTTATTTCTCAACACAAGGTCCATCAATTCAAAACATTTTTGTAAGCAATGATACCAGCCATTCAGTCCATCCCCAAAGAACTGATGGTCCTGGGAGTTTAACCATGTCAATGCAGTCTTTTTTTATATTAACCGAAGAAAATGGGTGCCCTTTAACAAAATTTTAATATTAGGAAGCACAGAAGTCAGAGGGAGCCAAATTAGGTCTGTAAAGTGAATACCTAATGATTTCCCATAAAAACTCTTGTAAAAGTGCTCTAGTTTGATGAGAGGCCTGAATAGCATTGTTGGAGTGGAGAAGGACTCTCTGGCGAAGTGTTCTTAGGCATTTTCCTGCTAAAGTTTTGGCTAACTTTTTAAAAATACTCTCATAATAAGCAGATGTTATCATTCTTTGGCCCTCCAGAAAGTCAAGATGCAAAATGCCTTTAGCATTCCAAAAAACTGTTGCCATGAGCTTTGTTCTTGACTAGTCTGCTTTTGCTTTGACTGGACCACTTCCATCCATTGGTAGCCATTGCTTTGATTGTACTTTGCTTTCAGGATTGTACTGGTAAAGCCATGTTCCATCTCCTGTTATAATTCTTCAAAGAAATGCTTCAGGATCTTGACTGCACTTGCTTAAATTTCCATTGAAAGCTTTGCTCTTGTCTGCCTCTGATCTGGATGTAAGAGTTTTGGCACCTATGGAGTGGAAAGTTTGCTCAACTTTAATTTTCAGTAAAAATTGTGTAAAATGAACCTATTGAGATGTCTATGGTGTTGGCTGTTGTTTCTGCTGTTAATTGTTGGTGTGCTTCAGCGAGGGCATGAACAAGATTAATTTTTTCTTTGCAAATTGATGTGGATGGCCTGCTGCTGTGGCCTTCATCTTCAACACTGTCTTGGCCCTTCTTAAAACTAGTTATCCATTTATAAATTGCTACTGATTTGTTTGGGGCACTGTCCCTATAAACTTTTTGTAAAGTATCAATATTTGCCTTTCTTCCACACAAGCTTCACCGTAAATTTGATGCTTGTTCTGCTTCAATTTTAGCAGAATTGATGTTACCCTGGCAAGGGCTCCTTGCAAATTGATGTCTTATCCTTCTTAGTGCCTCAAACTAGATCCAGAAATGGAATTTTCAACATAGATGAAGATCCAAATTTGTAAGAACTACAACACCTTTCTTAATTTTCCCATAAAATCAGTCTTATTTACAGCAATACTTTGGGACATTTGTTGCTGAGATGTCCTGTTTTCTTCAGCGCAACTTTTTGACAGCTCTGAGACTCTTCTGACCAAGACTAGGTGCTGGCCTGGAAGGAACAGTGGATGGGTGCCACATAAAAATAAATCGACCTGATAAAGGCTCTGCTCCCTTCATGCCAGAAACAAAAAATGTGATAAAGCTATGGTCACCACTGCCAAGTCAAAATCTGTCTATTTTTATGCCAGTGCCACAATGACTTGTTATAATTTTGCAGTAAGTTTTGAAATTGGGAAACGTTATTCTTTTGACTTCATTCTTTTTTTCAAGATTGTTCTTGCCATTTGAGGCCCTTCACATTTTCATATGAATTTTATAATCAGCTTATCAATTCCTGCAACATGCTAGTTGATCTGGGTGTAACAGTCTGCTGTTACATAGGGATTGCATTAAATCTACAGACCAGTCTGGCAAATTACTTTTTACCTCCACAATTACTTCCACAGCAGTAGACACTGAGGTAACCTGAAACATCAAGGATTCTAGGAGAGGGAGAAGGAAAAGGAAAATGAGAAACAGGAAAACTCAGGGTAAGCAGAGGATACCAGAGAACAATTTTGCCTACATCATCACTTTGCTAAGCAATTTCGGCCCCATTGGGATGGCTTGGGGCAGGAGTACAAAGTAACCTCCCAAATTCCAGGCCTTTCCCTATTGGTTCACTCTGGGGACTGGTCCTAATCTATTTTTACTGTTATTTTGCTGCCTTCATCTCAAACATGTTTTAAGGTTTCATTTTACCTTTTAGGCTCTAGATCACCTGATACCCTTCTGCTGTTCTCCATTTCCCTTACTTGCCAATGAAAATCATCGATTTCCTTTCTGTCCCTTTTCAGAGCTCCTCCTTCCCCCACTTCCCAGTGCAAATATCCTCTCCCTTACTACTTGAGCCCACATGGTCCAAATTGGTTCTAATTTTGGCAACAAGATCCCTATGTAGTCACAGTTAATATTTACCAAAAATTTAATTCCTGAAAGGTTTTTCCTTTTTTACAGGTATATCTGAATTAACAGGTCTCTACTAGTCAGTTAATGTTTAGGTTCTTTTGAATTTAAGATCATGGACTCTGGAGGCTACACTGTTTGGGTTCAAATCTTGGCCCCAGCACTTTGTAAATGGTGTGCCTCAGTTTTCTCATGTGTAGCACGGTGATAATAATAGTCCTCACATTGTAAGGTTATTACGAGGATTAAATCTGCTAATTCTTGGGAAGTGCTTAAAATAGTGCTTGGCATGTAGCAAGCACTATTTTTCCTATTATTATTATTATTGAGAAAGCAGCTGTCCCATTTTCTGTGTGTGAATATTCTCATGATGTCCTTATATATTTTTGTTACAATCTTGTCTTCACACAAGGAACATAAAATATCATCATCACCACCATTAAACACTGGGGGAGGACACCATCTTTGTAAGGGCCAGGTGGGAGTAAACCAACAACTTTGTGGTACATAGATGGAAGGCCTGGCCACAAGGACGTACTCACCAGTAATGTAAATTAGTGCATCCCAGGGAATCTTTCCTTCTTTACAATAGAGTTTGAGATTCAGTAAAGCACATTCCCTGTCACTGTCATTAAATTCATAGCAGATATTCCAACCAAGGGGGCCAAACTTCTTTCTCTCCTAAAATGAAAAATGAAAATGATCTGAAATAAAATTTGATAAAATTAATTTTGTGTAAAATACTGGAAACTAAAAAGAAATTTCCATTGAAAATGGGCATCCCCACACTGCAAAATCAGTAAAATCATGTGGCTCAACTTCAGCTAGGCTTTCACCAAACAGAGAAAGCACCTCTTCCTTCAATACTGGCTCCTCCCCATATTTCCAAAAGAAAATTTGCTATTACCAGAAATTTGAAAGACCTGTCAAAAGAACATTTTTCCTTCAGGATAAAATAAAGCATTTTCTCATCAAAGCAGAAAAAAAAATTTCACCTACAGTCTTTTGGCATAAAAATACTGACCCTGCAATCATCCATCTGGTGGAGAGAGCTACTCCCTACTGTTTTAAGGAGTCTGTCCATGATTTTTCAGTTATGCCACACACAGAATCATATTTTTTTGTTTCATGGCATACCATCATGAAATCCTCCCCCAACTTCCTTTGTTATCTCCCTATCCTACCTTAATTTCTTAAATTTGAAACTGATAATTATGCCAGAGGTTTGATTCCAAGTTCCTAGCTCTTGATCTCAAAATTTTCCTAAAGCTTAAACTACCTCCTCATCTCAGCTGCTTTTGTTAGCGGAACAAGGGCCTCACCCAGAACCTCTGATCCCAACCTGTCAGACCTCCTCTAAGACCTTTTAACCTATTTATCTTATATCTGGCATCTTTTCTTTTTTTTTTTTTTTTTTTTTGAGACAGAGTCTTTCTCTGTCACCCAGGCTAGAGTGCAGTGGCACAATCACTGTTCATTCAGCCTTGACCTCCCAGGCTCAAGCAATCCTCCCACCTCAGCCTCCTGAGTAGCTGGGACTACAGGTGTGTGCCACCATGCCTGGCTATTTTTTAAAACTTTTGTAGAGATGGGGTTTCGCTGTGTTGCCCAGACTGGTCTTGAACTCCTGGGCTCAAGCGAATTGCCCATGTTGGCCTCCCAAAATGTTGGGATTACAAGGATGAGCCACTGTGCACAGTCTGATTCATTCATTCATTCATTCATTCATTCATTCATTCATTCTTTCTTTCTCTGTAGACCACACACGTTTGAAAACTGGGAAGCTAATATAGTAAATATGCCACCTATGAGGAAATCTATTTTGTGCTTGTTGAACTGAATTGAACCTACTGCATTCATCCAATTGATGGTATTCTGTAGGCAGATCAGACGAGAGGTGAGAGCTGAAGCTGTGAAATACGAAGGCAAGGGGAGTATAGAGATTGAATGAAAACAACTTGGGTTCAGACACAGAATGGGGCCTTCAGCATTTCACAATGACATTTATAAGCTTTCACTTAATTATTACTATTTATTTATTTCATAATACACTTCCTTGTTGCTATTGAAAAGCAGAGTTGAGTGTACCTGAATAATTGCATGGAAGAAACAAATGCCAAATATTATTTGTCTCCATTTTTTTCCAAGTATATTTTCTTCAAAAAACGAAGGTGTCATTTCAGTAAATGCTCGTCTGATATTTGCACGTAAGCCTTTTGGAGGCTCATTGGTCACCTGGATTTAGATAGAATATATGTGGCAGAGAGAGTGATTTTATAGATTTGCATTATTTCTGAATAACACACATAGACTGAAGCCATTGAAATGATGTAGATTGCTGATGTTCATGGGGAGGTGGGGACCATTCCTGGCATGTTCGAGCCTGCTTTGTATCTTGCTCAGGCACAGTCCAGGGAGAATAGGGAATGGCAGGTTTCTCAGACCTACAGTGGTTGAACCACATGACAAGAACCTCAGACACTTCCATTTAGTGTCCATTTTTTCTAAACACAGGTCAGAAAGCATGCTCAGGGTTTCCTCATTGAATTTTGCATCATCCCTACATAGGGCATTGTTCCATAGTTTGTCCCCTGATGTCCCATGACGTGGGACAGGGAGGGAAGAAGCAACTCTTGTTCCTCATATGCAGAGGCTTGCCACAGATCATAAACTTCCAGCATTGAAATCCAGCAGCCATACTAGTATGGCTTGTAGGCCTTCCTGTCTCTCAAATACTGAAACATTCCCTTAACACTAGAAGGGGTTCTCTTCTTATCACTCTGTACCCTTAACATTTTCTTGTGAGGGTGACGGCTGGGAGAGCTGAATGACCCATAGGACTAGAATATGCAAGGATGGGGTTGGGAAATCGTTTCTCTGCTTGTTATAGGTGAAAAGATACTGACTTCACCTCCCCATGCTGGCCACACAGACCTCCACATGCTTCTGTGCAGGCTCTGATCTCCTGGGAGGCACTAGGTGAATATTCTGAAACCAACCATTTCACATTGTTCCAACCATATGCATACATTACCTTGACAGAATTTTGAAGAACTGTAACAGGAAATGTATTACTAGGCATGGAGCTTAAAAAAAGTCGAAAAGTGTCCTTGATAGCACTATCTGCTTAAAACAAAGATAAAACAACAAAAAAGGAAAATGTTTAGTTGGTAGTAGCACTTTTCTATAAGACATGATTATTTCTAGAGAAGGAAAAAATGCTATAAGCTTTGTTTAAAGATCTAGTTAATCTATTACAAGTATAGTGTAAACTGTTTCAAAATGGGAGTAAGATGCATTGTTTTAGAAACTTCACGTTAGGAAGGTTTGGCAGTCTAGAAGCAGGCACATTTGGGTAAATAAATTAGGAACACGATAATTTTTAATACTTGCTGAACTATTAAGGGCCTTATCTTTGAAATAGGAAACATTTTCAGTTGAAAAAGAGGGCAGTTATTGCCCATGTATTTATTTTCATGAGGATTTTTTGACCCTTCAATTTAACACAAGTTGCATGAAAATGGCCAAAAACCCCTACTGAGAAAATTCTCCCCTCAGCAGAAAAGTTGCAAAGGAAACAAGGGAGCCAGGATATGGAGAGACCTCATGTGTGGCATTAGCACGTTAAGTCAATGCACTTACTTTCTGAGATATGGACAGAGGACCCAAGAAAGAATGAGCTCCACTGTAGGTTCAAAAGGCCAAAGTAAAGTTGGAAAAATCATTGTTCCCATCACAGGAAGACACAGGCATCATTCAAGGACAAATTCCTTGGCATTGGTTTTTAAGTACGTATTATGCTGTTTCTCAAACATGCTAGGCTGGCTCCCTCACTAGGGCCTTTGCACTGGCTGTTCCCTCAGATTCCCTCACTTTCTTCATGTCTTGGTCAAATATCACCTTCTGAAAGAGGACTACTCAGATTAAACCACTTAAAATTGCTATCTTCCTTGCTCCCTACTCACATCCCATCTCAATCTTTCTGGTCCTCCTTACCTTACTCTCCTTTTTATTTTTTCCAAAGCACAACCATGTTCTAACACAACGTATACGTTACTTATTTACCATGTGGTTTATTCATTGTCTGTCTCCCCCCAACTAGAATGGAAACTCTACGAGGACAAATATCTATGGTTCTTTTGTTTATCAACATATCCTAGAACAATACATGGTACACTAGGCCCTTAATTATTTATGGAATGAATGACAACAAGTCAAAGCTGATTTCATGCTTCTTGGTTTGGTAATCTAAATTCACAAGCCACATTAAATAGCCCAAATTAAAAGTTAGTTCTACCAAATTCTAGAGCAATACTAACACTGTTTGCATAGTAAAAACTATTAGGCAAAGAAGTCAAACAACAACCAAAGTCTTAGGGCCAATGATTTCAGTAACCAAAAAACCAAAGAAAGAAGAAGGCCAGGTTTGGAGAAGGATTTTTTCCATACTTTTGTTCTTATAATTGCAAAAGCACCAAGCTTCTTAACTTTCATAGACATCATAGAATTTTAGGGCTGGACTAGAAGAGCATCTTAGAAATCATCTTAGTACAGGACTTTTCATGATGATGTCATGTAGTCATTTTATAGCTGGGGAAACTGGCCCAGAAAAAAGATATGACATGCACAGTCAGGAAGTGGTGGGGCAGAACTCTGTGGAGGTGTTAGGATTTCAAGTTCTGAGGTTTTATTTGTTTTGTTTTTTTTCTTTTTCTTCCTTTTGTATTTTCAGCTTATTACCTGAATGTATTTTATTTCCTACTGGTTCAAGTTAAACATCAGAACTTAAATGGTTAGGTGATAAATGATTATAGCAAGGGCCATAAGAGGATTTTTTCTATCCACTTAAGTTTAGTAAGCACTTAAAATACACAAACAACTTCAGCTGGCTTCATTAGCCGATCCAGTCTCCTTGAAGAACTGGCAAATGTTCTTGTCCTAGTTACAGTGAAACTGAATGGCATCTCCATATTCTGGAGCCTCATGTAGTACCACCACAGTAAATTGCTTTTTTGCTGCCTCTCTAGCATTTTTTTCTTAATTATATTCCTAATCACTGGGGACCCCTGACCAGTACTGAAGACCTCCTTGTCATTTCTCTTTAATTATTTAAGTAGAAATAAGCCACAGGCCCAGCAGGAAGCAGGCCCTCTCTTATTTGACAGCAAAAGAGTGGAAATAGTGGAGATTCTGAATGGTGGATAAAAATGAGTCCTTACCTTTGTCAGAAGCAGCCTGCAGAAGGCTTGTGGGTGAGGGCAGGGGGCCAGGAAGTGAAGGGCTTTTAGGGGAAGGCTGCTAAACCCTGAGCTGGCTCAGTGACCAGAGCAGACTGGGGACTCTGTAAAGGAGCAGCTCTTCACCTTAATAAGCAGCACTAAATAAAGTGATTTGCAAGATCATCTGCAGAGCTTTCACCTTTCCAGAAAGCTTTCTGTAGGGAGGGCACAAATAAAGGCCTCAGAGAAAGGGCTCTCTCTGGATATGCTTGCCTGGAGGTTCTCTCCCAGGGCTTCACAGCAGAGTGGTAGAGTGGGACCCACACAATTTGTTACCAATAAAATAGTTCCTGAGGTTTTGATTATTTTTATAGTAACACTTTAAAATGAGTAGATTCTAATTCCACTTCCTCTCTTTGCAGCCCGTTACACTTTCTTGAGTAGGCAAAAAAGTGGTGAGATAAAACTAGTGCTAGCAACTATGAGTAATGCTGAGCACGCCCATGGGTTAGGTGTGGCTCTGAGGCACATGTAAAGGTTAGTTGCCATGCGGGTTACAGAAGATAAAAGGTGGTAAAACACTACTCTAAGGGAATTGGTGGTAATTTGAACTCTGTTCCTTTACATTTCTCATTTTATAGGGAAGGATTTAATTTCCTTTGTTTGTCCTAAGTATATTTTTCTTTTTATTATGCCTATAAGTAATATATTTCAAATTCAAATGACCTCTCATAGAAGGCAATAAGAAACAGAAATGATCCAGTGGATCCTAGCCTCAACTTGGAATTCTGAAGGCCTTTTATCAAACCCTGGTTGTGTAAATTAGCTAAATCTGTCTAGGCCTCAAATTTCTCCTCTTTCATATATGGAAACACAGTGCCTACAATAATGAATTACTATAAGGAATGAATTCAACAAGAAAAGGTTACATAAAAATGTGATTATTATGCAAGGGCTATATGCTCAACATACCTGGATCTGTGAAGGTTTTAATGAGCTCTTCCATTGCCAACATCCAAGAAACAGCAAGATGGCAATTTTGCAAAAATACCCAGTTTCCTGATTTCATTGCATCCTTGACCATTTTTTCAGCAATAGGTCCTTGTCCTTGCCCCAGTGAAATTGACTGCACCCTGAATTGAACAGCAAGAACACAATATCATCTTATGCTATTTTAAAGCAAAATCAATATGAAGAAATATAAATACAGTAGACTCTTGCTTAGGATATATAAACATTTTGAATCCTCATTCCAATAGGAGTACAAGTATGTTTTCCTTATTTCTTGTTTTTAAAAATATTTTTACCATGACCCACATAGAAAAGTGCAAAAACCGAATATACAGCTCTACAAATGATCACAAATCAATACCTGCGGTTGAGAAGAGACCTGTGCTGATACACTAGAGACATTTCTCTCATGCCTCTCTCCACCGCAATGATTTCCCCTTCCTTCTTCCCACAGGTAATCATTATCCTAACTTCTAACAACACTATAGATCAGTTTTTAAACACTTAAAAAATTAAAGTCTAACATATACAGAAAAATACATATTATTAGTGTATGGGTCAATGAATTCTCACAACGCAAATGTGCACATGTACCACCACCTAGGTCAAAAAACAGTACCCCTCCTTATCCCAAAAGGCAAAAACAATTTTGAATTCTAATGCCATTGATTAATCACACAACATCTGTGAAAGCCAATGTGGGAAACTAGCTACAACTAAGAAACCTGTGCAAAGTGTTGGCTCTCTGAAAGCACCCAGAAACAAAGCCAATGAACTATACACAACATACACCACAGTCAAGCCCTCAAAGGAAAACAGGAATACAAAAAAAAAAGCCTCAACGAAATGACAGAAACTTGAAAATGATAAACACTAGCCCCCTTGGATAATTAGGAATCAGCAAAAGAATTCTGGCAATTCAAAAAATCAGTGTTTCCTTACCTCTAAAAGATTGCAATGTATCTAACCAGATTGAAATGTCTGAAATGACAGACATAGAATTCAGAACCTGGATGGCAATGAAACTCAATGAGATCTAACAGAAAGTTGAAATCCAGTCCAAAGAAGCCAGTAAAATGATCCAAGAGTTGAAAGATGACATAGCTATATGAAGAAAAAACAAAACTGAACTCCTGGAATTGAAAAATTCACCACAGGAGTTTCAAAATACAATTGGAAGCATTAACAACATACTAGGCCAAGTCAAAAAACGAATTTCAGAGCTCAAAGACTGTCCCCTCAAAACAACCCAGTTAGGCAAAAATAAAGAAAAAAGAATTTAAAAAATGGACAAAGGCTATGAGAAATATGAGATTATGCAAATAGATAAAACCTATGCCATACTGGCATTCCTGAGACAGGAGAAAAGGTAAACAACTCGGGTAACATATTTGAGAATATAGTCCATGACAGTTTTCCCAATATTGCTAGGGAGGTTGACATGCAATTTCAAGAAATTCAGAGAAACCCTGGGAGATACTATATAAGATGACCATCCCCAAGACACATAGTCATCAAACTTTCCATGATCAATGTGAAAAAAAAAATTCTTAAAGGCAGCTAGAGGAAAAGGTCAGATCCCTTACAAAGGTCGTCCTATCAGGCTAACAGCAGACTTCTCAGCAAAAACATTACAAGCCAGAAGAGATAACAGAACTATATTCAGCATTCTTAAAGAAAAGAAATTCCAACCAACAATTTCATATCCTGTCAGACTAAGCTTCATAAGCAAAGGAGAAATAAAAGCTTTTCCAGATAAGCAATTGCTAAGGCAATTCTTTACCACTAGACTAGCGTTACAAAAGATTCATAAAAGAGCTCTAAACACGGAAATGAAGGAGTGATACCTGCTACCACAAAGACACACTTAAGTCCAGAGCCCATAGACTCTATAAAGCAACTACACAATCAAGACTACAAAGCAACCAGCTAAAAACATCACAATAGGATCAAAACCTTACATATCAATATTAACCTTGGATATAAGTGGTCTAAACACCCCATTTAACAGGCACAGAGTAGCAAGTTGGATAAAAAAATAAGACCCAACCATCTATCTTCAAGAGACCCATTTGTCATGCAACAAAACCAATAGGCTCAAAGTAAAGGGGTGGAGAAAGATCTATCATGCAAAAGGAAAACAAGAGAAGAGGAAGTGACTATTCTTATATTGTAGAAATAAGACTAAATTGACAACAGTAACAAAGGACAAAGTAGGGCATTACATAACGGTAATGGGTTGAATTCAACAAAAAGACTTAACTATCCTAAATATAGATGCACCCAACATTGGAATACCCAGATTCATAAAACAACTACTTCAAGACCTACAAAAAGACTTGGAAAGCCACATCATAATAGTGGGGGTACTTCAAGATCCCACTGACAGTATTAGACACATCATTGTGGCAGAAAACTAACAAAAAAATTCTGGACATAAATCAGACACTTAATCAATTGGATCTAAGATCTATCTACAGAATACTCCACCCATCAACCACAGAATATACATTTTTTTCATCTGTATGTGGAACACAGTCTAAGATCAACCACATGCTCAACCATAATAGATTTGATAGATGCAAAAAGATCAAAATCATACCAAGCATACTCTCAGACAACAGTGGAATTAAAATAGAAATCAATACCATGATCTCTCAAAACCACACAATTACATGGAAACTAAACAACTTTATTCTGAGTGACTTTTGGGTAAACAACATATTAAGGCAGAAATAAAACACTTCTTTGAAACAAATGAAAAGAGAGACACAATATGCTGAAATCTCTGGGATGCAGCAAAGCAGTGTTAAAAGTTTACAGTGTGTCTGGGTGCAGTGCCTGTAATCCCAGCACTTTGGGAGGCGGAGGTGGAGGGCACTTGAACTCAGTTTGAGATCATCCTGGGCAACCTGGCAAAACCCTGTCTCTACAAAAAATACAGAAATTAGCCAGGCATAGTGGTGTGTGCCTGCAGTCCCAGCTACTTGGGAGGTACAGGAGGGAGGATCACCTGACCCTGGGGAGGTTGAGGCTGCAGTGAGCCATGATCACTCCACCACAGTACAGCCTGGGCAACAGAGTGAGACCCTGTCTCAAAAAAAAAAAAAGTTTATAGTGCTAAATTCCTACATTGAGAATTAGATTCATGATCTAATATTGCAATTAGAGGAACTAGAAAAACAAGAACAAACAAATCCTGAAGTTAGCAGAAGAAAAAGAATAACTAAAATCAGAGCAGAACTAAATGAAATTGGGACCCCAAAATCCATACAAAGAATTAATAAAGCCAGGCGCTGGAGCCACTGCCACCAAGTCCGGATCTCATTGCCACATGCCACCGATGCCCGCCGGACATGCATTCCTGATTCCTTTTGGTTCCAAGTCCAATATGGCAACTCTCAAGGATCAGCTGATTCATAATCTTCTACAGGAAGAAGAGACCTCCCCAGGATAAGATTATAGTTGTTGGGGTTGGTGCTGTTGGCATGGCCTGTGCCATGCCACAACTGACGGGCAGTTTAACTGGAAGATAAACTGAAGGGAGAGATGATGGATCTCTAACATGGCAGCCTTTTCCTTAGAACACCAAAGATTGTCTCTGGCAAAGACTATAATGTAACTGCAAATTCCAAGCTGGTCATTATCACTGCTTGGGCATGTGAGCAAGAGGGAGAAAGCCGTCTTAATTTGGTCCAGCCTAACGTGAACATCTTTAAATTCATCATTCCTAATGTTGTAAAATACAGCACGAACTGCAATTTGCTTATTGTTTCAAATCCAGTGGATATCTTGACCTATGTGGCTTGGAAGATAAGTGGCTTCCCCAAAAACTGTATTATTGGAAGTGGTTGCAATCTGGATTCAGCCCGATTCCGTTACCTGATGGGGGAAGGGCTGGGAGTTCACCCATTAAGCTGTCATGGGTAGGTCCTTGGGGAACGTGGAGATTCCAGTGTGCCTGTATGGAGTGGAGTGAATGTTGCTGATGTCTCCCTGAAGACTCTGCACCCAGATTTAGGGACTGATACAGATAAGTAACAGTGGAAAGAGGTTCACAAGTAGGTGGTTGAGAGTGCTTATGAGGTGATCAAACTCAAAGGCTGGGACATTGGACCCTCTGTGGCAGATTTGGCAGAAAGTATAATGAAGAATCTTAGGCGGTTGCACCTAATTTCCACCATGATTAAGGGTCTCTATGGAATAAAGGATAATGTCTTCCTTAATGTTCCTTGCATTTTGGGACAGAATGGAATCTCAGATCTTGTGAAGGTGAGTCTGACTCCTGAGGAAGAGATCTGTTTGAAGAAGAGTGCATTTACACTTTGGGGAATCCAAAAAACCTGCAATTTTATATTTATTTATTTATTGTTATACTTTAAGTTCTAGGGTACGTGTGCACAACGTGCAGGTTTGTTACATATGTATACATGTGCCATGTTAGTGTGCTGCACCCATTAACTCGTCATTTACATTGGGTATATCTCCTAATGCTTTCCCTCCCCAATCCTGCCACCCCACAACAGGCCCCAGTATGTGATGTTTCCCTTCCTGTGTTCAAGTGCTCTCATTGTTCAATTCCCACCTATGAGTGAGAACATGCGGTGTTTGGGTTTTTTGTCCTTGCAACAGTTTGCTGAGAATGATGGTTTCCAGCTTCATCCATGTCCCTACAAAGGACATGAACTCATCCTTTTACATGGCTGCATAGTATTCCACGGTGTATATGTGCCACATTTTCTTAATCCAGTCTATCACTGATGGACATTTGGGTTGGTTCCAAGTCTTTGCTATTGTGAATAGTGTTGCAATAAACATATGTGTGCATGTGCCTTTATAGCAGCATGATTTATAATCCTTTGGGTATATACCCAGTAATGGGATGGCTGGGTCAAATGGTATCATTAAAAAGTCAGGAAACAACAGGTGCTGGAGAGGAGGTGGAGAAATAGGAACACTTTTACACTGTTGGTGGGACTGTAAACTAGTTCAACCATTGTGGAAGACAGTGTGGAGATTCCTCAAGGATCTAGAACTAGAAGACCTGCAATTTTAAAGTCTTCTGATGTCAGATCATTTCACTGTCTAGGCTACAATAGGATTTTAGTTGGAGGTTGTGCATGTTGTCCTTTTTATCTGATCTGTGATCAAAGCAGTTATATTTTAAGATCCACTGGGAAAAACATCAATTCCTGAAGTTGGACATAGGAATGGTTTGTAAAATCCTACAGCTATATCCTGATGCTAGATGGTACTAATCTTGTGTAGTCCTAAACTGGTCAGTATGAAATAGTTCTACCACCTCTGAGGCACCACTGCCAATGCTGCACATGCTGCAGTTGCCCCTTGAGCCAGATGGATGTTTAGTGTGTCTTATATAACTTCCTGGCTCCTTCACTGGACATTTCTAGTCCAACATTCTTTCCCAATCAGTCACATCCTGGGATCCAGTGTATAAATCCAGTATCGTATGTCTTGTGCATAATTGTTCCAAAGGATCTTATTTTGTGATCTATATATGTCAATAGTGTACATTACAATATAATGTGAAAAGATCTACATATAAACAATACAACCAACTATCCAAGTGTCATACCAACTAAAACCCCCAATAAACCTTGAACAGCAAAAATAAAAGAATTAATAAAACAGTTTGTTTTTTGAAAGGATAAACAAGATTGATAGACCACTAACTATATTAACAAAGAAAAAAGAGAGAAGATCCAAATAAACACAATCAGAAATGACAAAGGTGATATCACAACCAATGCTACAGAAATACAAAAGATCCTCAGAGACTATTATTAATAACTCTATGCATTGAAACATGAAAAGTCTAGAGGAAATGGATCAATTTCTGGAGACACACCCAAGACACTCCCAAGATTGAACCAGGAAAAAACAGAAATCCTGAACAGACCAATAATGAGTAATGAAATTGAATTGGGAATAAAAATCCTACCAAGCAAAGCCCTGGACCAGAAAGATTCACAGTGGAATTCTACCAGATATACAAAGAATAGCTGGTACCAATCCTACTGAAACTATTCCAAAAAATCAAAAAAGGAAGGACTCCTCTCTAACTCATTCTGTGAAGTCAGCATCATCCTGATACCAATATCTGGCACAGACACAACAAAAATGAAAACGTCAGGCCAATATCTATGATGAACATAGATGCGAAAATTCTCAACAAAATACTAGGAAAGTGAATCCAGCAGCATATTAAAAAGTTAATTCACCATGACCAAGTAGGCTTCATTCCTGGGATGCAATGTTGGTTCAACATACACAAATCAGCAAATGTGACTCACCACAAAAACTGAATTAAAATAAAAAAGCATATGATCATCTCAATAGACACAGAAAATGCTTTTGATAAAATCCAACATTTCTTCATGACAAAAATTATTAAAAAAGAAACTAGGCATTGAAGGGACATACTTCAAAATATTAAGAATCACCTATGACAGATCCACAGCCAACATCATACTGAATGGGAAAAAGCTGGAACCATTCTCCTTGAGAACTGGAACAAGACAAGGATTCCTACTCTCATCACTCCTTTTTAACATAGTACTGGAAATCATAGCCAAAGCAATCAGGCAAGAGAAAAAAATAAAAGACATCCAAATAGGAAAAGAAGAACTCAAACAATCTTTCTTCTCCAACCATTTGATTTTATAACTAGAAAACTGATAAATGTCTTCAGTAAGTTTCAGGATATAAAATCAATGCACAAAAATCAATAGCATTTCTATACAACGATAACATTTAAACTGAGAGCTAAATCAAGAAAGGAATGGCACTTACAATAGCCACAAAAAGAATAATACATCTAACCAAGGAGGTGAAAGATCTCTACAAGGAGAACTGCAAAATACCACCAGGAGAAATCATAAATGACACAAACAAATGGAAAAACATTCTATGCTAATTCACTTGAAGAATCAATACTGTTAAAATGACCATACTTCCCAAAGCAATATACAAATTTAATGCTATTCCTATCAAACTACCCATATCACTGCAAAACTATTCTAAAATTCATATATAACCAAAAAAGAATCTGAATGGCCAAAGCAATCCCGTGTAAAAAGAACAAAGCTGGGGCATTATATTACCCAACTCCAAACTGTACTATAAGGCTACAGTAACCAAAGCAGCATGGTACTGGTACAAAAATAGACACACAGACCAATAGAATAGAATAGAGACCCCAGAAATAAAGCTGCACACCTACAGTCATCTCATCTTTGACAAAGTTGACACTAATAAACAATGGGGAAAAGATTTTCTGTTTAATAAATGGTGTTAGGATAGCTGACTAGCTATATGCAGAAGAATGAAACTGGACTCTTATGTTTCACTATATACCAAAATTAACTCCAGATGGATTAAAGATTTAAATGTAAGACCTCAAACTATAAAAATCTTAGAAGATAACCTAGGAAACACCATTTTAGACATCAGCCTTGGAAAAGAATTTATGATTAAGTCCTCCAAAGCAATTGCAACAAAACCAAAAATTGATATATGGGACCAAATTAAGTGGAAGACCTTTTGTGCAGAAAAAGAAACTATCAACAGGGTAAACACAACCTACAGAATGGGAGAAAATATGTATCTGAAAAAGTCTAATTTTCAGAATCTATAAGAAAGTTAATTCAACAAGCAAAAAACAACTCCATTAAAAAGTGGACAAAAGATATGAATAGACACTTCTCAAAAGAAGACATACAGGCGTCCAAAAACATATAAAAATTCTCAACATCACTAATCATCAGAGAAATGCAAATAAAAACCACAATGAGATACCATTTCACACCAGTCAGAATGGCTATTATTAAAAAGTCAAAAATTAACAGATGCTGGTGAGGCTGCATTGAAAACGGAACACTTATACACTGTTGGTGTATAAACTGTGCATTTGTTCACAATGTAAACTAATTCAGCCACTTTAAAAAGCAGTTTGGAGATTTATGAAATAACTTAAAATGGAATTACCGTTCAATCCACCATTCCCATTAATGGGTATATATCCAAAAGAAAATCAATTGTTCTACTAAGAAGACACATGCACTTGCAGTATTCACAATAGCAAAGATTCACAATAGCAAAGATATTCAGTCAACCTAGATTCTGTCATCATGGTGGACTGGATAAAGAAAATGTGGCACTATAAACCATGGAATATGATGCAACCACATAAAGGAATATAATCAGGTCCTTTGCAGCAACATGGATGCAGCTGGAGGTCATTATTATAACTAAATTAACACAGAAACAGAAAACTAAATACTCCATGTTCTCATTTATAAGGGGAACCTAAACAATGGGTACACATGGACATAAAGATTGGAAAAATGGACACTGGAGACTACCAGATAGGGGAGGAAGAGAGGGTTGAAAAACTAACTATTGGGTATTATGCTCACTACTTCAGTGATAGGATCATTTGTATCCAAACTTCAGCAACATGCAATATGCACGTGTTAAGAAACCTGAATCTAAGGTAAAAGTTGAAGTTTTAAAAAAATGAATAAAGTATTTTCTAATTTCCCTTGTGATTTCTTAAAAGTGTATCATTTTATTTCCATATATTTGTGAATTGTCCATATTTCCTTCTGTTATTTATTTCTAATTTTATTCCTTTAGTGTTTGAAAGGATGCTTTTTATGGCTCAATCTTTTTAAGTTTATTGAGACTTGTTTTGTGGCCTGACGTATAAACTATCCAGGAGAATGTACTATGTGTACTTGAGAAGAATGTTTATTCTGATATTGTTGGGTACAGTGTTCTATATACATCTGCCAAATCTATTAATATTAGTTTTAATGTTGTTGAAGTCTTCTATTACCTTATTTATTTTTCGTAATTGTTCTATCCCTTATTAAAGATGGGACATTGAAATTTCCAACTGTTTTCATTGAACTATCTCTGCCTTCAATTCTGTCAGTTTTTAATTTATATATTTTGGGACTTGGTTGTTAGGTGCATATGTATTTACAATTGTTATGTCTTTTTGATGATTGTCTTATCATTAAATTATATCCCTGTCTTTTGTAACAACTTTCGTCTTGAAGTCTATTTTTTTCCTGATATTATTATAGCCACTTCAGCTCTTTTAGTCACTGGTTGGATCTAACGTGAATCTCTTGTAGGCAGCATGTAACTGAATTGTGTGTGTGTGTGTGTTTGAAATCCATTCTGCCAATCTCTGTCTTTAAATTGGAGACTTTAATCCATTTGCATTTAATATAATTACTAATAAGGAAGAATTTACTTCTCTGATTTTTTTACATGTCATATCCTTGTTGTTCCTCAATTCCTCAATCACTGCCTTCTTTTTGTTAGTTAGATATTGATTTTGATTCTCTGCTGATTTCTTTTACTATATTGTATATATTTTTAGTTGTTTTCATAGTGATCATGTCATGGACTACAATTGACATCTGAATTCATAAAAATTTAAATTTGAAATAATACCAGCTTAGTTTCAGTTGTATAAAAAATTTGCTACTACATAGCTCTGCCCTCTCTTGTGTTGTTATTGTGTCACAAACTATATTTTTATACATTGCATGACCAACATATATTTATAATTATTGTTTTATGCTTTTGCCTTTTTAATTATATACAAAATGAAAAGAGAAATTATAAGCCAAAAGTATATTCTTAGTGACATATATTTACCTATGTAGTTACGCTTACTTGTGTTATTTATTTCTTCGTGTGAATTCAGTTTACTGTCTAGTGTCCTTTCATTTTAGTCTGAACAACTCCTTTTAGTATTTCTTGTAGGGCAGTTCTACTAGTGACAGACCTTCTCAGTTTTTGTTTATCTGGGAATATCTTAAATTTTTCTTCATTTTTGAAGGATCATTTTGCCAGATATAGAATTCTTGGTTAACAGTCCCTCTTTCCCCCACAGCACTTTGAATATGCCATTCCATTGCCTCTGACATCATGGATTCTGATGAGAATCAGCCATTAATTTTACTGAGAATCTCTTATCTGTTAAAATTCACTTCTCTCTTGCTGCTTTCAGGATTATTTCTTTGTCTGGTCTTTTGATAGTTTGATTATAGCATGTCTTGGTATAGCTGTCTTTGAGTTTATCCTACTTAGAATTCATTAAGGTCTTTGGATGTGTAGATTCATACCTTTCATCAATTTGGGAAGTATGGACCATTATTTCTTCAAATATTCTTTCTTTCCCCTTCTCTCTCCTCTTCTCAGATTTCCATTAGTGTATGTTGGTATGGTTGATGGTATCTCTCAGGTATCTTAGGTTCTGTTAACTTCTTTTTGTTTTTTTTTTTTGAGACTGAGTTTCGTTCTTGTTGCCCAGGCTAGAGTGCAATGGTGCAATCTCAGCTCACTGCAAACTCTGCCTCCCAGATTCAAGTGGTTCTCCTGCCTCAGTCTCCTGAGTATCTGGGATTACAGGCATACACCACTACACCCGGCAAATTTTGTACTTTTAGTAGAGACAGGATTTCTCCATGTTGGGCAAGCTGGTCTCAAACTCCTGACCTCTGGTGATCCACCTACCTTGGCCTCCCAAAGTACTGGGATTACAGGTGTGAGCCACCACGCTGGGCCCCCATTTTTTTTTTTTTGACAGAGGATCTTGCTCTGCCACATAGGCTACAGTGCAGTGGCATGATCTTAGATCACTGGAACCTCAAAGTCCTGGGCTCAAGCAATCTTCCTGCCTCAGCCTTCGAAGTAGCTGGGACTACAGGCGCATGCCACCATGCCAGGCTAATTATTATTATTATTATTTTTTGTAGAGGCAGGGTCTTACCTTGTTGCCTAGGCTGGTCTGTAACTCCTAGCTTCACATGATCCTTCCACCTTGGCCTCCTACAGTGCTGGGGTTACAGGTGTGAGCCACTACACCTGGCAGGTTCTGTTTGTATTTTTTTATTTTTGCTCACCAAATTGAGTAATCTCAATAGACCTATCTGCATGTTCGTGACATTTTCTTCTGTTTCTTAACATCTATTGTTGTATCCCTTTTGTATATTTTTCATTTTAATTATTGTACTTTTTATCTCCAAAAGTTCTACTTGTTTCCTTTTAATAAATTCTATCTCATTGATATTCTCTATTTTGGTGAGTCATCATTCTCATGTTTTCCTTTAGTTATTTGTTCATGTTTCCTTTAACTGTATGAGCACATTTAAAATATTTGATTTAAAGTTTTTGTCTAGTAAGCCCAATGTCTGGCATTCATTAGGGTCAGTTTTTATTGTTTTTGAATGGGTCATAATTTCTTATGTCTTTGGATGCTTTGTATTTTTTGTTGTTGAAAAGCAGACATTTAGAATATTATAATGTCACAACTCTGGAAATTAGACGGTCCCCACTTCCCAGGGTTTCTTGTTGCTGTCTTTGGTTTGTTTAAAGACTTTTATAAACTAATTTTGTAAGGTCAGTATTTTTTGTTGTATGTCTCTATTCAATCAGTTTAGTGTTCAGCTAGTAATTCAACAGAGATTTCATTAAATGTCTGAAACAACAACAAAAATTTCCCAGGTTTTGCAGATGGGCTCTGTGTGTGCCTTGGGGTATGACTTCAACACTCAGCTGGGCAGTTTACAAATCTGCATTAGCCTTCACTTCCTGGTTGGGCCAAGCTGAAGGTTAGCCAGAGGTTAGAGCTTAGTTCTTCTCATGTCTTTTGTGAGTACACACTCAACCTTGAGCATGAGTGTGTCCTTCTGGATTCCCAAAAATATGTAGGAGATTTTCAAAGCTTTTGTTTCCCAAAGCATCTTACTCTCATCTTTCCTCCCAGGCTTTCTGCTTTGTCTGCTAGTTGCCTCAACTGTTATCCCTTGGGCCACGAGGCAGTGGCTCATATATTTGCCTTTATATAATTTTGACAAAATCTTCCAGGGTAGTACCTCTCTACTGGAGCATTCCTAGTTAGATTAAATAAAATTAAGACCTGTGAGCTAGTCCTTCAAAGAGCCACCAGACAGGCCAAAACAAACAACTACAATCCCCCAAGAACAAGATATTTTCTGTTCACTATGGCACCAGGAACTCACACCATTGCTAAGCTAGAGAATGAGGGTTGGGGTAAGTTAAAATGCCACAAAGCTCTCCTGTCTAGATTCAGCTGCTTTTTCTTTATTAAGCATTCACTTGGTTGCTGAAACCTTTGGTTATTTTCCAGAGTTTTGATAAAGTTGATTAGGACAGTTTTTGCCAGACTGTTATTTTTGTGTTGTCACGCCAAGTGTCAGGTTCCAGCCCATGCTGAGGTCTGAGGGGAGTGGGTGGACGGATGGCAGATAGCTGAAAGAACACTCAGGGGGCCATAGGCACGTAAAATATGGCTTTTATTCTCTGGCTGCTCTGTCTTTATCTTGGTTGCCCGCTCTGGCTGCAGCCCTTCTCAGCGGCTGGATCCGCAGCTCCTGCCATCCCCATGGCTCTCCCTTACAGGGTCAGCAGCTCCACTCTCTCTTTCTGGGTGTGAACCATATGTACAGCATCAGCAGGGCAATTGTACCTTTTACAGACAATAGTGGCTGGGAGCCAAGTATGAGTTTACATGAACAGGTTATATAACAAGTAGAGTTTTGCACCTGTGCTCCAAACTCACTGAGTCACACTGGCCCAGATATCTGACTCAACTCACCATAGCACATAGATTTTCCTTACACGTGTAGAGATAGATTTTTGGAATTTCTACTCTGCCATTGCTGATATAACACCTGGCTTGGTTATTCTTGGTCCTTGCATTTATATATAAGTTTTAGAAGTATCTTGTCAATTTCCACCCAAAACACCAAATGGTATTTTGATTTGGTGGCATTGAATATATAGATCAACTTGAGGAGAACTGATATCTTTACAATATTGAGTCTTCCACTTAATAAATATGGCATATCCATCCTTTATTTAGGTATTTTTGATTTCCTTCAGTAATATTATATACTTTTCTGTGGTGAGATCTTGCATATCTTTTATTATATTTGTCTTGAAGTATTTTATTTTTTATGCTTTTATTGTGGGAGGGTTTTTAATAATAAATTTCTTTTAAAATTATTGGACTATTCAGAAATGCTATTTATGCTTATCAATTTTAAAAGTTATGTTTTTTGAGGAACTTTAAATTTCACTAAAATTTTCAAATTCATTGGCAAAAGTTTTTTTTTTAATAATACACTCATTTTAATGTCTGCTGATCTGCAATGATATTCCCTTATTCATTTTGATAAATATTTTTAGACTCTCTCTATTTAATCAGTTTCAGCAGGAATTTTTTAGTTTTATTAAGTTTAAAAAGTCAACTTTTGGTCTTTTGGATCCTGTCTATTGTGTGTTTCCTAAGTCATTAATTCTTGCTCTTATTTTTATTTTTTAAATTCTAGTAGAATTTAACTACTAAGTTTAGATAGTTTTTTATATAACATATATATTTAAGCCTATACATTTCCCTCTAATTCTGAATTTAGGAGCATCTCACAAGTTTTGATATAGTTCCTCCATTATTCTGCTTAATTTATTTTTGGGTTTCCATTTTCAATTTCTTCTTTGTCTAAAAGAGGCTTAATGTTGACTTTATTTTTTAAGAGAAGTTTTGACAGTAATTTGCTTTTCACACGTAGAATATATGTCTTCCAGATTTCATTATTTCTGCAGAGAAATCAGTCAATGGCATATTTGTTGCATCTTTGAAATTAATCTGTTTTTAATATGTTCTTTTTTTTCCCCCCACAATTCACTGTAATGGGTCTAGGTAGAGAATTTTCTTTGCATTTATTATGCTTGGGGTTTAGTAGAGTTTATATAATCTGTGGATTGATGTCTTTTGTTTTGGAAAATTCTCAGTCATTGTTTATTAAAATATTCTGCACTCTTCTCTCCTTCTGGGACTCAAATTACACTTTAATAGATCTTGTCACTGTATCTCTGCCTCTTATCTTCTCTTCCATCTTTTCTATTGTTTTGTCTCTTCATACTTTCAATTCATCAAATTGATATATTGAATTCTTACTTTCAGTTTTATATATATATATATACGCTTATAAATATGTGTATCTATATATATACATTTTTTTTTGACACAGGATCTCACTTTGTTACTCAGGCTGGAGTGCAGTAGCATGAACATGGCTCACTGCAGTCTCAAGCTCCTGGGCTCAGGTGATCCTCTTACTTCAGCCTTCTGAGTAGCTTGGGACTACAGGTGTGCAGCACTCCACCTGGCTAACTTTTTTGTAATGATGGGGTCTCACTATGTTGTCCAGTCTGGTCTCAAACTCCTGGGCTCAAGTGATCTTCCTACGTAGACTCCCAAAGTGCTGAGATTACAGGCATAAGCCACTGTGCCTGGCTCAGTTATATTTTTACATTCTAGAATTTTATTTGAAGTAATTTAAATTGTCTGCCAATTTTCTCAATTTTTTATTTCCTTGAACATTTTAAAGTTATCTTAAAATTAATGTCGTATATCCATTATCAGGATACTCTGTGCTCTGTTTCTAATAGACACTGTTTTTCTTGGTTTTTAAACATGTAGTCCGGGGTTCTCTTGTATACATTTCCTTGTGCAGCTAAAATTTTCTGTTCCCCCAGATAAGATTTATGTTTTCTGGCAGGCATCCAGAGATACTAGTAGTCAGGGATCATCTTCACCTCTTCCACAAACCATTTATTTCTTACCTGGCATTATTTGTTTTGATAAATCTCCTTGGAGTGCAAACCTAAAGTAAGGGGGTTTACCAGCCTCCCCTCCTACTTAGTGGGCTTTGGGTTCTTATTTTGTCTCCTTTGTCCTTTGAAGCAATCAAAATGTCTGGCTCACTTCACAGCCCCTTAGCCTCCTCCTCTGGTGCCTCTAGGAAAAAAATGGCCATGAGTGCCGGGCTCATTGCTCTAGGTTTTCCTTTCCTCCTAAATATTCTTCACTATTTTATTAATTCTCCAGACCTTCAAACATATATTTCCTTAAATATTTTGTCTATGTTTTCTAGGTGTTCTTAGTGGAAATATTGATCTGAGTCCTTAGTTTGTTATTACTGGAATGAGAAGTCCACAAATATGCATCAATTTACCTCTAAGTGCCACATTACTACATCCTACAGGTTTTTATATGTAATATTGTTTTTGTCATCTACTTCCACTTACGGAAATTCCCATTTTGTTTTCCCTTTAACACATGGATGTGCAGAAGTGCATTTTTTTGTTTCCCAAAATGTTTAAAAAATAATGTTTTAAGATAGATTCCCAAGATTTTATTGTGGTCAGAGAAAATATCTGTCTTCTTTTAGAAATATGTGTCTTTCTAAAAGCATGGCTAATTTTTGTAAATGTTCCATGGATACTTGAAAATCTTGCATTTGTTATATTTGTTAAGTATAGAAATCAAAGTTCTTAATTTCACTGTCTGAATATTTTATATTTTTACCCATTTTGCAACTTTTGTTTGCTTCATGACAGTTTCTATCGGATGTGTTAAAATTTTCCATATTAATGTTGATTTATCAATTTTTTCTTGTATAAATTTCTCCATTTTTGCTTTATAAATTCAACATTTGTTGTTAGTTGTGTACAGTTTCACAATTGGTGTCTCTTCTTTGTGGATTGTTTTGTATACCATGTAGTTTTCCTTTTAATCCTTAATAAAATCTTTTGCTTCAAACGCTGTTTTGTGATATACATTGGAACTGTTACTAGCTCTCTTTTCATTAGTATTTGCATGGCATATATCTTTTGAATTTCTTTATTTTCTACCTTCTGTATTGTTTTTGTATTGTACATGTGGTTTCTAAATAGCATATAAATAAAAATTGTTTTTGAAATCTAACTTGATCACTTTTATTTGTTCTTAGGTGAGATATTTATACCTATTTAGGTATTTGCATTAATTTCTACTCTCTAGTTTGACTTTTTGGTTTACTATACTTCATTTTTGATTTTCTTTATTCCTATCTGCTTTTGGATGGAAATATTCGACTGTATATCCTTTTTCTCCTCTGCTTGTTTGGAAACTACAGATCATTTATCCTTTTAGTCTTTTCCCCTAAAATTTTAACACTTACATGAAACCACGAATTTTCCTAAGCGAATATAGTGATTCTATACTTCTTTTTTCCTCCTGAATATATCAAGAAATTAGCACTCATTAGCTACTGATTAATAACCTTCCTAATTTTCTAATTGTCATCTTGAATTCTACCTTTACTTTAAAAATTATTATGAAATAGTTAAGAGTCACAAAAGCGATGAAGTTAATACAACGCATATTCATGTATCCACAATCCAGCTTAAGAAATAAAACATTATCTACATGATCTGAGCCTTCAGTCTGCCTTTCCTTGTTTACTTCTCTCTCATTACCTAACCTCCACTCCCAAGGTCACTTCTATTCTGGATTTCATATAATTTCTCTACCTTTCTTTACACTTTTTAAAAAAATATGAATTCCTAAATAATACATGCAATTATTTGCTTGTTTAATAATTTTACATATTTTATTCTACTTCTTGAATATTTAAGTTCTTCTGAAATGTAATTTTTTTGCTCAATATTAGTTTGTGTGACATAGTCATATTGATAGACATTATTCTAGTTTATTCATTTTCATGGCCATAGTGTATTATATTACATTTTATGAATATATCAATTTATATACTCATTTTCTAGTTGGAAATTTAGGTTATTTCCAACTTTTATTATTACAAACAATGTTTCTGTAAATGTTCTTGACACTATTCACAGTAGCAACGATACGGAATCAACTTAGGTAGGTACTCATCAACAGTGGATTGGATAAAGGAAATGTATATATACACCATGGAATGCTATGCAGTCATAAAAAAGAATAATATGTTCTTTGCAGCAACATGGATGCAGTGGGAGGCCATTATCTTAAATGAATTAATGCAGGAACAGAAAATGAAATATCACAGAAGTCTAAAAGTTGAAATTATAAAAAAAGGACTTGAATGTGGCTTCTCATACAAATATGATTGATTTTTTCTCTATGATGCAAATTCAGTAGTGAATTGTTGAGCTATTGAAGATGCCCTCCGACTTTAATATATACTGCCAAATAATTTTTGCTTATTTTTTACTCCCCTTGCAGTATGAATTGTTTCCATAGCTCCATATCTTTGCTACCATTTTGCCAGTTGGATAGGTGTGAAATGGCATCTTTTCATGGTTTTAATTTGTTGTTTCCAAATTACTAGTAAGGCTGGACATCTTTTCATATGCTCATTGGGCATTTAGTTTTCCTTTTCTGATAATTCTGTTTGTATTTTTTGACTTTATTCCTTTTGGGTTGTTTTCTTTTTCTTACTGATTCACAGAAACTCTTAATAAGTCTGTAGTAATACTTTGTTGAGATTTCAGAACCAAAGGCAAATGTTTAGGATCATTTGATGATTAATTTTGTGTGTCAACTTGTCTGAGGCATGAGATATTTACATATTTGGTCAAACATTATTCTGGATATATCTGTAAGGGTGTTTCTGGGTGAGATTAGCATTTCAATTAATAGATGGAGTAAAGCAAATTGCCCTTCCTAAGCTAAGTGAGCGGGACTTAGCTAATCAATTGAAGACCTGAATATAATAAAAAGGCTGAATAAGAGAGAACTTCTCCTGCCTGACTATTAAGCAGGAACATCGGTTTTTTTCTGGCCTTTAGACTCAGACTGAAACATTGGCTCTTCTTGTGTCTCAAGCCTGCTGAGTTTTGGACTGGTACTTATACCATCAGCTCTCCTGGCTCTCAGGCTTTTGGACTCAGACTGGAACTACACATCAGCTGTGCTGAGTTTCCAGTTGTTGCCTGTAAATCTTGCAACTTCATACACACACACACACACACACACACACACACACACACACACACACACACACACATCCTATCAGTTCTATTTCTCTGGAGACTGCTGACTAATACAGAACATGAACTCCAAATGAAGAAATGGAATCCATCCTTAATTCCACGTCCAGGGACCAGGCCAGACCAGCCACTCCATGAAGGAACCCATCAGAGCTGGAGGCTACCTCGTGGATCTGAGACCCCTATTCTCCTCTGCCATTGTGTGGTCTTGCATACTTTTTTACCTACCTGGATGACATCTTGGAGAGGATTAGGGATAGAAAAAGGAGTCAGGAAGACTGAACTTTCATTAAAAAAAACCAAATCAGCTTACTGTAAAGGAGACATTTAAGTCAGAAGAAAATAATGTAAATGGGCAAGTTTAAACATCCCCCTTGTCCCTATTACCCAGAAGAGTGAAGACTCATGAAAAAGAAGAGATTAATAATAGAACATGAAGAGCTCTTTTTTTGTACATTTGATTATAGAGAGTAAACTGCAGTACCTTTTTGGTTATGTTAAAATCCTGTCTTAAATACCAAACAAATTTCAATAATTATTCCACTAGATTATTAAACTTTAATATTTTAAGCAATTTCTCCTTTGCTTAAATAAAATTTACAGCTACGTTTATGACTTTTGACCCTGTTTTAACAATAGCTAACTATTAACATATCTTAAATTTATGTAGTAAGTGATACCTGAATGTAAGAATTTATGCTCTACAAGGGGAAGAACAAAGGCAAATTTTAACAAAGAGATGTTCATATGCATTTGCATTATTAAAACTGCACAACATGAACTTACCGTTCTGAATATCCACTTTCCCTGGCAAACCTCTGAAATGCACCCATGGGATCTGAGCCTGTGCTTAGGATGAATACCAGGGGAGTGTTGCATGACATGTCTTGATACAGGGTAGGCAGGTCCACAGGTGGTGTCTCTATAAACTGTTTTCCAAGATTTTCTATCACAAAGTCTGTAAGAGCAAAAACCACCTGAAAGTTGAAAAGAAAAAAAAAGTATGTTGAATGAGGATCCTTCATAATTTTATCCTAATTTTCTCCTTCAGCTCCTCAGAGGTTGGTGTCCTGTGTTTTTGTACTTATTCTGTCTTGATTGGGTATACATCTTTTTATAGATATTGTTTGGTGGATTTGTTCACCAAATATCTGTGGACAGCTATGGTTCTCATGACTCACAAGCAGGATGAAATATTAGGTAAGAGGGAAGTCCCTCAACATTCACTCTATTTATGAAGCTGCTGTCTCCCCTTCCTTGCTTCTTCTGTCCTGTTTCACATTCTTGTGGACTTTACTTTCAGCCCCTCCATTGTCTCTTTCTGCATTATTGATCTCTGTTTCCTTGATATTCCTATCATCATACAATTAAGCATTACTATATTCCATCCTTAAAAATAAAACCAAAACAGAGATCTTCCCTTGATGGCAGCTACTTTTCCAGCCACTATTTCATTTCTTTGTAAGCACTCACAAGCCAACTTTTCAGAAAATTGGCTCCATTTATTGTCTCCCTTTCTTCATCTCATTCACTCACCAGCCTCTTCTGACCCTTCTCTGGAACCAACCTCAGCCTTGATGATTACGCCCAGGCCTGGCCATTTCCTACATCAATTTGGTTCTTTCACTGATCCTACCCTACCCTACCTACCCCATTCCTGTTCTTGCTGGCCTTGTCCCTCCCCAACCCATATGGAGCCTTTGTGTGAGATAGAAAAAGGTGTCTCCTCTTCAAGGGACTTTTAATGTGCCAGAAAGCTGTCATGATAAATACACAGCCTATAATATCTACAATGTGAATGGCTCCCCCATGGGTTATTCAGTGGACATCCTGCATAACTGTTAACAGCAGCCCTCCCCTTAGCCCTCCACTAGCTATCAACACCGTTCTGTCCAAACAAGCCTTATTCTGTGTGTGTGTGTGTGTGTGTGTGTGTGTGTGTATGTGTGTGTGTGTATGTAATGCTGTTGGGCAGGGAGGTGTCCCAACCTGGTCTAGGGCCATGGCCTTGGATCACACCCTTCTGTGGCCAACTTGGGAAAAGATGGTGTTCACATGCCTGTTCCTTTAAGTGAGGATGTATTATGGTACTAACTATAAAGGTGTAAAGGTCTAGAAGGAACAGCTATGCAATAGGGCCATCACGTTTGGAGCTTAGTTCTACTTCTAGTTGTGTTACTGTGTGGCTAAGTATAATTCACTTAACCTTTCCAGCATCAATTTCTTTATATTTTTTTTGGGTGGACACTCTTTTCTGTATAAATTTATGGGGTAAAAGTAATTTTGTTACATGTGTAGACTACATTAGTGGTTGAGTCACAGCTTTTAGGGTTTCCATCACCTGAATAATGTACACTGTGCTCATTAAGTAATTTTTTTTTTATCCTCCATCCCCTTCCCACCTTCTCACCCCTCTGAGTCTCCATTGTCTACCATCCCTTTCTCTACATTCATGTGTACATAATATTTAGCTCTCCCTTCTGAGTGAGAACATGTGATATTTGCCTTTCTGTGTCTTACTTGTTTCAATTAAGACAGTGGTCTCCAGTGCCATCTACGTTGCTGCAAGAGACATGATTTTATATATTTTTATGGTCGAATATAGTATTCAACTGTGTATATATATGACATTTTCTTTATCCAGTCATCCATTGATGGACATGTAGGTCGATTCCATGTCTTTGCTACTGTGAACAGTGTTGTGATAAACATATGAGTGCAATTATCTTTTTGATATATTGATTCCTTTCCTTTGGGTAGATACCTAGTAGTGAGACTGCTGGATCAAATGATAGTTCTTTTTACTTCTTTGCGAAATCTCTGCCAGGCATGGTGGCTCATGCCTGTAATCCCAGCACTTCAGGAGGTCGAGGCAGGTGAATTGTTTGAGCCCAGAAATTTGCGATTGCAGTGAGCTGTGATTGTGCCACTGCAATCCAGCCTGGGTGACAGAGTGAGATCATGCCTCAAAAAAAATTTTTTTAAATACTGTTTTCCATGGAGGTTGCACTAATTTACATTCCCACAAAGAGTGGAAATGTGTATTCCCTTTTCTCTGCATCTTCACTCACATTTGTTATTTTTTTACTTTTTAGTAATAGCTATTCTAACTGGGGTATGATAATATCTCATTGTGGTTTTAGTTTGCATTTCTCTGATGATTAGTGATGTTGAGTATTTTTCATATACCTGTTAGCCATTTGTATGTCTTTTGAAAAATGTCTATTTATGTCCCTTTGCCTGTTTTTTAATTGGATTATCTCTTTTCTTTGTTATTGTTGTTGAGTTCCTTGTGTATTGTGGATATTAGTCCCCTGTCAGATGCATAGTTTGCAAGTATTTTCTCCCATTCTGCAGATTATTCATTTATTCTGCTGATTATTTCTTTTGCCGAGCAGAAGCTTCTTAGATAATTAAGTCCCATTTGCCTATTTTTTGTTGCCTGTGCTTTTGAGGTCTTAGTCATTAATTCTTTGCCTAGACCAATGTCAAGAAGAGTTTCCCTTGGTTTTCTTCTAGTATTTTTATAGTTTCAGGTCTTACTTTTAAGTCTTTAGTTCATCTTTAGTTGGTTTTTGTATATAGTGAGAGATAGGGATCCAGTTTCATTCTTCTGCAAATGGCAATCCAATTTTCCCACCACCATTTACTGAAAGAGGTGTCTTTTTCCTATTGTATGTTCTTGTTGACTTTGCCAAAGACTGGTTGGCTGCAAATATGTGGCTTTATTTCTGGGTTTTCTATTCTGTTCCATTGATCTATGTATTTATTTTTATAACAGTGCCATGCTGTTTTCATTACTATAGCCTTGTAATATAATTTGATGTCAGCACTTCATTTATTACAAGGCTACTATAGCCTTGTAATATAATTGATGTCAGATAATGTGATGCTTCCAGCTTTTTTCTTTTTTCTTAGGATTGCATTGGCTATTTGGGGTCTTTTTTGGTTCCACATAATTTTAGGATTGCTTTTTCTAATTCTGTGAAAAGTGATGTTGGTATTTTTTAGGGTTTACATTGAATCTGTGGATTGCTCTGGACAGTATGGTCATTTTATTGATAGTAATTCTTCTTATCCATGGGCATCAGATGTTTTTCCATTTATTTCTGTCATTCACAATTTCTTTCTTCAGTGTTTTGTAGTTTTTTTTGTAGAGATCTTTCACTTCCTTGGTTAAATATATTCCTAGGTATTGGGTTTTTTTTGTTCGTTTGCTTTTTGAGACAGAGTCTTGCTCTGTCGCCCAGGCTGGAGTGCAGTGGCACAATCTTGGGTCATTGCAACCTCTGCCTCCTGGGTTCAAGCAGTTCTCCAGCTTCAGCCTCCCAAGTAGCTGGGATCACAGGCAAGCACCACCACATCTGGCTAATTTTTTGTATTTTTAGTAGAGACAGGGTTTTGCCATGTTGCCCAGGCTGGTCTCGAACTCCTGAGCTCAGGCAATCCACCCATCTTGGCCTCCCAAAGTGTGAGGATTACAGGTGTGAGTCACTGCGCCCAGCCAGGTATTTTTTTTTTTTTGGTAGCTATTATAAATGGGTTTACCTTCTTAATTTCATTCTCAGCTAGATCATTATCAATATCTAGAAATGCTACTGATTTTCGTATGTTGATTTTGTATTCTGCAACTTTCTAAATTCATTTATCAAATTTAAGCGTTTTTGGTGAAGTTTTAAATTTTATTTTTTGGATATATCATACTATACCATATCATCAATAAACAGGAATAATTTGACTTCATCTTTTTCAAACTGTATGCCTTTTACTTCTTTCTCTTGCTTGATTGCTCTGGCTAGGACTCTAGTACTATGTTGAAGACAGGTGGTAAAAGTGGGCATCCTTGTTTTCTTCCAGATTTTTGAGGAAATGTTTTCAACTTTTCCTCATTCAATGTAATGTTGGCTGTGAGGTTATCTTACATGGGCTTTGTTATTTTGAGATATGTTCCTTCTATGCCTAATTTGTTGAGGGTTTTTATCATGAAGGGGTGCTGAATTTTATCAATGCTTTTCTGAGTCTATTGAGATGATCATATGATTTTTGTCCTTAAATCTGTTTATGTGATGTATCACATTTATTGATTTGCATACGTTAAATCATCCTTGCATCCCTGGATAAAACCCACTTGATATTGTCTTTTTGATATTATCTTTATATTATATTATCTTTTTGATGTACCATTGAATTAGTTTGCTAGCATTTTGTTGGGGATTTTTGAGTCTATATTTATCAGGGATATTGGTCTATATTTTTCTTTTTTTGTTGTGTCCTTATCTGGTTTTGGTATCAGGATAATACTGGCCTCATAGAATGTATTAGAGAGAATTCCCTCCTTCTCTATTTTTGGAACAACTTCTTTTATAGTTTTTATTTCAAAAGGCCTTGATTATATAAACCATTTGCTTTTTACTTTGCTGAAAAGTGTTCCAAGAGTTTACAATGAATTACAATATACAAAACACAAATAACTTATTTCTTGGGGTTGCTATTTAAATACCAAAATGGTAACACACTCATGAAATGCTTTTGAACTTAAAAAGTTGGAGAAATATTTTTCTCGCAAACAGGACAAACTGTCATTAATATTACATAGTGATCTTGGTTCTCAGTGGCTTTATCACAAGCTATTGGTCTGTTACAAGCATATGTAACATGTGCAATTTCTCATGTATGTGAACTAATTTTCTTTATGAAACATTTTAAATATGCAGAAAATAAATGTGCATAAAACATACCCTCATGTGGGCTCTAGTCACCCAATACATATACCCAAGAACATGGTTAAGTACATAAAATACAGAAAGGAGATGCATCAGTTAAAGCCATGAAGAGGATTCCTGCAGAATTAGCATGCGGTTTCCTGTCCTTTGATTTGTCCCGGTGATAGTTGTCTCTCAGGAAGGTGGAAGGTGAATGATTCTCAGGTGGAAGAAGGGGCTGTACCATAGAAGTGAGTTATGTATGCATGCCAGCCCAAGGGTTGTATCTCACAATCATTGCTAAATGGTTCTTCCCACTTTCGTATTAGGTGGTTTAGAGTTCTCTGCTGTTTACAATAGTGTATTAAAGATCTTGTTCATACAAAAGATAACATAGTAACTCCTATCTTAGTTAGTCACTTCTTTGATTTTAGTTATTCTAGTCAGTATAAATGAACCAGGCCTGCTTCCTGATGTTGAAACCATCAGTGGCATAATGGCCTGAATAGAGAGTGTTTCCTTATGAACATGCTGAGATGGCAGGAGTATGGAAGATTTCCTGGCTTGACATTTTTGATCAGTTCTTCAGCTTTAGCTTTTGTGCAGTCTGTATATACATTTCCTGACTTTCAAAGTCCGTATCAGATCTCACTCTACCCAGGAAAGTCTTGCCATCCTGCAGTGCACTTGCAGTGGACTTAACTCTGTAGTTATGCTGAGGTCTTTCTCTCTGTGCTCCACTGTACTGTGCTGCTGTAGGTTCCTAGATAGTGACACTGACCTGCTTGGTCCTCAAGGGCTTCTTCATATCACATGGCTGGAACTGATCAACTTCTCCCTGTGCCTCTTTTGGATATTTTTCTGTCCTATTCTCATGGAGATCTTGATGGCAGTAATGGCAAGAATTTGCTGTGGAAATGGCTTGGATTTCTTATAATCTATAAGGCCTAGATATACAGGCATTTCTTAAAGATCACCCTCTGCAAAATCCCATGTCTGGATTGCGGGATCATTAGAGAATGGTCAATCTCTTCCCTCTTTATCACCAAGTTCTTTGCTAGGAGCTCCTCTCTCTTTTTTATAAAAGTAAATTTCCCATTATGATATATGTGACTCTATTATGTTTTGCTTAAAACCCTCTTTTTAGATTTGCTGTTTGATCCTTCACACAGTCTCTGACTGAAGCCCTCAGAGCATTTTTCAGTTTATCCTTTCCATCAGAAGCCATCTGGCATTTCCAAAGGCAATTCCTGGCTTCAGAGGAATACTTTTTTGAAGGTATTGATGGGTGAGTGCACAAATTCACCACTGAAAACTTCTCTGTGACTGGGAATTCCCTGCCCAGAGAAAGGGCATGGTTCTGTGTTTTCTTTGGATGAGAAGATAAGTTTAAATATTTGGGAATAAGGATTCCCTGCTCATCCTTCACTAGTGACAAATCTTATTAAAGCTATAGTGTATTAGGTGACCTATCAGAATCCTGGGTGACCTACTGAAATTGTGCATTATGATAGAACCCTTGTCCTTACACTTCTTAGCATCATACTCAAGTTCCTGAGACCTACAGAAAAAATAAGAGAATGTTAAGTGGAATAAGGAAGTGTATTTTTCCTTGTAGAAGGCTAATGGATAGGTCATTAAACAGGTTATGAGAATTACAGTAACTCAAACTTTAAATTGGTAATAATTATTGCATACTCTTGTAGCAGTATTATCAGCAAAAATCCATCAAAGTAAACTTTCTTTCTCAAGTTCAATATTAGTCTTCCACGATTTATTTAATTTTTCTGTCTTCCTTCACTTGATCCAAATAGTGGCCTAAAAATTCTTGAGAGAAACACTCCACATACTAGGAATATAGAAGAGAACTTCCTCAACCTGATAAGGGATAGTGTATGAGTCCATTTTCACGCTGCTGATAAAGACATACCCAAGACTGGGCAATTTACAAAAGAAAGAGGTTTAATTGGACTTACAATTCCACGTGGCTGGGGAAGCCTCACAATCATGGCATGGCAAGTCACGCCTTACATGGATGGCAGCAGGCAAAGAGAGAATGCTTGCGCAGGGGAACTCCTCTTTTTTAAAACAATCAGATCTCGTGAGACTTATTCACTGTCACGAGAACAGCACGGGAAAGATTTGCTCCCGTGATTCAATTACCTCCCACTGGGTCCCTCCCACAACACATGAGAATTCAAGATGAGATTTGGGTGGGGACACAGCCAAACCATAGAAGATATCCATGAAAAGTTGACAGCTAACATCATGGTTAATGATGAAAGACTGAATGCTTTTCTTCTAAGATCAGGAACAAGGCAAGGATCTGCTCTTATAACATCTATTCAACATTGTGTTGTAGGTTCTATCTAGGGCAATTAAGTAAGAAAAATAAAAGCATCTAGATTGGAAAAGAAGAAGTAAATTTATCTTTATTTGAAGGTGACATGATTTTGTATATACAAAACACTAGGGAACTCACTCAAAAACTATTAAAACCAATAAACAAGTTAGGCAAGATTACAGGATACAAAAATCAACTGTATTTCTATACAGTAGTAATGAGAAGGGAGAAAATGGTTTTAGTCTGTTTTGTGCTGCTATAATAGAATACTTGAGACTGGGTAATTTATAAAGAAAATAAATTATTTGGCTTATGGTTCTGGAGGCTGAAGTCCAAGAGCATGATACGGTATCTGACAAGGGCCTCTATATTGTCTCATTCCATGGTGCAGGGCAGAAAGGCAAGAGAGGGCAAGAGAGCAAGACAGCAAGAGAGGCCCAAACTTGCTTTTATAAGAAGCCCATTCTTGTGATAACTAAATCACTCATATGACAATGACATTAACCCATTCATGAGCTCAGAGTCCTCATGATCTAATCACTGCTTAACACTGCTGTACTGGGGATAAGTTTCTAATAAAGGAACTTTGGGGAACACATTTAAATCATAGCAAAAATTAAGAAAGCAATTCAATTTACAATAGTATCAGAAAGAATAGATTGCTTAAAAATAAGTTTAACAAAAGAAGTATAAAACTTCTTCTCTGAGAACTATGAAATATTGTTGGATAAAGTTAAAGAAGATCCAAATAAGTGGAAAAACACCACATGTTCATAGATCAGATGACTTAATGTTGTTAAGAGGTAAATATTCCCCAAATTGATCTTCAGGTTCAATGCCATTCTTATCAAAATCTTAGCTGGCTTCTTTTCAGGAACTGACAAGCTCATTGTAAAACTCATGTGAAAGTTCAAGGGACCTGGAATAGCCAAAACGATCTTGAAAAAGGAAAACAAAGTTGGAGGAGTCATGCTACTGGATTGTAAAACTTACTTCAAAGCTGCAGTAATCAAGATGGTGTGACATTGGAATAAGGATAGACATATAGGCTAATGGAATAAAATTGAAAATTCAGAAAAAAACTCTCACAATTGTAGTCAACTGATTTTCAGCAAGGCTGCCAGAATCATTCAATGGGTAAGGAGTAGTCTTTCAACAAATGATGCTGTGACAACTGGTAGCAACATGCAAAAGAATGAAGTTGGGGCCAGGCGTGGTGGCTCAGGCCTGTAATCCCAGCACTTTGGGAGGCCAAGGCTGGTGGATCATCTGAGGTCAGGAGTTCGAGACCAGCCTGGCCAACATGGTGAAATCTGTCTCTACTAAAAATACAAAAAGATTAGCCAGGTGTGGTGGTGGCCACTTGTAATCCCAGCTACTTGGGAAGCTGAGGCAGGAGAATTGCTTGAACCCAGGAGGTGGAGGTTGCAGTGAGCCGAGATCGTGCCATTGCACTCCAGCCTGGGCGACAAGGGCAAAACTCCGTCAAAAAGAAAAGAAAAGAAAAAAAAAGAATGTTGGACTCTTACTTCACACTTGACATCATATACAAAAATTAACTCAAGGCCAGGCGTGGTGGCTCACACCTGTAATCCCAGCACTTTGGGAGGCCAAGGCAGGTGGATCCTGAGGTCAAGAGATGGAGACCATTCTGGCCAACATGGTAAACCCCATCTCTACTAAAAATACAAAAATTAGCTGGGCGTGGTGGTGCACACTTGTAGTCCCAGCTACTTGGGAGGCTGAGGCAGGAGAATCACTTGAACCTGGGAGGTGGAGGTTGCAGTGAGCTGAGATTGTGCCACTGCACTCCGGCCTGGCGACAGAGTGAGACTATGTCTCAAAAAAAAAAAAAAAATTAACTCAAAATGTATCAAAGATCTAAATGTAAGAGCCAAAACTGTACTTTTTTTTTTTTTTTTTTTTTTTTAACAGAGTTTCACTCCTGTTGCCCAGGCTGGAATGCAATGGTGTGATCTTGGATCACCACAACCTCTGTCTCCTGGGTTCAAGCCAATCTCCTGCCTCAGCCTCCTGAGTAGCTGGGATTACAGGTATGCACCACCACACCTGGCTAATTTTGTATTTTTAGTAGAGACGGGGTTTCTCCATGTTGGTCAGGCTGGTCTCGAACTCCCGACCTCAGGTGATCTGCCTGCCTTGGCCTCCCAAAGTGCTGGCTAAATTCTCAGAAGAAAACATAGGTGTAAATATTTATGACCTTGGATTAGGCAATGGTTTCTTAGTTGTGACATTAAAAGCACAAGCAACAGAAGAAAAAAAAATAGATAAACTGGACATCATCAAAATTAAAAGCTTTTGTGCTTCAAAAGGACACTACCAAGAAAGCGAAAAGACAGCCCATAGGATGAGAGAACATTCTTGCAAATCATATATCTGATAAGAAACTTGTAGCTAGGATATTAAAAAAAACCTTTTACAACTGCATGATAAAAAGACAAATAATCCAGTTTAAAATGGTAAAGAATCTGAATAGACAGTTCCACAAATAGCCAAAAAGCACAAGAAAAGATGCTCATTATCATTAGGGAAATGCAAATCAAAGTCATAAGGTACCATCTCACACCCACTAGGATGGCTATAATAAAAAAGATAATAACAAATGTTGTGAGGGTGTGGAGAAATTGGAACCCTCATACACTGATGGTGGGAATGTAAAATGATACAGCCTTTTAGGAAAACAGTCTGGCAGTTCATCAAAAAGTTAAACATACCATATAATGCAGCAATTTCACTAAGTAAATACATAAGATAAATTAAAACCCATGTCCACACAAAAACTTGTACACAAATGTTTATGGCAGCATTATTCATAATAGTCAGAAAGTGGAAACAACATAAATGTTCATCAACTGAGAATGAATATATAAAATGTGGCATATCCACGCAATAGTATATTATTTGCAATAAAAGGGAATGAAGTACAGACACTTGATACAACAGAGACGAATCTTTAAAATATTATGTTAAATGAAAGGACAGGATACAAAAAAAACAGAATAGGCAAATCTGTAGAGACAGAAGTAGACTAGTGTTGGTGATGATGGCACTGGGGGATGACGGCTATGGGTATGGCGTTTTTTCGGGGGGTTATTAAAATGCTCTAAATTGTGATGGTTGCACAACTCTGTGAAGATCTTAAATGCCATTGAAGTGAATATCTTAAATGGGTGAATTGTATAATAAGTAAATTATCCCTCAATAAAGTTGTTAGAATTGTTGTTACTACACATGATCAAAGAGTATGTCTGTGACAGCTAACGTGGCATTTTTAACATTTTCAAGTAACTCTTGCTTAATCTGTATGATATAGAGATCTTTCTTACTTAGCAAGTAGTTGTGCCAAGCATCAACGAGACTCTTTTGGGGAATTTTCTTCCATGGGATATTCTGCTTAAATAAATAGTCAGCACATGGCAGAATTAACAATAAGGACTTAACACTGCATTCATACATCTGGGTTTTACCAAATTGGGAAAAACTTGCAATTGTTGCTCTAAGTGAGATTCATCATAATTCTGGTTTCTCTATGGTTTTCAACAGAGAAAACCAGCTGTCACAGAAACTGCCTTCTTTGTGAGGTGGAGGAAACCTGGATGGAAACACCAGTCCTGCCAACATTTGAGTTCCCAGTGGATTTAGCCTTGGAAACCAAGATGCTTCAGGGAACGATGTATGACCTCATCTCTCTGACAGCTTTGAAAACAGTTTCTCCTTATGTATATTTAATCACCTTAAAACAGTGGTTCTCAAAGTATGTTTGCAAAATCCGCAGCATTAGCATCACGTGGTAACTTGTTAGAAATGCAGGTTCTTGGTCTTTAGCCCAGACCTACTGAATCAGAAACTGGGGGATGGGCCCCAGGAGTCTGTTTTAACAAGACCCCCAAATGATTCTGATGTACACCAAAATTTGAGAACACTGGTGTAGAGAACTTGTCTTAGCTTTGTTCTGTGGTGATGAATTATTCTCTATCAAGCAAGCTTTATTCATCTCTGAATTACGGTAGTTTTTTTCTCTTTCTAGTTCAAATTCCTAATAACCTTTTCCTGAGAAGTTGATACTATTGATGCCAAAGAAAGAATTATTGGGATGACAAGCATTCTATTTCCTGTTGCAGTTCTAATGAGCCTATACCATGGGGCTTACTAAGAGTTTTTGAAATGAAATTTTATCTTTAGGTCTAAACACACTATTTATGAAGAAGGCTTGGTTTTTGTGTAAAACTAGAGTTTCCCACAGAAGCCACTTTGTTGGACTATCCTCCTTCTCCCAATAGAGCAGTTGATTCCACCATATAGAGGCACTGGTCACCCAATAAGCTCCGCTTGTGAACAGACCTGGAAACAACAGTTTGGTTATCCTGAACTCTCTCATCACAGAGGTCTTGTTTCTAGTCTTGTCTTAGTTATAAGGCTTCTTCACATACTCTTTTTCTCTAGTCAGGGAATCCAGATCTTCAGTTTTGAAATGGAATTTGGATTCTTCACTCTTGAGCCCCAATTTCTTCAGCAAGTTGTTCTTTGGCATCAATAGCAGGGTAAGGATTGTTCCTAAATGCTTTGATGAGGACTCTAATTGGTAGGAGGTGTAGCTGGGACAACACTGTCATACTTGAATCTTTTCTTCAGGTGATACTGTCCTTGGTCTTGGCTGATCCAGGTTCCTGTGTTCTCTGGAATGGGTGTCTAGCTCTTAATTTCTGAAACCTAATCTGGGTTCTGATTAGTATTGATTTGTGAATATATGCTACCAACTGTTTGGTATCATAACCTGGGTAAGGTTTTTGGTTGAAGGCATTGATAAGAATTTTCAATGAAACCTCTGTGAATTTGGTATGACAGTGTCTACTGTTTGTAGCTTTGGTCACATGTGGACAGCTATGTTATACATGTTGCAAGAGAGTTTAGGTGTTCAAGGATGTGACTAAGAGTCAAAATATTTTTTTACTATGGAAAATTTCAAGTAAATATAAAATGAGAGAATAGTGAACTTGATGCTTCACCCACCTTCAACATTTTTTAGTACAAGGCCAATCTTATTTCATTAACACACCCACCCACTCCCTCAGCCTCTAGGATTATTTTAAAGTAAATCTAAGGCGTCATATGATCTTATCCTTTAGTAATTCAATATGTTTCTACAAGACAAAGTCTCTTTAAAAAAGTATAACCACATAGGCCAGGCATGGTGGCTCACACTTGTAATCCCAGCACTTTGGGAGGCCAAGATGGGAGGAACCCCTGAGCTCAGGAGTTCAAGACCAGCCTGGGTAACATGGCAAAACCCCATTTCTACAAAAAGAATACAAAAATTAGCTGGGCGTGGTGGTACATGTCTGTGGTCCCAGCTACTTGGGAGGCTGAAGTGGGAGGATCCTTTGAGCAGAGGTTGCAGTGAGTGGAGATCATGCCACTGCACTCCCACCCAGGCAACAGAGAGAGACTCCATCTCCAAAAAAAAAAAAAAAAAACCAAACCAAACAAACAAAAAAACCATAATCACAGTACCACAATTACATCTAAAAAATTAACAATAATTCCTTAATATTATCAAATATGTAGTGTTCACATTTCCCTGAATAAATTATAAATGTATGTGAGCGTATGTTTAAATAATGGTATGTTATTGTGTATATTTAATAGTATGTAATTATGTATATTTAGTATGTTAAGTTAGGATCTAAATAAAGCTTATACATAGAGATTATTTTGTCTCCTAAGTCTCTTCTAATCTA